>NC_000002.12:101732042-102035072 GCF_000001405.40 Homo sapiens | reverse complement strand
TGCTTTGATACCTGGGCCTTTCCCTGGTTTAGCCAATTCCTAGAGATAGTAAACAACTTGCCTACTTCTGCAACATGCTTTTCAAATGCAAATCGACCAATCCAGAGCCACACCCCAACCACCTCTTTTATGGAACTCTCACCCTCAGGGTCACTATCCACACCCAGTGAGGGACAGCCCATGCACCAAGAGCCCAAGGAAACCATTCAAACCAGCCAATCCTAAGCCTGCCTACCCTGCCTCACCCACTCCTTCCCACAGAAACCATCGGAAGAGCTCTCGCCCACACCTTCCCCTCACTCCCTCAGCCTCCTGATCGGCCCTAGTGCTTCTCTGGGCACCCTCCCAACCGCCATGGTGTGGTGTGCCCCTCCTGCTGGGATCTGGGGGATACCACTGTATTTTCAATGGCTATTGTCTCCTGATCTGTTGGCCTCACCAAACCTGAATAATAAAGCCTATATTTGAAAACAGCAATTTGGGGTGGGAAATATAACAAGGTGAACAGTCAGCCTGAGGTATAGTATGGCTTTGAGACTAATTTAATTCACAGACTGTTCTTAGCTGTTTCTGTGCTTTCTGGGGGCTAAATCCACATTGTCCCTGCAGTGGGCTCAGAAGGATCCAGGGACTCACACTCTTATTTCCTGAGAGAGTAGCCTCAGACCCAGCGGCAGGACTGCACGCTGGACGCCTCACCTCCATCCAGTAGGACAGTGACGCCTTGATTGGTCACAGGCCACAGGCTAAGAGAACAAAAAGCTGGGAAATACTGTAGGAGAGGACACTCGGTTCCTACTTCTGATTCTTCCTTCCCTGTGAAGGAATCCTTATTACAGTCCCCCTGGTCCCCCAGATTCCAGATGTACCTTCTACCGGTTTCGGGAGATGAACTCTTTGTGGTAGCTAGTCTTCCCCTAGAAAAGCAAATATTTGCTCTGCTCCTGACTGTAACCTTGACTCAAACCAGCCCCTGCATGGGCCAGCTGTTTCTCAGCTGTCGAATCCTGGGATTCGGTATTAAGAAGCCCATTGCTGCTGCACATCTAAACCACACTCTCTAGGAGGTAATTTTTAAATTAGGTGAGCTTCAGTTTCCTTACCTCTAAAATGTGAATTATAATCTTTGCCTGGTGGATTTTTTTTTTTTTTTTTTTGAGGATTCAATTGAGCAAAACATGTAAAATCTTGCACAATGTAGACATTTAGATGTTGGTTTCTCCTCCTTCATTCTTGCTTTATTTCTCCCACTCTTTTTTATCTAAAGCTTTCTCTCCCCTTGTCCTGGAAGCTGGCTGAGTAGTAGTTCCTGGCCCCTGAAGCTCGGCCTCCACCAGGGGTCTGGTAGCTGTCTGGGCAGTTTCTGAAAAACCACTGGGCAGTGGGTTCTGGGAGTTCCTTTGTAGGAGGTTTTGTTTTGCTTTGCTTTTCTGAAGAATGAGGAAGTGGGTTTTGCAGGCATGCCAAGGAGGAGGAGAATGTGCTGGTGCCTGAGCCCTGTGGGAGGGAGCTTTCTAGCCCACCACCCCTGCTTTGAGGACTGGCTGAACCCATGAGCCAAGAAAGGAGGAGCTTTCAGGAGTGCACAAGCTGGCTCCAGCACGGAAGCTGGCAGAGGCTACAGCCCAGGTGGCGTCTGGATGGCTTCTCCACTGGTGGCAATGCCTTCTTGGAGCCCAGTAGCAGTAACGAGTAGCCCTGATGGGTGGCATGGGCAGAGATGCCAATGGGTGAGGACCGCAAGAACAGGAAAGCAACCACAAAACACAAAGCACCTTTGTGTGTCCAAGTGAACTATTGGCAGGACATCATGGAAAAAACCAATGAGAGTTGAGTGTAGAGACAGGAGCAGAGAAACTTAGCTGAGTCCCACTGATAAGACCCATTTGCTCACACAGGCTGGAAAAGTCCAAGTGACACACGCTGTATCCATTCTGCAGACACTTCTTAAATGCCTGTGCCGCAGCAAGACACCGTGCCCGGTGCTGGGGTGCATCAAGGAACGAGAAGGCTCCTGCCTTGAGGAACTTACAAGAAACAAACATCCCACCCTTTCTGTGAAAGAGTCCCTATATATTCCCATAGCATTCAAAATACTTGAGAGATCACATTTGTTTTTTAGCTCATAAATTATTCTTGGCTTCTGTTGTTGATGTCTGCTCTCATCCTTAGTTCTTGCAGAAGTGGCATTTATTACATAAGACGTGGGTTTTTCCTGTGGGCAGTGCATGGAAGTGTGAGGTTTCCAAAAACTATTTATCACCCCCTCTCCCCAGCCTTTGTAGGGTTGGGGGTGAAAAAATTCACCTTCAGAAAGTTAAAACAACAGAATCAACAAAAAATAGAGGAGATAGGCCACTTTAAGAAAAGAAACCACATTGTTTCACTTGTCCATCTGTTTGTGTGTTCAAATTGGACTTAGGGACACAGAATTAGGTTAGTCATAATCCTTGGTTCAAGACACAGATTCTATATTGGTCCCTGAATAGCTTGTGTTTTTTTTTAATCTGTTTGTTTAATAATAAAGTAAACAATCACAGTCTACTACCTAACATGAGATCTAGAACTTAATGAAGTTTATGTTTTCCTAATCCATCCCAACCCTGATGTAATCACTATCCAAACAAACACACACACACACACACACATCTATATTTAAGAGCATATATATGACAAAAACTACATTTTAACCGTGTGTGTGAATATATATGAAGATGCTTTCACATATTCGAGAGAGAGCATATTAACTTTAGTTGTTTTCACTTTATGTAAAAGGACATCATTCTAAGAAATGTTTCTGGGACTCATTCAATAATATATATCTAAGATTCATCCATATTGTTCCATGTTGTTTTTTACTGTAGTGCATTTTATTACTTGTAAGAGCTACACATTCTCTTGTCTAGCGGGTATTGAGTTTTTGCTGGATTGTATTTTACTCTTTATTATGGAAGTTTTCAAACATATACAAAAGTAGAAAGAATGATATAAGGAAGCAGGGTGCAGTCATCACCAAGGCCAACAGTTATCAACATTTGGCCAATCTTATTTCATGTATTCTCCCATCCACCACTGGATAACTTCGAAGCAAATCTCACACATCACCCATAAAAAATTTAGTCTGCCTCAGCCAGGCTCGGTGGCTCACGCCTGTAATCCCAGCACTTTGGGAGGCCGAGGCTGGTGGATCACGAGGTCAGGAGATCGAGACCACGGTGAAACCCCGTCTCTACTAAAAATACAAAAAAAATTAGCCAGGCACGGTGGCGGGCGCCTGTAGTCCCAGCTACTCGGGAGGCTGAGGCAGGAGAATGGCGTGAACCCGGGAGGCGGAGCTTGCGGCGAGCTGAGATCGCGCCACTGCACTCCAGCCTGGACGACAGAGCAAGACTCCATCTCAAAAAAATAAATAAATAAATAAATAAATAAATATTTAGTTTGCCTCTTAGATAATAACCTTTTTTGAATGCAGCAATGCAAATATCACACTTATTCCTTAATATTAGCATAAATCCAGCACTCAAAATTCCCCGATTGTCTCGCATCTTTTCTACCTGTGTGACCCCACACTTCTGAAATAGTGGAGGGGAGGAAATGCGTAACCTGTGAGGTCAAGGCAGAGTCTGAAAGCCGATGGTGGTTCTCCTCCGGCTGCAGTCAGCTCCTTTTCTGGGTCATTGCTGAAACAGCCAGAATCTAAAGCGGGGGACTCCAGAGAGCACTGGAGAAGTTCGAGGAAGGAAGAGAGATGCAAGCGCGTGGCCCCAAGCCTGAAGATAAAGAAAAGGCAGAAGCAGTCAAAGAACCCTGTGCAACGTCCTCACCGAATCCTCCTTCTCAAACCTCACTCTCCTCTCCTTTCCGGTTAAAATCTAATAAGGTGTTCAAAGGCCTCTGCCGGCCCCTCCGTACTTCTCCCTCCCTGAATGCTTAGAAAACAGAAGAAGGAAAGAGGAGATGATAACAGGAAAATAGAAAAGCGAGGGTCAAAAGTTAACTGCTCAAAACCGCCTTCACCTAAACCAGGCATTGGCAAACTTTTCCTGTAAACGACCAAATAGTAAATATTCTAGGTTTTGCCATCTCAACTACTCAACTCTATCTTCAAAGAGCAAAAGTGGCCAAAGACAGTCTGCAAACAAACAGGCAAGGCTGTTTCCTAATACTCTTAATCCACAGAAACAGAGGGCAGGCTGCATTTGGCCCACAGGCTGTGGTTTGTCAACACGTAGTCCAAGTACAACAATTTTTATTTCTGTCTATTCCTCCTATGTTTTTGATTATTAAACAGTTACTATAGTTGAAATAGAAAAATAGGAAAAATGGAAATATAAAATATAGCTAAATAGCTAAGTTAATTTGGACTAAGTGATTATCCCCATTTTTCAGATGAGAAAATTGATGTACTTTGAGATTAAAGGATTTGCCCAAGATCACAGAGGCACCATGTGGCAGTGCTTGAACTTGAACTCACAAAGTCTGCCTTCAAAGTCCAAGTTTTTAAGTTTTCTCCTTGTCTAGATGCAAACAAATGTCAATATTGTAACCATAAAAATTGTACAAAACAATGTATAATATTTCCTTAACACTGTAAACATTTAAGTCTTACAATTTTGATAATTTGGTCATTATAGTATTGATCATTATAATTGATAATTGCTGCATAATTTTTCATCATTGGGGTAATAAGTTTTATTAAATTATTTTATATCTCTAATGATTTTATTTTATTAAATTATTTCCTAAGCTAAATTCCCAGGAGTAGTATCACTGGGCATCTCTCAAACCTTGTTGTTATGTACTGGGGAAGAGAGTGCTGATTTGTGGCAACTGCCAATTTCTGTGGTGTAAAGACTCCACAATGGCCACAGATTTTAAGCTACCAACATGACATCACTGAACAGAGCCAAGAAGAGAGGCACATCCTGGGCTCTTGCAAGAAGATGCAAGCTGGTCCAGCACCCAACTGACTTGGCTCATGTTGCCTTTCTTCTTCCCAGCACCAAATTATAAATTGAATTAAAGTGTGAGAGTGTTTCATAAAAACTTTTAAACACTTGATAGTGTGTGAGTGCACTGGTATCTCAAATTTGCTCTAATTTACATCCCCTGGTTCTTACTGAAAGTGTCATTTTTCCATGAGTTCCTTTATGTGTGTCTCTTCTGCAATCCCCTACTCACATTTTTTCATCTGTAGGGTGATGATGCTACTATAAACTGAATGTTTGTGTCCTCCCAAAATTCATATGTTGAAACCCTAACCTCCAATACAATGGTATTAGGAGTTGTGGCCCTTGGGAGGTGATTAAGTCAGGAGGGCTGCCGTCTATTAGCCAGGAAGTGGGCCCTCACCAGACACCAAATCTGCTCGCACCTTGATCTTGGACTTCTCAACCTCCAAAACTGTGAGAAATAAATTTCTGTTGTTTACAAGCCACCCTAGTTATGGTATTTTGTTGTAGCAGCCCAAAAAGACTAAGACACATGCCTTTTCTATGACTTTGAATAACTCTACACATGATAGTTACTCATTCCTTGAACTTGTCTGACACAATTTTGTCTAAACCTTGCTTTTGTTATTTTGTTGTGCAGAAATTATAATGTAATTAAGCCTACTCACCTTTACTCTTGCAAGTCTTTTGGTAATGAACAAGAGAGAGTTCATCCCATCTTCATTTATTCTGCAAATATTCATTAAATGCCTGCTTTGAGGTACTGGAAATACAGCTGGGACCAAAATAATCTCTCTGACCTCATGGGTCTTCCATTTGGGTGGGAAACATAAATTGAAAATCAACAAGCAAATCTATACTGGAAGGTCTGGTGGTGATAAAAGCTACAATGGTACAAAGCAGGGTGAGGGGACAGAGAGGAAGGAAGGTCCTCTCTGGGGACCTTCCCTCTGGGAAGGTCACATTTGAACAGAGACCTGAAAGGTGGAGTCACCAGCCGTGCTGATTTTCCTGCCATTGGAGTTTTTTTTTTTTTAATTGAACTCATTTATCTATCTGGATTTTATTTTTGGTATATGATATGAAAGAGGCTCTGGGTACATTTTATTCAGTTTGTCTACAATTCTTTTAATGCCCTTCCTTCTATTTTCAGACATGTTGTTATGAAGTTGGGTCTAATTCTCAGTTCACTAATACATTCCAATGTGTGTATTTTTAATTGCTATTTTTTGGATAGCCCTTTCCAAAAAAGTTCACCAATTCTTGCTGATTCTTCTGCTTTAGCACTAAATTATTCTTTTCAGTCT
Source organism: Homo sapiens (assembly GCF_000001405.40). Lineage (NCBI taxonomy): Eukaryota > Metazoa > Chordata > Mammalia > Primates > Hominidae > Homo > Homo sapiens. Next base: position 102,028,813 of record NC_000002.12, on the reverse strand, counting down.
CAAAATGAACAACCAGCTTCCTGAAAGGCAAACTATGTCTTAACCATCACTGTATGTACAACATCTCCCATAGAGTCTAGTCAAAATAGACTCATAATATGTTTTTGTTGAATGAATGTCAAAACTCATGTAGATGTTTTCCACTCTCATGCAGGCCTAAGAGCACCTCATTCTGTTAAATAGGTCACAAGTAGCAGACAGCTACTCACACCCACTCACAGGCACATCTACTGTTGTCACTGATTTTTAGGGAAAAAAAAAACAGAATGTAAGACTTTAGTCCTTTACTACAAAGCCACTATAAATGTGGCACCTTTGGTAGACAACTGAGGCAAAGAACAGAGTCCCTCAAAAAGACACAGCCACTTCCATAAGAGAAGACGTACGGAGTTTGTGTTTGAATTATTTCATTCCATTTATTTCACTTGGGATAGGATTGAAAGTCTTGATGATGAGGCCATAGCACAGTCAGACCATCTGCTTTTCCAGTTCTGTGTTTGCACCGTCTGTGCATCCATATTCCCCCCAAAACCAAGAAGGCCAGTGAAAGTGGGGCCAGCACAATGCCCCAGGAGAACGTGGAGGAGGCTGTGGGAAGAACAGAGTCACATCAGGAGCTGAACAGTCTCTCACTGTACAAGAGGACAGGGCAATGCAGGTGTACAAGATAAGAAAGAAATTGGAGTTTGTTTTTCTTGATAAATGTGCATTGATTTTCAGAAAGCACATCCCTCACACCAACATGGAGGATATTTGAGAGTGATGTCTGTGGCATTAGAGAAACGAGCGTGATAGGGCAAAATCTGTTAGAAACATCGTAGGGTAAGTGGGCAAGTGCTGAGGGTTTAACTTTGTTCCAACAGTGGGACACTGTGCGTTTAAGATGCTGTCTGTTTATGTCACAGTTGGCCAACTGTGACAGAGCCAGGAACAATCTGCCCTTTTCTAATGAGCATGGGTGTCATGAGGATCAAAGGAAGTAGCAAAGGAAAATAAATTTTGAATAATGGAGCTGCAGGGGCCAACACGATTGCTTGGGTCCAGCTATTTTATGTTCTGCTCCTTGGCGTCTCTGTGTTATGGAAATACAGGAAGAGACTCTGAATAAAAAGTTAAAAAGCAAATGTGAGAACAGAGTGTTATCAGACACATTGTTGATGAGACTAGAATCCTGCATTTTTAAGCTATTATCTATCACAGTCTGTTTAGTCATCCAGGAATCGACATGACCTCAGCCTGTTGCTCCAGAGGATTCTCACATTTTAAAACCCCACAAAGATTAGAAATAAGTTCAGCTGTAATATTCTGGGCAGCTGTTTGAATACACCTCTCAGTCCTGGTGAAAGACTTACAGCCTGTGTTCCCTGGATCAGTCACGGCCAGCCACATGCAGGGACAAGGCTCATGTTATGGAAAATTTTAAAGGTTCCCAGCATCAGGGCCAGACAAACCACAGGTTCCTTGGGCTCACTAATCTGACCCCGAGAGGGAACATTCTGATTTTTGTGGGTAAATGTGTACAACCACCATCTCTCCCAGCCTGCTCATCTGGAAATGATCTGAAACGCCACCCTTCACATGTGTGCCCTCATTCTCAAACTTCACTGTGAAAGGAGCTTTTTGTGTCACAGGCTGCAGCCTCTCCCTAGGAATATTTGACAGGGTGGATCTGGAGTAAGTCCTGAGATCTGTGTTTGTGACCAGTGGCTCAGGTGAGTGTGAGGCTGGTGGTGCACAGCGCACAGTTGGAGGAAAGTTGGGTGCCATTCCCTGTCCTGAGGCTGGAACACATCATTGGCTTTCCAGTTTACACTGTGTTTGTGGCTGCCTCCCCAGCAAAACATGGAGACCTGGAGCAATTTGTATTTATGTTATTGCTGTAAGATTGTCCACGAGCCATCACTGAGATGCTGGGAATCACTTTGGCTTGCCTGCCATTAGCTACAGGCTGTCAACAGAGACTACATTCAAGGCAGCTCTCCCTCCTGCTCAACAATTAAACATTGATATGAAATCAATTTAATCAAAAATGATAATGTGGGTTTTCCTCTTCTTCTTTTTAAATGTCCTTAAATGAACACTGGGTTGATTTGGCTGTAGCCTTGTACCTATTTCCGGTCATATAATGACTTTGACCCTAAAGCTGCCCTGAACCCTGGGTAGCTCCCAATCCCCAGCTCTTAGAGGATGAAGTTTCTCATCTTCAGGATAAAGAACAATCCACCCTCTTCTAGAGGCCATGCGAAGACAGCTGATTAGTGACCCAAGGCAGAGCCACATGCAGACAGAGTATTTCGAAGTTTACTGTAGAACCATTTCATCCATTTTCCAAAAATCAGCTTGCTATTTAAATTTTTCATTTGAGTATAATCTCCCAAAGTCCAGCCTCCACCCTACCAAAACTCTTTAAAAATGGGAGGTTTCTTTTCAGCTCTCCACTAGCAGACAATGCAAGGGAATTTCTATGGAATCATTTGGAGAACAAGTAGATTTGTCTAGTATCCATGGAACATTCAACATGTTATATTCTCCTATAGTGCTCCCCAAAATACATACATACCTTCCTTGACTGTGGTGCGTAGTGTCTGAAAACTCAGGGTATTATGGACAACACATTTAAAATCCATGTGCAAATCCTCTCTTGTGACAGGATCAAAAATCAATGGCACTTCAATGTAGTTCTCATTATTTTCTGAATATTCCCTGAGTTAAAAAAACATTCACTTAATTATGATTGTATCGAATGCAAGCTTGTCTTTCACAATGTAGACATCTAAACACTCTCCTTTAGAAGTACCCATTGCGCTTTTATTGTTTTCAAGTTTCATAAAGTTAGGAGCTCTTGCCACCATACTTGTGATTCATTTGGGACAGTTTCTAAGCCTGTCCCTGAAGGCCTTAGTGTCACTGAAGTTGGCGGTCACTGGCATCAAACAGTTGTTACACTACAGGGTTAGATAATGGGGAAGTTCATCTTTTAAGTCTCTTAATGAACAACAACAACAAAAAAAAACAGTCATGGGAACAGAAACGTCTAGTTTGAGGAAACTTGAGTCCCTCACCATTAAATCACTTGTATATTGAAGGGCAGGGAGTTTCCAGGACTCCAGCCCTCAGTGGTGCCGTCTCTTCTCATCTCTACTGCTGACTCTCACTCTGGAAACCTGCAGACAGCCCAGGGGAATGGCTGTGGCCAGGATAGCTGCCATTTATAGTGTTAGAGGAATCTGTAGACACCTCACTACTAACTGTTAGTGTGAATAAAAACACAGATGAGTGGATCCACTAGGAATATTTTTGTTCTATTTGTAGGGGGAATATAGGTTCCTTTAAGTAAGTGGATCATATGAGTAAGCTGAGATGGGCATTTAGTTGTGGCCAGGTCTTTTGCAATGAGAACTTGCAAGCACATGATTGTGCTACCCACACATAGTTTTTATCCACTAAATTACATCCAGAAAGATCTTTTGTGATAAGTCTTTCAAAAAACACAACCATTTGGCAAGCAAAAGCTCAGGCTAATTCAAAGTATCAAAACTGTAATTTTAAAAAGAGTTACAATTTGGAATGTTGAATGGTCTCCCTCACAGGCAACAAGTTCCCACTTACAAAAGGTCTGATTGTTCGAGTCTCAGAGTAAGAAAACATTTTCTAGAGATGACTGCTTATGAGAACTGAATTCTTTCTTTTTTTTAATTATTAACCTCCCTTAGAGATTGTGGCAGCCCACAGCTCCCTGAGAAACAGAAGAGGTACTATAGATACTGTGGCTAGGTCTCAGGGTCTTTTTAAGGGTTTATGAAAATGTTTGATAGTCAGGTTGCAGAGTGGAAAATGGAAAGATATGAACTCCAAAATATTTTTTAACTTGCGAAAATAAAAGGATCAATGTTTAATGAAACAGCTACAAAATGCAACATCAATACCAACATGTCAACTGCAACTCAACTTTTAAGTATTTACAGAGAAAGTTTGATTCTCAAGATAATTTTTAGCAAAATACAATTTTTTAAATTCTAAACATCCAACAGTTTGGAATCAAAAAAAGTAACTTTTAATGTGGTATGTGGGTCATAGTGATAACTGTCTCCAAAAGGAAGAGCGAAACCCACAGAGTTCTCAACAGAAGACCCTGGCCCACTTACTGGCGTGGCCCCTCGGTCACGCGGCCTCCCGGGTAGGCGCTCTCTATGTGGGTGTCATTGGCCGTCCACCACAGCATGGTGGTTAAGGGTGTGCCGGTTCCCAGAAACACCTTACACGGGATTGTCAGTCTTGACCCTGTGGATGGCAAGGCACAGCACGTCAACTGCAGAACCAGCACCTCCCACCCACCAGCAAACCTGAGCCCTGAGTCCCTCCTCGGCTTCTCAAACACCCCTCACCACCCAATTCTTTCCTTGGTAGAAAATTTAGTTTTCTCAAATGATTCTGTTCACACAGAGCTTTACTGTTTACGAAGTACCTCTGGTTCCTACAACTGGTCTTCATGGCAGGCAAAAACCAAGAGGCACCTGAAGTTAAATGGCTTCACCAGGGCCCCTGCGCTCCCACGGGACATGCTAAATTCAAGCCGACTTCCTCTGCCCCTCACTTCAGTTACCTCAGAAAATCCAGATCAATGTGTGGATTCTTTCTCTTTGCCTGAGGCTGGTCTTGGCTCTAATGTTTCTCCTGGGAACTCTCCATTCCCAGATGACTCTGACTGGGGATCAACCCTTCTTTAAAAACTCGTGTTTTTTTTGTTTTGTTTTGTTTTGTTTTTGAGATGGAGTCTCGCTCTGTCGCCCAGGCTGGAGTGCGGTGGGGCGATCTCGGCTCACTGCAAGCTCCGCCTCCCCGGTTCACGCCATTCTCCTGCCTCGGCGCCCCGAGGAGCTGGGACCCGGGCACCCGCCACCACGCCCGGCTAATTTTTTTTGTATTTTTTAGTAGAGATGGGGTTTCACCGTGTTAGCCAGGATGGTCTCGATCTCCTAACCTCGTGATCCACCTGCCTCGGCCTCCCAAAGTGCTGGGATTACAGCCATGAGCCACCACGCCCAGCCAAAAACTCTGTGTTTTCTATAGATGGTGCCCTCTGCAGTTGTGCAGTGTGATGTACTGGGTCCCCCTGCCTCAATCATAGGAAATTATTTTTTTTTTCATTCACAAAGAAGAGTAGAAGGAAAAGAAGAAGAAAACCTTCTCACTTGTTTTTTCCTCGTGGGTGATATGGCTCCCTGTGGTGTGTCTTTTAATGCACCTGGCCCCACCACGGGTTGAGAATGCCAGCCGTTCTCCATCCTATGCCACTCCTATGACCTTAAAGATCTTCCTCAGCCGTAACAACCTACTAATCAGTGTCACGTGGCCCCACCACCCATTCCAGTGCATCCAAAGCAACTGATTGGGAACTGGGCCTGGAACTTGGCTGGGAAGCCCCAGGGAGCCAGAACACTGGGGCTCCAGTAGGTATCACCCATGTGCCCATTGCCCCAGATTTCCAGGTGGTTGTTCCTAGAGCTGCAGCCATGGGGACTGCACTGTGGCAGTGGCAACCCAAGTGCCAGCCAGCAGTCCCAGCAACTGCACAAAAGCCCTCCTCCTCTATGGCCTCCAATTCAAATTTAAAATTTAAACCAGCACTAAACAAAAGGAAAAAGCAAATAAATTGTTTTTTAAAAGACTGTGCAGCCAGGGTTTCATAAATGAGTAACAGACCTACAAAAACACTACCCAGAAACAAACACATAAAAGGATGCAGGTTTTATAGGCACACAGACCTGAATCTGAACTCCAGCCTGACTCTGAGCATGGCCTTTTGGCCTCCACTGAGCCAACGTGATGCCCTGGGTGGCTTTTTCCTTTTGGAAAATTGAGAGAATAAAACCTACAGGGTCTATGTTGAGATTGAATGGGATCCCATTGGACATAGTGGATCCTCAATAAACATCAATTCCGCCCCACCACTAGCATCAGTTGGTTGTTAGTACAGTACACTTACGTACCCTCACTGGCCACTAGTGTGGACCTGTGCTGGCCAGGATGGACTGTACCACATGGAGTGAAAAGCAGAAAGCCCCATTGGTCATTTTCATGGCACCATTCAACCAGCTTACCAGCTCTTCTGGCAACAAGAAACTGACCACAGCTGAGCCCACTTTACAAATGGAGTCTTAGAGAGAGGCAGAGCGCCAGCCAAGTTTTGGTGATGTGAATTATTTTAAATACACTGAGGGTGCTGGCTCTGCCTGGGGTTCATGCTGTTCATCTTCTCATGCAGTTGATAACTGCTGCCAGAACGTTCAGATTTTCACATTCAGATTTTTATAGGTAGGCTTTGCATGAAGCAAAGTATACCTGTTTTCAGATTATGCCATTTCTAACCAAACTGGCCAAAGGGAAATATTTCCTCACACTTGTTATTCCAGCCTCACACACTGGAGTTCTAAGGTCTCCACCCAGGCACATTGCACCCAAGGAGCAGGTATGATCAGCAGACGCAAGGGTCCCAAGCCCCCTGCATTGGGATACCAGGCACCCCCACAGGTGCGTGGAATGCATGGTCCTTGTGGGCCTTACCCAGAGAAGCTGATATGGTCTTGAGGGGGGAAATGATCACAGGAATGGTCTCTTCTTTTTTTTCTGAGAAAGATGTAAGGAAAAGAGATTCCGTTAGGAAAGCCTTCATTTGACGCTGTGGTTCAAGTCATTGTTTGGCTAATCAACTAAGTTATCCTTTCCAGTATGGCCAGTCATTATGAGAGTCAGGCTTTGTCTGGCAAAGGAAACAGGCTCTCTACAAAATCGAGCATCCTTGGCCAATGACTTTCCCAGCAGAGCAATTACTGGAAGAGGCCACAGCCAAACACACATTCCGCTGACAGGAGGTCTTCAGTCCTTGCTCTATGATAAACAATTAACCATTTCCCTCCCAGACTTCCTGAAAACAATCATGTTTATGAGGTCCACGAGATAGATTTTCCCCGAAACTTGACCTGACCTAAAATACCTTCTCCACCTCTCCAAAGTGCCTGCCACAAAATACTCAAGACTCAGTTCTTCTAGAAAAGGCACAGGGCTCAAGAAACACCTATTTGGAAGGCTAGTGTGTAACCTGGCCTCGGCCACAGAGGCCTTGTTAATTGAAGAGATAAACTCTCTGGAGAGGCAGAAGTGGATCTCCAAGGGATTAGAGCCAACGTAAAGAAAGGAGGTGGCCGGGTGCAGTGGCTCACGCCTGTAATCCCGGCACTTTGGGAGGCCGAGGCAGGTGGATCAACAGGTCAGGAGTTCGAGACCAGCCTGACCAACATGGTGAACCCCTGTCTCTACTAAAAATACAAAAATTAGCTGGGCTTGGTGGCGTAAGCCTGTAATCCCAGCTACTCAGGAGGCTGAGACAGGATAATCGCTTGAACCCGGGAGGTAGAGGTCGCAGTGAGCCGAGATCGCGCCATTGCACTCCAGCCTGGGTGGCAGAGCGAGACTCCGCCTCAAAAAAAAACCAAAAAAAAAAAAAAAAAGAAAAGAAAAGAAAGAAAGAAACGAGGCCCCTGAAATGAGCAAAAAGGACACCTGGGGGGTGAGGGCTGTGAGTTGTCTCCACGACGGGCCTCATCATCCTCACTTCCACGAAACAGCATTTTGAAATCCTGACATGAGTACACATTAGACAGCATGGCAGGACAGCCTGAGGGGCAGACGGCTTTTCGACCACGGCCAGACGCCTTTTCCTCCCCTCCTCCAAGTCACGCGCTGCCCTATGGAGCTGGGGCATCCAGGGAGAGAAAGAAGCCTCCAGGATCTCAGTGCTTCTTAGACTTGAGGGTCCCCAGCATCACCCGGGGGCTTGTGAGACACAGATGACAGCCCCCAGACTCCAGTTTCAATCAGTAGGTCTCCACGGGACCCGAGATTTGCATGTCTGTTGAGTACCCAGGTGATGAGGCGCTGCTGGCCCAGGACCACCCCTTGAGAGCCACTGAGATCCTGGGAGGATCACAACACAGACAGGCATGTAGGGCGGCTGCCCCCTAGTGTTCATGCACAGTATCGCAGAGACAGGACCGTGCCGGTCCACGGAAAGCCTCAGGAGACCTGAGTCAGTGGCCTGTCCAGAAGCAAGGAGCTGATATGAACGAATCCTCACAGGACTGTAAAACAAACACAATCAGGACACCTCAGTCCGTGGGAAAATGCGGTGCAACTGAATCTCTGGATGCTCTGTGAGAAAAATATATTTTCCCCTTATAGACCAATTATTTAAACTTAGCGTGTCTCTGAAGCTCTCTGAAATCCCCTCAAAAGACCCCAGTTGTGATCATTATTCAGTATAAAAAACAAAGAAGTGTGGCCCACTCTCCAAGGCAAAGTCCAGGATTTACACATGGTTACACCTGTCTCCATGTCCGGCACACAGTTGGTACGGAGTAAATGTTGAACAAATGTGAAACAATAGCCAATACTGCTCAAAACAGCATTTTCAAACGAAACTCCTTTTAATCAATGGCAGCTCTGACTATTTGAAATATTGCTATTAAGGGCAGCTAGACCCACCTTAGGGAAGACAAATAAAAGGCAATTTCCACTGGATGTGCAAGGCTAGCTCTCTGGTTAGAATACCCAATAAAATTGAAGTATCCTAAAATTGAACATAAAGTTACAGCATGTGGTGACCTCTAGCCCTATAGGTGCAAAGCTTCACAGGACACTTTCCAAGGGTACCTTCTACAGAAGCCACTGTTTGACTCTCTTGAGTGGTGTGTTTTAGCCTTCATCTTGCAACCCTATAACCTTCCCAATTCGTTCACCTGTTCTCAGAACAACACCCTGATTTATACCTTTCAAAGTATCACACACGTCTTATTAACCTGATGCTTCAGGAGAGCTGATGGATCTGTTTTCCGTTATCCTTCATTCCAAAGACCTGCAAGGAATTCTACGTGCACCGTCATTTGTTCTCTGCATGCTTGTTATTGAACCAGGATAGATAGGTGCCTCAATGGCAAGTACTTACTCTTGATGCGTAGCTCAATACTCCTAGTGATGTTGTATTGCTGGCCTTCATGGGCAAATGTCAGGACACAGCGGTAATAGCCAGCATCTTCCAGGGCCACATCGTGTACGAGTAAGTGAGTGGTCCCCCTCACACTTAGAAATTTCTCATTGTCTTTATCCAAAAGAAGAGAATCCTTAAGGGAAAATGTTTTTTTAAGTTGACATTATACCAATATACATCTCAAAGGCTATGAATTACATCATCATTATCAACCAATGTGGGATTTGCAATCCAAGAATTGTCCTGGTATTTACTTTGCCAATTTTGTACTTTGGGCATACGTTTGACTGTATTATTAGGGGAAGGAATTTGTTAACATATAAACAAATAAAATTGCTAGATTTGGTTAACTACAATAGTTAGAGCATATTTGTCCAAGGGGAAAAAAAAGAGACGAACTCTTCTTTGACAAAGTAAGCCATCTAAAATACAAATATGTTTATGTCCTGACTGCTACCTTCAGGCCTTAGGAAGTATCTGGGAAGAGCACTATAAATCGTCATGATGACCTGGACAACAATGCTCAGAAGAGATGACGTTGCAGTAATTACTTTAAAAAGCATTTCAATTTTGTGAGTCAGTAACAGAAAAATCTCTGTTATAAGAAAAACTAAATAGGGGAAACGAGTCCACACTTTTTATATGGACACAAGGTTCTCTGGGGTCTCTGCAGAATAGAATCCTCAAGATCAAGGCCTCCAGGAAATAGAAAGAGCGGAATGGGATTTCTAAAAACACCCTAATGAGCACACAATGTTCTCAGGGACATCACTTTCAAAATCATGATTATTCAACGTTTGCAACAGTCAAATATAACCTTGAGTCACTTCAGAATCTTACTCCGAACGAGAACACAGATAAAATTGAAATTGCCACATGGCTCATGAAGTACCACTTTAGAACATATTTAATTGAAAGGAGATATTTCATTGTTCTAAGCATGAGTAGTCAAATATGAAAAATGCCAAATAGAGCCCAGCACCACAGTCATTCCAGTGGTGTATGGGAACTGGCCTCCTGGGTTTGAGTTTTGACTTCACCATCTACTGGCTGTGTGATCTTGGGAACATCCTTATGGGTCCTTAACTGTAAAAAGGGGGGATATTTACAGTTCCTACTTCATCGGGTTGCATGTCAGGGAGTTTAGAACAGGCTTGGATATAGTACATGCGCAGTAATAGGTATCATTATTATGAAGGGAATAAATATTACTAAGCATCACCATGACATCTTTGTCCATGCACATTTATTGAGCACCATTTATATGTCAAGCACTGCACCGGGTGCTTCATACACATGATTCCATTTAATCTTTGAAACAATCCCAGGTGGTGAAAGTTATTAATTGCCACTTTACAGAGGAAACAGGTTCGAGAGGTGGAGTCACTCGGCCACGGCTGCACAACAGATCAGAGAAGGAACAGAGTTTCAAACCCAGACCCATTGACGCCAGAGCCTGTGCTCTTTCCTCTCCAGGTAAAAACTTTCATTTGTCCTCTTTATGCTTTTCCCAAACCAAAAGAGAATGCATTCTAGGCTGGGCTTGGGGGCTTGCACCTATAATCTCAGCACTGTGGGAAGCTGAGGTGGAAGGATCACTTGAACCCAGGAGTTCGAGGCCAGCCTGGCCAACATGGTGAGACCCTATCTCTATTAAAAAGAGAGAGAGAGAGAGAATGCATTCTAGAGCTCAGCCAGCTTATTCATAGGAGCTGGCTACTTTCCTCTACTTTCAGAAAATCATTTCAAAGTTTCTAATATTAAATCAATATCCTATATAGAGATGCTGTAGTTACAAACCAGCCAACTACTTAACCTATTATCAATTAAAGGGTTAATTCTCATTAATGATTAAGCCAATAACTGTACTTTTCAGTATCAATCTAGGGTCTCTATCAGGAGTTGACCAATGTTTTCAGGAAAGGGCCAAATAGGAAGTATTTTGGATCTTGGAGTCTGCAGGGTCTCCATCACAACTAGGCCATGTGAAAGCGGCTACAGACAGTACTACAACAAGAGGATGTGGCTGTGTCCAGTGAAACTTAATTTACCGACCCTGAAATTTTAATTTTATGTGATTTTCACATCATAAAATATCCTTCTTTTACTTTTTTTCCAACATTTAAAAAAGTGACAACTATCGTTGGCTTGTGAGCCATTCAAATCCAGGAGACAACTTGATTCCAGGGCCCAACCATGGTTTTCCAACCCCGGTCTACATAAGCAATATCTAATGACAATATCTGATGTTCTCACTAGGAGCAATGAGCACATCAAATAACATCTATTCAACCAGACAAGGGAATAAATTGTGTTCATATTTGCTCCCTTAACCCAAAAGTTTGCTATCATGTGCTTTTTTTTTTTTTTTTCTGAGATGGAGTCTCACTGTGTTTCCCAGGCTGGAGTGCAATGGCGTGATCTTGGCTCACTGCAACCTCCACCTCCAGGGCTCAAGTGATTCTCCTGCTTCAGCCTCCCGAGTCACCAGGATTACTGGCACCCACTACCACGCCCAGCTAATTTTTTATTTTTAGTAGAGATGGGGTTTTGACATGTTGGCCAGGCTGGTCTCAAACTCCTGACCTCAGGTGATCTACCTGCCTTGGCCTGCCAGAGTGCTGGGATTATAGGTGTGAGCCACCACGCCCAGCTGTCATGTACTTTTTAAAAAAACTCCTTTAATATGTCTATAAAATTGTTATGTAAGCTTTTTTCTACATTTTTGTAGACAAATTACAGTAAAAAGTTATTTCCTTCAGCTGTTATGTACTCTGTCTTCACAAATCACTATTTCAAGTACCTTTACTCAACCCACATAAGGACTAATAGAACATATTAATTACGGCCCTTTTAAATTCTTTAAAATACAGTCATCCCTCAGTTTCTTTGGGGGATTGGTTTCAGCAAACATTCCCCACAGGTGCCAAAACACAGATGCGTAAGTGGTTTATATAAAGGGGTGTCATCTTTGCATATAACCTACGGATATCCTCCCATATACTTTAAATCATCTCTAGATTACTTGTAGATTACTAATACAATGTAAATGCCCTGTGTAAATACAGTCATGTGTCACTTAACAATGGGATAATTCTGAGAAACAGTTTAAGTGATTTCTTTGTTGTGTGAACGTCATAGAGAGTACTCGCACAGGCCTAGATGGTAGAGCCTCCTACACACCTAAGTGACATGATACAGCCTGCTGCTCCTAGGCGACAAACCTGTACAGCATGTTACTGTCCTGAATACTGTAGGCAATTGGAGCACAGTGGTCAGTTTTTGTACATATAAACATATCTAAACATAGAAAAGGTAATATTTTGCACTATGATGTTGAGACAGCTATGATGTCACTAGGCAATAGAAATTTCTCAGCTCCATTATAATCTTACAAGACCACCATTGTACATGCAGCCTACTGTTGACTGAAACTTTGTCATGCAGCATGTGACAGTAGATGATGCACTGTGTTGGTTTCTTATTTGTATTATTTGTATTGTACTGTTATTTTATTTGTTTATTTGTTTATATTTTCAATCCCAGGTTGGTTGAATCCCAGGATGTGGAACTCACAGATATGAAAGGCAAACCATGTGTGTGTTTGTGCGTGTGTGTGTGTGCACTGTCTTCAGAAAATCGATATTTTAAGTCTTTCTTTTATGGCTAGTAAAAAAAGAAAACACATTTTAGTAAAATGGCATTTTTTAAAGCCGTACCTTGTACCATTGAATCTTCACGTCAGTTTTGTCACGGGTGAATTCACTCAGGTCAGGGCATACTAATACCCCAGAGGTTGACAAGGTTAAAATTTGCGGGTATGAGATGAACGGCAGGAAAGCATCTGTATTCTCAAAAACTCTGAGCTCAATGGACATTTTGTCACAGTAAGAAGCATTTCTGATTTAAAAGGGAAAAAAAAGATAAATGGCAAGGCAAAATAAAAGTAAAGCTAAATGAAATTAAGCATCATTTCCCCAACTCTATTAAAATCTGCATCTGCATTTTCTGGATTAGTACAGATGGTTTCCCGACATAAGATGGTTCAACTTAGGATTTTTTGACTTTACAATGCTGCAAACACAACAAGCATTCAATAGAAACCCTACTTCAGTATAGTATTCAATAAATCACATGAGATATTCAACGCTTTATTACAAAATACGTTTTGTGTTAGATGACTTTGCCCAGCTGTAGGCTAATGTAAGCATTCTCAGCCCATTTAAGGAAGACTAGGCTAAGTTGTGATGTTGGGTAAGTTAAGTGTTAAGTGGTAAGTTAAGTGACAACGCTATTTCCAACTTACAATGGGTTTATTGGTATTTACCCCATTGTAAGTCGAGGAACATCTATATTGCAATACTTCTGTCCCTGATCTTTTCGAACACTTGGGGGGCAACAAGTGTCGTAACATAATTGTACAGAAAAAGCATATTCTGTGTTTTTCACAAAGGACTGTCTACAAGCCCGATTCTAATGCCACCAAGGTTCATTAAGAAATCCCCAAGTCCTCTTCAAAAGGGCTTATGCCTTCCAGGTTCTGGAGCTCCTTGAGCCCAGCCCCCGCATACTCCAACTTCATGATCCAGGAAACCATATCCACATGCAGAGATTGTTTCCCAAGAGCCATTGTTTCCGTAAAAAGGAATATTCCCTTTGCTCCTTTGGGGAATGATTTACCAACTGAAGTCTAGTTTTAGAAAACTGCTGGAAACTTAGTGTAAGACCCATAAAAGATTTTTGTAATACTGCATGGGGAAATTAACTTGGTAAGTTTGCTTTATTATTATATGATTATTATTATTATTATTATTATTATTATTTTACTAGCCTAATCATTATTTCACTGCCATAATTCTATCAAGACCTTAGAGCTGGAAAAAGGGAAGAGGAAAACCTTGCTGGAAACTTGTGGGAAATGGATGGAGGACAGAAAACAGTAATTAAAACTACTCTTTTAAGTAGAAAAATATAAAAATATAATTATCTCAGCTAAATTTCTGGCTACCTAAAACACATGAGACTTTGACAGAGACAATAAGGACGAGTTTTACATATAGGGGTAAAAATTACTTGCACAGCAAAATCTAAACCATCCATATCCAAACAAGTAACAAAATGTAAAAAAAAGGTGAAAGAAATGTGATAAAAGCTTACCACTTGAAAGTAAGAAGAATTAATTTAAATATATGAAGCCAATATCTGTTTATATTTAGCTTAAAAAGGGAAAATAGATGAACAAATATTATATTTTGTGCATAAAGAAATACAGAATGTTAACTCTCACCTTGAAAAATGCGTAATGTCACTACATGTTGAATAAAGGCAACTGAGGACAAATCTAAAGACCTGGGCCTACTTGAGTAACAGTCACACAGCAGGTAGCCAGCAGCGAGTAGATGCAGGCCAGACCCTGTGCTGTGTACTTTGCACACGTTATTTCACTTATAGTCCAGCCCCCATGAAGTAGGAATTACTATTATATCATTTTTATATGAAAAAGGTAGGTGTACAGAAATTAAGTGGGCTGTACAGCTACAAAGAGGTCAAACCAAAATGGGAAGCCCAGCAAGGCTCTGGGAAAACCCATAAATCTATCTTCAGTACCCATAAGTACTATCTTCAGAAACCAAGCTTAGTAGACATATTGAAAGTTACAAGGCTGTTCACATTATTGATCTGGTAATTCCCCTTGAGCAAGAAACTTCATAAAAATAACTCAAAAGAAAGAGAAGGGTGAGGGGCAATTTGATCACCACTTGCACTCCCCATGTAGTGTGGCACCCCCATGGCAAAGGCGTGATAGTCATTCGTAGTGCTGCTCACCAAATAGGCCCAGTTCTCCCTATTCTGAGCACATGGTGTATCACATGTCCTCGTCCCCACTGTGGGGACTCTTCCTAGCTCATGAGTTATATGTGTGGCCCTTCTACATGAAAGTTGTAACAGCCATGAGAGACCCTCCAAAGCAGGCTTCCTGCTCTAGCAACCAACCAATAACATTTGAAATAGTGACTGTGACTGCTCCTTCAGCCTAAGTCCCTAACTGTCTGCAAACCCACAATGGACCTGTTGCATGTGTAAGAAATAAGCCCTTGTTATTTTAAGCCACTGAGATTTAGGAGCTATTTGTTACAGCAGCATAACCTTGACTGCCTACTCTTTCTCTTTTTTTTTTTTTTTCTTTTTCTTTTCCTTCTTTTCTTTTCTTTCTTTCCTTTTTTTTTTTTTTTTTTTTTTTTTTTTGCAGTGATAGAAAGTAAGGCATTTATTTGCAGAGCACCAAGCAAGGAGGCCCAGGCAGCTACTGCTCAAATCTTGGCCTCTCTGATGGCTTGCATCCTTGCCTACTCTGACTCACCACGTGGTTCTAGATCACAAGGTCTTAAACAATCATGAGAACAGGGCAGTCTCTTGCCTCATGACTATCAACGCTAAAGAGTATTATGGCAACTGCTGGTGATTCTCACTCAATTAGAATCCCAATCTTACAGTTGACAAAGAGTATTAAAGGTCAGCCAGGTAAACCTTCCCATCATGCAAAGAAAGTTTGACATACACTGGGATTTCCACTGCCCCCTCAATCTCAGCTTTTTTTTTCCTACAAAAATTGATCATAAAAGCAAACTTTAAGACAAACAGAACTCAGCTCACATCTCCCTGATTTTTGCACAGTCTCACTTTCAGTAGTCATGAGGATTGCCTTTTGGGAAGGAGAGGGAATTTTTATGTATATATTGACCACCTACCATGGCAGACCCCACGCTAGTTCCTTCACATTCTGTGATCTCACATAACCCTCTCAACAAACTTCTTTACAGGAAAACTAACACCCATAAAAGTCAAGTGATAAGCCCAAGGTCCCACCAGATAGGAAATGAGAGAGCTAAGATTCCCATCTTTCTTTCTGACTTCAGGTTTCATGTTTTCTTACTATGCTATGAAGTTTTCCTAGTAGTACTCCTTAGAGAAAATTAGAATTTTTACTGTGGAAAAGAAAGAAGAAATATGCATTTATAGCTATTGTAAAACCAGGCATCCACATTTTCCTAGCATAAGAATAGAAGATGGTTTGCCTGCTTCTTAGGCAAGGTTCATTGACAGGATTAAACCTGTCCCTAAATTGCTTATAGTTGGGGCTAGACATATGGATGGTAGTGTCAAGCTGGGTTTAATTTGAAAAGATTCTTAATTTCACACATGCACGCACATGCACACACACACACACACACAGAGGGCACCCTCTACCTCATATCTCCTCCCACCCCCCACATACCCTGCCACACACACACCCAGCCTAGGACTGGGGATGACGTGGTCTGAAATTTTTCCATTCACCAGTACTTCCACTGTGCTAAGAATCTCACTTCTCCGGTTCTTTTTCTAAATGTACATATTCCTGGGTACAGTCCTTCTTAAGTCAAATGAGTTTATGAAATCTGGAGACTCTGAAGCCAGCTGGTGGAAGGAGCAAGCAGTGCCTTTGGAGGAACAGAAGAAGCAGCTGAAGAGAGAGGCCAAAACACTAGTTCCCAATCAAGCCAAAGGTTGTCTTAGTTCAGAAGAACAAAGCCAAGGAAGTTTTTATTGGAGGAACAGATGAAGCAGCTGAAGAGAGAGGCCAAAACACTAGTTCCCAATCAAGCTGAGGGTTGTCCTAGTTCAGAAGAACGAAGCCAAGAAACTTTTTAAGATCACCAACACTAGGCCTAAAACTTCATCCATCAAGAAGGAGTAGGACATGTCAAGACCATTCAATGGGGAAAGGACAGTCTTTTCAGCAAATAGTACTGGAGAAAATGGATATCCACATGCAAAAGAATGAAGCAGGACCCTTACCTAACACCATATACAAAAATTAACTCAAAATGGATCAAAAAGCAAAAGAGCTAAAACTATAAAATTCTTAGAAGAAAACAAAGGGGAAAACCTTCATGACATTGGATTGGGCAATGATTTCTTAACACTAAAAGCACAGGCAACAAAAGAAAAAAATAGATAAACTGGACTTGATCAAAATTAAAACCTTTTGTGTAACAAATGACACTATGAACAGAATGAATATGCAACTTAGAGAACAGGAGAAAATATTTCTAACTATATATCTGATAAGGCAAGGGGTTAATAACCAGGAAATGTAAAGAACTCCTACAACTCAACAACAACAGCAAAATGCAGTTTTTAAAATGGGCAAAGGACTTAGAGTCCATAAAGGAGATATGTCTGTGTCTCCAGCGAAGATGCACAGATGGTTAATAAGCACACAAAAAGATGCTCAGCATCGCTAATCATTAGGAACGTGGAAATCAAAGCCACAATGAGAGACCCCTTCACACCCATTAGGATGATTATTATCAAAAATAATAGAAAATAACATGTGTTGGTGAGTATGTAGAGAAATTGAGTGTCGGCACTGTTGTTGGGAATGAAAAATGGTACAGCCACTATGGAAAACAGTATGATAGTTCCTCAAAATTAAATATAGAATTAACAGATGATCCAGCAGTTCCTCTTTGGGGTCTATACCCAGAAGAACTGAAAGCAGAGATTTGAACAGATATCTTCACATCCATGTTCATATTGGATTCACAATAGCTGAAAGGAGGAAGCAAGTCAAGTGTCCCTGGATGGATAAATAGATAAACAAAATGTGGTACATACATAAAACGGAATAATAATATTCCACCTCATAAAGGAAGGAAACTCTGACTCATGCTACAACATGAACGAACCTTGAAAACACTATGCTAAGTGAAATAATTCAGTCACAGAAAGACTGATTTCACTTAAACGATTTAAACGAGGTACCTAGAGTCGTCAAAATCATAGAGTCGGAAAGTACAGTGGTGGTTGCCTGAGGCTGGAGGGAAGAAGAGAGGGGAGTTATTGTTTAATGGGTTCAGAGTTTCAGTTTGTGAGGATGAAAAACTCCTAAAGATGGATAATGGTGATGGTGCCACTGATCTGTACACTAAAAACTGTTTAAGATGATAAATTTTTTGTTATGTGTATTTTTTCTACAGTTAAAGGGGAAGAAAGCAACAGGACAAAGAGGGAGGAGGACTGGACCCAGGGTCAGGAGACTCGGGCTCCAGAGTCAGCTCTACCACGCACCACCTGGGGAACTTTCCAAGCCAGCTTGGTTCCCTCATCCTTACAACGAGCAGTTGGACTAATTTTTTTTTTTTTTTTTTTTAGACAGAGTCTCGCTCAGTCGCCCAGCCTGGAGCGCAGTGGCTCGATCTCCGCTCACTGCAAGCTCCATCTCCTGGGTTCACGCCATTCTCCTGCCTCAGCCTCCTGAGTAGCTGGGACTACAGGCGCCCGCCACCATGCCCAGCTAATTTTTTTGTATTTTTTTAGTAGAGACGGGGTTTCACTGTGTTAGCCAGGATGGTCGTGATCTCCTGACCTCGTGATCCACCCTCTTCGGCCGCCCAAAGTGTTGGACTAATTTAATCCTAAGGTCTCACCCAGCTCTAAAATCCTATTCAGAGTAAAATCCTATTCTATGTCTATTTCTTGGTTCCTTACCATGTGGCTTCAACAGTGAACAACATAGACCAAGTCCCTGCCCTTGCAGAGTTTACATTCTAATGGGTAGACAAACATTAAATACAGTAGCGCACACAAATGTGTCAGATGGGAAAATCTTATCGCAAGGAAACTACAGCAGGGTAAGGAGAGAGTGACAGAGGGCGGTGTCAGCTAAAATGGCTAGGGACGTTGTCTCCAAAGAGGTGGCATTTGAGCAAAGACTAAATGGAGACAGAATGAGACTGTAGGGTTGGGGGGGGTGTCAGGAACAGCAAACGGGATGCAATGTGGATTCACTGGATTTGTATTTTGTACACTGGATTCTGAGATCCGGATCATGACTGAAGACCCTCACAAGCCTCCATCCTGCCAGGATCCCCTCCCCAGCCCCGCACAGGGAGACTTACCTAGTAGTGCAGACGTAGGTGCCAGAGTCCTCCTGCAAGGCTGGCAGAAGCCACAGAGCACCGTCCTGGGCCCACATCCGTGTCTCTTCTTCTCCTGGGACCGTCCTAGCAGAGTCATTTTTATGCCATGTCAGGTTGATGCGGGGGCTGACAGAGGCCCACAACCAGTAGGGCACCTGGGGGCACCTCAGGGCTACAGGCTCCCCTTCCAGCCTGAACTCCCGCTTGTAATGCCTCCCACGAAACCGGCAGCTTCTGGCAGCCCCTGAAGGACAGAGAGCCCATGGTCAGGCTTTGGGTCCAAAACTTGCTCAGATCATAAAACCTCCCTGCACCTGGGACTGATCCTGATTCTGGCAGGGAAACCTGGAGCACATTTGAGAAAGATGTCATTTGTCCCTAACAAAAAGACCTACACCCTGGGGTACTATTAAACTCCCTCCCTACCCCGTTATTATACTTTCAAAATTTCCAAATAACAAGTTCAGTGCTACTATCCATTCCAACTTATGTTTTGTGAAGAAAGTTAAATCAGGTTTCTACGGTGACAAAAAATTAAAGATTAAAAACTATGGCCATAGTTTTCACTGGCTGATTTCTCATCATTAAAAGTAAATCTGAGCTGAGTTTAGATGGTAAAAGTTTAGTTCTGGCACGTCGTATGGTTAAACTCCAAAGGCAACTTTGTTAAGGGCAAACACGTCACTTCTTCAGTTTGCTCTTTGACAAGCACATTCGCACCATTCTTTCCTTTTCTTTTCTTTTTTCTTTTTTTTAATTTTTCCTTTTTTATTTTTTTGAGACAGGGTCTCACTCTGTTGCCCTGCTGGAGTGGAGTGATGCAATCTCCACTCACTGCAGCCTCAACCTCCCTGGGTTCAAGCACTCCTCTCACCTCAGCCTCCCAAGTAGCCAGGTCTACAGGCACGCACCACCACGCCCAACTACTTTTTTTTTTTTTTTTTTTGTAGAGACGTGGGTCTCTCTATGTTGCCCAAACTGGTCTCAAACTCCTGGGCTCAAGCAATCCACCCGCCTAGGGCTCTCAAGTACTAACATTACAGCCGGCAGCCACCGAGCTCGGCCCACACTTTGCTTTCTGACAAGGAAACTTCTCTAGATAACATCTTTCCCCAGCGAAGCTACAGGCAAGCCTTTTTGCATCTGAAAGGTTTACTTCTAACCTGTGTGTGCCGCAGGCTGAAGGGTGAAGGCAGAAACTCCCATTACCAACACGTACAAGCGCAACATTGCTCCTGACAACTTCCAGAGGACACGGGAAGTGGAGGACTGAGACCCAGCAGCACGTGGCCTAGGGGAGGAAACAGAGGTGTCACCAGGAACCAAGAACCCTGCAGAGAGAATCCCTTGAAGACGGGGTAGGGGCAGGGTCTGGAAGCTTCACTGGATAATGGGAACCTTTTGGCCTACTCTGTTTAAGAACAAAACTCAAAATTTTTGGATTTGTTTCTCTGCAGCTATATTCACTGAACATATCTAAAGTCGAATCCTTGTAGCACCTAGAGGCGTGCTTGGCAGAGGGGCTCTGCCCCATAAGCTGCTGTCTCTGCAGAGACCTCCCTTAGCCATTCCTGCGCCTTGGCCAGAGATGCTGCTTCCTCAGCTAAGGCCACTGCCAGTGCCCTTTCTGCTCGGACTTCACTTTCTTCGTGAGGTCTCCCTCACCTCCCTATCTAAAATTGCACCACCTTTAATCCCAATACTCCATGTTTTCCTTCCCTTCCCTGTCATTCTCTGTGGCATTCATCATCAGCCTTGTCTCCCCTCTCCAGAATTCAGGCTCCACTGATGGAAGGACTGTGAAAGGAAAATAAAAACTTGGGACCCCCAATTCACTCTGCCAAAAGGAAAAAAATAAGCTGAAGTCTGAGTCCTGCAAGAAGCTGCCTTTCCTTTTGTTCCTAAGCAGAGAGCGTACAGATAAAAGATTTTAAAAATTCTCCACAGGTAGCCACTCTATGTTTACCTTATCATATGTGAAGAGCAGATTTACTGAGTATAAGAGGAATATAATTGACTATTCCCTACCTATTTCTTTTCCCTTGCAACACATGGATTCAGTAATGACTGCACCCTCCCTCTCTGCCCTCCAGCCTGCTTTTCAATAGGGGAAAAACTTTACATATTGAAGCCCTCAAAATCATCTTTGGAGAAAGGCACAGACCACAGACTGCTTTTTCTGTGATTCCATGTTTTTTCTCCTGGGCATTGTCCTTAATCTTGGCAAAATAAGCTTCTAAATTATTAAGACTGTCAGATACTTTTTGGTTGACAGAACCCTGCTTTATCTTATTCACAGTTCTGTCCCTAACTCTCATTTTTTGAATGAATGAATGAGTGAGTTAATGGATCACTCAAAGCCCAAGAGTCCTCATATTTCACTTGTCAGAGAGTTTTCCCTATATCCCCTACGGATTAACTCCTGTTTTACATACAACTCTGACATGCGCCAAGAGATTTGGTGTCCTGCTAACACTCTGGTCTACAGCATCCCAGGGAGAAAAGCAACAAGAAATCCAAAACAGAAATAGCTTGTACAAGTTTATGAAGCAGTCCTCCCCCATGCCCCCCAAAGACTGGAGTGTCAGATGCCCTCCTCGTCTCCCTGATGACCTTCTCACACTATCACAAGTGTTCCCTGTGTCTGCTAACCACGGCCACAACGATGCTGCTTAACAAACCAACGACCCCAGAACTGAATGGTGTGAAACAACGGTCGTTCACTCTTGCTCACAAGTCTGTGGGCAAGATGGAAGTTGGTTAACCTAAACTTGGCAGGGTTAGGCCTGGCTCTGAGCGGCAGATGGGGTCCAAGTCTGCTCCATGGGTGTCTCATCCTCCTTGGACCAGTAAGCTTCCTGGGAGATGATCCTCTTTGGGGATGGCGAAACTGGAAACGATGCGGCCAAAAGCACACACGAGGCCACACTGGGAACTAACTCACTCTTGTCTGCTCACATTCCATCCGACACAGCAAGTCAATGCCCCACCCGGCCATCGGCAGGGCCGGAAGTGGGAGCAGTCGTGCCAGCTGCCATGCCTGACTCTTCTGGCTCCGCAAGGATGGTGACAACCTTGGGGCAGAGCCCTGGTCTTGCTCACAGCCCTCATGGCCCACACACTAGAACATACCGGGGAATACTTATGACTAAAAGCCTGCCCACGGCAGGAGTTGTGAATGAATCCAGGGGAAAAATTCCCAGCCACTTTTACCTTGAGTTGTTCCCTGCTCCTTGCACAGATATCTCTGGGAATGACTTGCAGTAAATCCAGGGCGGCATTGCGGCATTGAGGAACCGACCCTCGCACTCCAGAAACCCTCCCTCGTGAGTGGGGAACCCTGAGTCCAAGGACTCAGAGTTACAGTCTGAGCTCCCCCTTCTGGTGACCTGAGATATTCCCCTTAGCTATGTATCTAGCCTGGAGCTTTCTCCCTTAAACTCTGTTTCTACACAATACTATTCTTCACGAGTTTCTGAAGCACAAATAGTTCCTGTGACTTTACCCCTAACCATACTGTCAGGTTTGCCAGATGAAGGTCACATAAACATCCACCAAGCTGCTGTGTCCTCCTTGGACACGCATTAGCTTATCACATCCCCAACTATACTGGTCCAAGCCAGACTCATTAGTGCACCATTAGAACATGAAAGAAGTAGGAATTTAAATACACTGTAGCTAACCAATACCATATATCAGGATAAGTAAATGAAGTCAAAGCTGGTGTTTTAGGGACTAGTGTATAACAATAGCTATTGTGCCAAATATTGAACATTCATTCTTGCATTTTATCCCCACAAACTGAGTATCATGCTGATTTTACAGAGGATGTATTATAAGAGTTTAAAGGGGTTAAAAGGCCTGGCCGAGATCTTACAGCTAGTAAGCAGATGTTGAAATTTAAACCCAGCACTGGTGATTCCAAAGCCCTTGCTCTTTGAAAATACACCTTCTATGACAGATGCTGCTAGTTTCTTCTCCCAATATCTGTCCTCCCTGCTTTCCCAATAATAGAACCCCCGAATCTTACCTGGGCACATGGCCCTCTATACACAGACATTTCCCATCATATCCCTTGCAACAAGGAGTGGCCATGTGACAAAATGTGGATCAATGAGATGTAAGTGGAAGTGTCATGTGATCCCCCTGGGAGGTCTCCACTAATCTTCCTTCCTGCTGCTCAGTGTGGATGTGGTGGCTGGATTGTGGCCACTACCATGAACTACAAGGTACAGACCACTCACTGAATGCAATAGGGCAGTAAGAGGGGAACCTGAGTCCTTGGTGGCTTCGTGAAGCCGCCCACCACCCTGGACTACCTTTTTTATGTGTCCAGGCTTTCTGTCACGCACAGCCAAGCCTATTCCCAATATATTGTTTTTCCAGAGTTTATAAAAAGATCCCAGGGGAAGGAGCCCTGCCAGGTACTGTCAGGCATTGTGTTCTCACAGTCTTCTTTCTGATACTCAACTATTTCAGGTAAACAGTTTCTGCTGGTTGACTCTAAAAGTCACTTTGACTCAAAGTCAGGAGCTGACGTGCAGCCTCCCCTCAAATGAAAGGGCCCCACCATGCTCACATTCTCTCAGGGTCAGGCTTACGGGAATTATGGGAAGGTTTGTAACCATGTTTAAAATTACTTTGACACCAGAAATCCAGGCTGTGCCATTCAGGATCAGTCAGTAGCTAACGCTTCACAGAGCTATGGAGCTGAAGAGTCTTTGAGAAATCTAATCAAGTCTCTTCTTTCTACAGGTAAAGTGAGTTTCAAGTTAACTCTCTTCTTCAAATGATATGGCTGGATGGGTGAGAAGAAGTGTTTCAACAAGGATCCTGTTCCAGTAGAACGAATCCTAAAATGCTGTCCTCCTCCAGTAACTGCTAGCCTCATCTACCCCCACCACCATCTCCAGCCAAGGGAATTGTCTTGGTTTCTCTCCCTGGACTTGAGCAAAAGAGCTGCTTTACTGTGACTTCTCTAGGATGTGGCTGCAGACAAGTAAACCACAAACACATAGTAGTGACAGTTTTCAATAATCAAAACCTCAGAAAAAGGTTGGAACCAAAATTGCTGTAGCGTGGGAAACAGTAAATCTTTGGCAGGCCCAGAGGGGAAAACAAATTAGTTTTGCAGAAGTTTGCAGCAAAACACTATTCTCCTGGCCTACTTTCTTTAAATGAGTTTTTAAATCACAGACAACTTGACATTTCTGCTGGAATCTGAGTTGACCTTCTTACTGGAAGAAAGAAATTTCAAGGGCAGCTCCTTCCAAGTATTTGAGTTAGAATTCTATCTTTTTTTTTTTTTTTTTTGTCAAATAACCATGTTTCACCACATTCAACATAAGAAAACAGAGGCATATGATGAAAAACAGGACCAGGCATAAGAAAAAGACAAAAATGTGTGAAGTGTGAAAGGAAGGAAAAAGAATGCTGGAAGGTAGAAAGAGCTGATGCACAGCCCTGAGTTGGACAGGTGGTAGAGCACGCACTGAGGCCCAGGTAACCGTTACCTGCCTTTGATTCCCAGGTGTCTGCAGCTTCTGGTCATAGACAGTACATATAGCCTAAAAGGATGTAAGTGCTTACTCCACCTTTTCATTTAATTTTTAAAAATTACAAAAAGACTGAAAAGTTGAAAGCATAGTATGACAAATGCAAGTATATATTTCAGTAGATTCGCCATTGTTAACATTTTGCTGCATTCGCTTTATTCTCACTCTCCCTCTTCTTCTCTTTCTATTTACACACAGGCACATAGACATAGACATAGACATAGACATAGACATAGACATAGACATAGACATAGACATAGACCCAGACCGAGACCAAGACCTAGACCTAGACACAGACACAGACACAGACCTAGACCTAGACCTAGACATACACATAGACACAGACAGAGACACAGACACAGACACAAACACAACCACAGACACAGCCACAGACACAGCCACAGACACAGACACAGACACAGACACAGACACAGACACAGCACAGCCACAGACACAGACACAGAGAGATATACACGTAGACATAGACCTAGACACAGACACAGACACCGACATGGGACACAGACAGGGGACAAAGACACAGACATAGACATAGGCCTAGACACCGACACAGACACCGACACAGACACAGCCACAGCCACAGCCAGACACAGACACAGACATGGGACACAGACAGGGGACAAAGACACAGACATAGACATAGGCCTAGACACCGACACAGACACCGACACAGACACAGCCACAGCCACAGCCAGACACAGACACAGACATGGGACACAGACAGGGGACAAAGACACAGACATAGACATAGGCCTAGACACCGACACAGACACAGCCACAGCCACAGCCAGACACAGACACAGACATGGGACACAGACAGGGGACAAAGACACAGACATAGACATAGGCCTAGACACTGACACAGACACCGACACAGACACAGACACAGCCACAGCCAGACACAGACACAGACATGGGACACAGACAGGGGACAAAGACACAGACATAGACATAGGCCTAGACACTGACACAGACACCGACACAGACACAGACACAGCCACAGCCAGACACAGACACAGATATAGACATAGACATAGACACAGACAGAGACACAGACACAGACATAGACACAGACAGAGACACAGACACAGACATAGACACAGACAGAGACACAGACACAGACATAGACACAGACATAGACACAGACACGGACACAGCCACAGCCAGACACAGACACAGATATAGACATAGGCATAGACACAGACACAGACAGAGACACAGACACAGACATAGACATAGACACCGACACAGACACAGACACAAACACAGACACAGACATAGGCACAGACACAGACACAGACAGAGATATACATGTAGACATAGACCTAGACATAGACCCAGGCAGAGACACAGACACAGACACAGACCTAGACCTAGACACAGACATAGACACAGACACAGACAGGGACAAAGACACAGACATAGACATAGATATAGATACAGATATAGATATAGATATAGATATAGATATAGATATAGATATAGACATAGACATAGACATAGGCATAGGCATAGACATAGACATAGACCTAGACATAGACTTAGACACAGACCTAGACCTAGACTTAGACATAGACATAGACACAGACACCAACACAGACACAGACATAGACATTTATACAGACATAGACACAGACACAGACGCAGACATAAACTGAGACCTAGATTAGACATACACATAGACATAGACACAGACCTAGACCTAGACCTACACATAGACACAGACACAGACACGGACACAGACACAGACACAGACACAGACACAGACAGAGACATAGACACAGACACAGATAGGGGACAAAGTCACAGACATAGACATAGACATAGACACAGACACAGACCTAGACCTAGACTTAGACATACACACAGACACAGACACAGACACACCCGCAGACACAGACACACAGACACAGACACAGACACAGACACAGACACAGACACACAGACACAGACATAGACATAGACATATTTTCTCCTGGAACACCTGAAAGTTGCAGACATCATCAAACTTCACCTCTGAATACTTCAGAATACATGCAGGAATACATTTTTTTAACAGATTGAGAAACTAGTAAGTAAACGATAGCTCCAGAAAGGAATTTTCCAGCATGTAGAAGGAGTAACAATTTTTTTTGATAATATATTTGAATATATCTGGACTGAATTCACCTAGAAGATGAAACTCTTCTCTATTTCTATCATTACCTTGTTCCCAGAAGTTTTTAGGCAACTGTCTCATCTCTGAGTCAGGTGGCACAGTCATTCAAAGAACAAAAACACGGTGGCAGGTGCTGAATGTTAATGAAGTCACATAGCTATCAGGCTTTACACCTATCACTGAGTCACTTCTAGTGTGTAAAATGAATTCCTAGGAGCCCGAACATGTTTTACGCATGTCGTATAAATTCTTTGAAACCCATGAGGAAATAAATATTTACATCAAAATTAACCTGGAAATTTTTTATAAATTCAAAGGTGAAACAATATAGAATGTATTTTTTAACTAAGCCCTAGGAAATAACAGAATTTTAAGAGGGAAGACTTTCTAGACTCAGATACAGAGAAATACATGACCAGGTTTCAGTCAGCTTTTATTGAAAAATGTGCTGGCTCAAAACAAAAACCTAGATGAGTTGTCCAGAAACTGCTTTTGTTCTATAGGAAAGAAAAAAGCTAGACAAGGAATGAGCTTCCAAGCAGCAGGCTGAGACTGTTCCTGGTCTGCATAGCTGTGTCAGAATGATAGCTGGCGATGTCCTGGACACTAGCCTCCCATCCCTGGTGGGGTCTGGTGAGACAGATCACTTCCTGGAGGCCACGTTGCAGGGAGACCCATCTTTGGCAGAATAGGGCATTAGGCCACATTGGGCTGAATCTCAGAGGAGCAAATCGGCAGAAACTGATACAGATGGTTCCACCAAGGCATAGGCGCTCTCTTTATACTGTCTGCCAGCAAACATCCCTTCTCGCTAAAACCACCACTGAAGTGTCTCTTAGTCAGTGGTTCTTGGGACAGAAGTTGGTCAAGTTCAGTCAACCAACTCAACTCATGTTTTCGCTCATTCAAATCCTGTATCAACATTCCATTCCCTGTGAGTCTGGGTCATTCCAAGCCCCCAGCAGGCTGGACCATCAACAAACACTTGCTTCACCTGCCTCCTGCATTAGACCCTGCCCTGACTGACACCCAGCAAGACCACTCCTCTAGCCTGGAACAGTTACCATCCTCCTCCAAAATGACTGATGAGGAAGCTCTACCTGTGAGGCCCTAGGCATCTGCAGGGCAAACCCACAGGCTTCAAATTCTCCCAGCCTGGTATTTGTGTAAGAGGAATGCACTACCCTGAACAACTCCAGAGGACAAAACTCATGAGTCTGGTAGAGCTCAGCATCCCCATTATAAACACGGAGCAATGGAAATAGACTTGGGTACATTAAGTCACTTGTCCAAGGTCACAGAGCTAAGGAATGACAAATAGGATGTAAACCCAAGCCTACACAATCCTTGGTTTTGGCACTCGTTCTCTGCTCTGTAAAAGCATCAACACCTGGAGCTAGAGGGGCCTCCAGAAGCCATTAAGTCTATCTGCCCACCCAAACAGTCTTCTGAAACCCAGCATCCTCTATAGAAGACAAGCTTACCCCATCACGAGATGCACACTGCCAGTCTTGGGAAGTATCCATAATTAGAAATGTCTGCCATTTTGGATCCCAAAATTTCCTCCCTCTTAACTTCATTTATTAGTCATATTCGACCCTGTGGGGAAGCTCCAAAGAAGTCTGTCTACACCTTCCAATAACTTTGAGAGTTAGAAAGTGTATACAGAAGAGCACAGTGTACCTGGACAGAGAAGTGGGAATCCTGCCTTCCTTCCTGCCAGCAGCAGGGTGGTGGGCAGGTTACATTACCTGTGTGAGGCTCAGTCTCCTC
Organism: Homo sapiens; assembly: GCF_000001405.40. Lineage (NCBI taxonomy): Eukaryota > Metazoa > Chordata > Mammalia > Primates > Hominidae > Homo > Homo sapiens. The sequence continues at coordinate 102,000,301 of NC_000002.12, read as the reverse complement.
ATCTGTGAAATGGGCATACCCTGGTGTGCACTACAGGAGGAGTAGATGTCACACCATATGTAATGAGCTCAGCAGTGCTGCAAAAAGAAAGTGTTCAACAAGCAGTAGCTCTCATCAGTGTTTTACAGAAGCAGAGCCCGGTACTCAGGGAGATAAGGAGCTTGCTCAAGGACACAGTTGGAAGACGTGATGAGAAATCAGCCCTTCCACCATCTGCATTCTGCCGAATTCCTGCTAAGCGACCATTCCACAGCCCAGCCTGAGAACTCGTCGGTATTGTAGTTGGCAACTTAGCTAACACCAGTTACTATACTAAAAATATGTACAACTTTACCTAATGGAATCCATAAGCCTAAATTCATAGATCCATATTATAGAACATATAAGTGTTCTATAAATATTTACTTTATAAAATACACAATATAAATGTTGCGTGCTTAACATATAAACACACAATTCTAAATACATACAGATGCATACACACGTATACATCTTCAAGGCTGCCAGGAATTCTAAGGTTTTTATCTCAGTGACAGCATATGGAGCTGGAGGTTGGAACTGGGTTCCTGTCTTCACTCTACCATTAACTAACTATGTGATCTTAGGCAAACACATAGTCATTTGCTCAATCTCTGAGTCACAGTTTCTTCACCTCTAAAATACAGAGGTTGGGCTGGTGAGACCTCCCAGGTCTCTTGCAGGTCTAAAACCCTGGAACTCTAAGTCAATCTGGATTTGAGCTTAGGCCTCCTCAGTCCTAGATACAGCTTCAGTTTCTAAAGCATCGAGTCATAGCAGACAACCACTGAACTCAGTCAACTCTCTTGCCGAAGTCCCCATGGCCACCAACGGCAGAGCCACAACTCGGGACTTCTGAGGTCTCCTGGGAACTGGACTTCCAGCTCTGCTGGGCTACCTGCTGGATAAAGTTAATTAGTAACTGGAAGCTCTGGCATTAGAGCAGCGGTTGGTTGTTAACAGACATACACCCTTAAAACAAATTTTGCTTTCTGTCTTATAATCTGAGTGTGGGAAACACCTAAAATATTTGAGTAATCAGTCATCCAGAAAACCTGCCCATCTAAAATAAGACAAAGACAGAAGAAACAAGGACAGGAAGATCTGAGTAGGGGAAAGACAGCCAATCAGATCCTGGTACAAAGGCATGTAGCATATTTCACTCACAGAAGCAGCTTTAAAGTCTTCCTTCAGAAGCTCTTTCTGTTGATTTGTATGAGCGTCACTAGTTTTTAAGAGTAGCAGAATGTATTTTCCAGAGGTGACCACAACAGTATCTCCCATCCCACATGGTCTTCTAGAATGTGACTGTGCCACTCTGCCACCAAGAGGTGGAGTCTAACTCACCTCCCTTGAATGTGGGCTGGCCTGTAACTTGGTGTAACCAATACAATGCAGCAGAAGTGATGCTGTGTGAACTCTTGAGCTAGATCAGAAAAATCCATGCAGCCTCCACCTGGTTTCCAAGGGGTGCTTGCTTCTGCCTGGCTTCCTTGGAAAGTCAGCCACCACGAAGACAGTCCAACTGCCCTGAGACCACCTTGCTAGGGAGGCCACATGTAGGGCATTGGTTGACAATCCTAGCTATGCTCAGCCTCCCAGGAACCCTGCAAAGGCACCAGCCATGTAAGTGAAGCCATCGTGGACCCTCCAGATGAGTCCATTCACCAGCTGAGCACCACTGTTTGAACTCAATCAGACACATGGAGCAGAAGAATCACCTAGTTGAGCCCTCAAATTCGTGACATACAGAAACTAGGAGTTATCATAAAATAGTTGTCATTTTTAAGCCACTAAGTTTTGGGATAGTTTTTCATGCAACAACAGGTGAACAGAATGCTCAATCAAAAGCAGATTCCAGATGGCAAATTGGAAAGAGGGAGAAGGCTAGGAGAAGAAAACACACACTGAAAAAAGCGGCAGCTGATTGCCCAGTAACAGAGGAGACAGGAAAACCATTAAGGCAGGTGCGAGAACCAAAGCACACAGCCATTTCGGGATTTTAAGCGCAGACACCAGCAGTCCCTTCCATGTTACTGTGCCCTACTGAGTATATCAGGACATTAAAGCACAAAACAATTGATGCTCCTAATGATTTCCTTGAATCACAAAGAACAGTTTAAATTTTGTTCAAACTCCTCTTTCTCTAGGATGGGACAGTACATGCAACACAGACGCAATGAAGGTAATATTGCAATTACCTCCCAATGTGTTTTCCTCCTTGATATTCTGGATTCTTCTGCCACTACAGCCCCAGGAAAGGGAGAGAGCAAAGGCCTCCTCAGAAAGAGGAAAGGAAGTGAATATGATGCAGGGGAAGTTCCTTCCTGGTAGGAAGTGTCAGTAGAAGAAAAAGACCCTTTGGGCTCCAGGGCTAAAGGAGGGAAGGTACAAGAGGAATCAGGCAGGCAGTCCTGCTTCTTATTCTGGGTTTGAAACCTGAAGGCAAAGGGACAAGAGGTAAAAGAGAGAGGGCTGGATGCAGAAGAATTTTTGCTCTGCTTCCAAGTTGCATCTCTGGAGGAATCCCACCTTGGTGAAGTAAGGGGCACTAAAGAAGAATGGAAATAATGGTGTGGCTGTTAGGTAAAGGGGTGCTTCACTGATGGGAGAGATTCAGACCTTCCCCTGCACTCCCAGGAGAGAATGGAAGGTAAACTGAGATCTGGGCTGAGATGGGGCTGCCATGATGAAAGACAAGATGACCTGTAGCCACAGCTTCAGGATATTCAGTGAGTAAGGAGCAGTGAGGCCAAGTGGGGGAAGACTGCCCCACCTCTTGGTAGATAACCACTTCCCCAAGGCCCTGAGCTCTCCACCTTCTGCTCCCTTGGCTTTCCTGGTGCTCCTCGGAGCTCTTCAGGTGCAGCAACAGGTGCTGTAGCATCTTTTCTGATGGGCTGGTACTCATGCCCTGCTGGTTGCTAAACATTTTGAGTATCACCTGGACAGTCTAAGCCACAGAAGAAACAAGGTCATGGCCAAGATGCAGAGAACCTGTGGAGCCAGGGAGAGGCACAGCGGGGTGACCTCGGATGGAGCACTGGCTCTGACAACTGAGGCACCAGACCTCGGGTTTTCCCAGTCACAGACGCCAGCAGTAGATTCCACAGGACACCTCATGACCAGGAAGGTCCAGGGACATCTCCACAGAAGCCAGTGCCTACCCCAGGTCAGCACGTGTGGATCAGCTGCCCACCACTCCCTGGGGACACAATGTCCCCCTCTTCTCAGGCTTCTTCCTGGCTAGAAGAAGGTGCTGGTGAGAAACTGGAAGAGTGAACATCTCCCCAAAAGAAACAAAATGAAAGCAAGAGAGGTAGATTTGAGCCGACTCAGACAGCAATACATGTAGCAGCAGGCTTAATTCCCCTGCCCTAGTGGGAAAGGGCCTTTAGAGCCAAATGAGATTCCTCCTGGCAAAGCTTTAAAGGTATCTTTTTGGCGTCAATTTGTAGTGAGTATATATATTATAGCAGTATATATTATATATGTGTATATACTGGGTCTGAGTATATAATACATATAATCAGTATATATATACACATATATATATACTCACTACTATATATACATATGTATGTTTTGGAAATATTTTCTTCCAAAGTTTTTAAGATGTCAAAACAGATGGGATTTTCTTTGTATGCTTTGAAAGATCATCTTCCACTCTCTGGAAAATGTGCCCACCTTGTCCTCTGAGGGGCACCAAGGGTGGCAATTGTCCCAAGCCCTGTGTCCAGGGTGTCCAAGTAACAAGAAGTCAGCCATTCTCCCCCCCAAAAAAAAAAAAAAAAAAAACACTGAAAACACCCAGGGATTTTTATCTCTACTGTGTGGGAAAATCTCTCACCCTCAGCAAAAGAAAACCTGATCTTCAACTTGAAGATAGCCCAGATTTGCTGGGTTTCCACAGACCAGACCCAAAAAGCCCCAGAGGAAACCTCTGGCTTGCCCTGGGTCTGTGGGCAAGTGTTCCATTTGCATTCTTAGCCCCTCCAGCTCCTCTCAGCTGTCAGATGCCTGGCCAGCTCGCTCCTTGGTGGCGGGAGCAGCTCTGTGAAGCTTGGTGAGCTGAAATCCTGCGTCCCTCCCTCCCACCCCAAATGAGCTAACTGGGTAACCCTACATGGTGGGTACACTCATGTTCACCAATATTCACTTCTCTGAACCCTTGAAGTCGGGCGGGGCACGTGACTGAGAAAAACAAGTGCCGATTCCAGGCCTGTGCATTTCACAGCTGGTGCTCTCTTGCCAGCTCTCTCCTGCATGGTGCAGGCTGAGCCCTTGTTCATCCATGCTGCCAGCACGGCACAGTCAAGCCATCTGGGCAGCAGGCTGAGGTCCTCCTGCATCCATCAATCCACTCACTTGCTCCTGCTATGCCTGCTTCTGCTTCTGATAAATAGGAATAATCTCCACCCTCCGGCACTTGTGTCAAAACAATGGGCGTCCCACTGCTGGTCTCCGTAAATTCTGTTTTGACAATGACCTGGGTCCCCGAGTGGCTCTGATGAGTCGTCATAGTCCAACGCAGTTAACCCATGACGATGCTGTAGCATGAGCAAGAAATCAGCTCATGTTGTATGAAGCTACTGAGGTCATTGCCACAGTACACCTTGGAGGGCAGGCACCACAATCAAAGTGAAGTATCAGGACCTTGTATTCATTTTCTATTGCCGTGTAACACACCAGCACAGACTCAGCCACTTAAAAACAACCGCATTGGTTAGCTCACATTGCTGTAGGTGAGATGTCTCTGCTCAGGGTCCCACCAGACTGAAATCAAGGTATCGTTTGGGCTGTGCTCCTTCCTGGAGCACAGGTTCCTGTTCCAAGCCCACAGGGCTATTATGACTGCAGGACTGAGCCCCCAATTTCTTCCTGGATAAGGCCACTCTCGGCTCCTACATGCCACCCATGTTTCCTGCCCTGAGGTCCTCTCTACACCAGGGCAGTTTGTTTCTTCAAGGCCAATGGAAAAAAAACAACATCTGCTGCTGCTTTAAGTCTCTGACCACTTGACACTGACCTCCTGATCCTCTTTTAAACAGCTCACCTGGTTATGTCAGGCCCACCCAGCACATGTAATCTTTTAAATAGCTCACCTGACTATGTCAGGCCCACCCAGCATGTGACCTTTTTTATTAACTTCAAGTCAACTGATTGAGAACCTAAATTACTTCCACAGAATTCCTTCACCCTTGTCACATAAAGTAACTTAATCATGGTAGTGATGTTCCATCTATTCACACATCCCACAAGGAGGGAATTATACAAGGGCATGGATCAGCCAGAGTCATCTTAGAATTCTGCCTACCACAGACATTTAAGAAAACATTCTCATGAATATTAGCTCTAGAAAATTTAGGATCCATCCAAAACTTTACACTAACTTCTTCCTTGCCCCCAAATAAGAAGACCTCTTCCCAGACTTTCTAAATCCTTTCTACTCAAAGTGTGGTCCATGGACCGGCAGCACAAACACCATTTATGAAAAATTCAGACCAAGAGAATCAGAATCAGCCACATATTCACAAGGCCTTCAGCCAAATATTCACAAGACCCTCAGGAGATGTGAAGGCACCATCTCAAAAGGCCCTTGTCCTGAGATAGCTCCCCCACAGGCTTGGCCCTGGACACGTCTCCTAAGGAAAGGGTTCTCAAAGTGTGGTCCCCTAGCACTGGTGTCAGCATCACCTGGACACTTATTAGAAATGCAGATTCTCAGGTCGCCAACCAGGACTTACTGAATCAGACATTCAGCCCTCTGCATTTTCATAAGCCCACCAGTGATTCTGATGCGGGCTCAAGTTTGAGAACCACTGGGCAAAGACACTGTCATGATCGAGTGTCTCCCCTATGGAAAGCCGTAATGAAAACATGAAAAAGCAACCCGAGTCTGCTCTGCTTCAGTCCTGTTGCTGCTAGAGGCCAACTCTGCTCTCCAGGGGGAGGGGAGGGGGGCTCGGGGTCCGTGGATGTTCTGGATCCCTCAGCTCTAATTGTCAAACAGGCTTTGGAGGTCGGGGTGGGAGTGGGGATGTAGAAGGGAACCCCTACTAGCAGGGCCGGGTAGGAGGCTCCCAGGCCAACTGAAGACCCCGGGAGAGAGGATAGCTGCCCTGAAACATTCAGCCGAGCTTCCTTCTTGCCTTTTAGGGTAACCAAGTACCAAAATACAATCCAAATGGACAAACTTCTAAATGAGGTTAGAAGAAAGGCACTCTCCCGTGTCTGTGCATGTGGTAATACCAAATGATCAGCTGGGCGGGAAGCCCACTGGCCTTGGGAGGGCAGAGCTGATGAAATGGGCATGGAAGAGGTGAGTGTGCAGGAGGTGGGATGGAGTGCAGAAAGGGGGCCGGCAGCTCCCACTGCAGCCATGCGGCGCTGGGAGGTTCCAGGAAGGTCTGGACATTTGGCTGCCTCTGCTCACACAAGAGAGAACTCAGGGCAATGTAGGGTCTTGACAAAGATCTTACAGCAGAGTTGTGGGTGGGGGTAGAGGAGTCCTGAAGGGCTCTAAGAAGAGCAAAGGCCCCCAAAAGGGAATGCAATTAAAGAGAAGGAGCTTCAAACAGCAAGAGCAAACTGTGTGCCATGATTTAAGAGAGACAGAGAGAGGAACAGAGATAGGGAGAAACAGAGACATAGAGAGAAGTAGAGACAGAAAGAGAGAAACAGAGACAGAGAGAGAGAGAGAAACAGGCAGACAGAGAGAAACAAAGACAGACAGAGAGATCTGGGAGTCAGGACACCTGAGTCTGTTTCTGTTGGAGCCTCAGGCAACTTTCCTGATTTCTCCAGAACTCAGGTGTCTGATCTGGGCCACCTTCCTCACTCATGACCTTCTTCCCCTGTGTGAGGGTGACCTTAAGTCCTGAGTGCTTGATACTACTTGGATTCATCGACTGTACTCCTCATCACCCTTGACCTTACTATTTGCAGGTGGAAATGGAGACCCTGAGCAGGTGAGCTGTCACGCAGCTCATCCCAGGCAAGCTGGACTCAGAACCCAGGCCAGTTCGCCTCTGGGGACACACCGCAGCCCTAACCACACTCTACTACCTCTCCCAGAAAACCACCCGAGAGCCAGGCATTAGAGAATCCACAGTGACTTTAGAATATCAAGCTTTTCACACCAGAAAATCTCATGAGGCTTCTAAGGAAGAAAGCCCTCCATTCAGTGCACATCCCACGTGCAGCCTCATGCGGTAGAAACGGGTCTCAGTGGTCCGCTATCTTGTGTTAGATTCCACTGCGATTTTACTTGTGGCCTAGAATCATGGAAGGTCCTTAGAAACCCCCTGATCCAGCCCCTCTTTTGACAGATAGAAAAACTGAGGCCCAGAAATATCAAGTAATGCTTCCAGCCACCTTCACACAGGTGAAGAAGGTCATGGGCAAGGAAGGTCACCCGGATCAGGTTCCTGAGGTCTGGAGAAATCCGGAGAGTCGCCTGAGCCTCCACCAGAAATGGACTCAGGTGTCCCGACTCCCAGATTTCTCTCTTCTGTCTCCGTCTCTCTCTCTCTGTCTCTGTGTTTCTCTCTGTCTTTCTCTCTCTGTCTCTATGTCTCTCCCTCTGTCTTGGTCTCTGTCTCTGTCTGCCTTTCTCTGTCTCTCCCCATCTCTGTCTCTCTGCCTCTCTCTGTCTCTCTGCCTCTCTCTGTCTCCCTCTATCTCTGTCTGTTTCTCTGCCTCTCTGTCTCTCTCCATCTCTGTCTCTCTGCCTCTCTCTGTCTCTCTCCATCTCTGTCTCTCTGCCTCTCTCTGTCTCTCTCCATCTCTGTCTCTCTGCCTCTCTCTGTCTCTCTGTCTGTCTCCGTCTCTCTACCTCTCTCTGTGTCTCTGTGTCTCTCTGCCTCTCTCTGTCTCTGTCTTTCTTTGTCTCTCTGTCTCTGTCTCTCTGCCTCTGTCTCTGTCTTTCTCTGTCTCTCTCTGTCTCCCTGCCTCTCTCTGTCTCTGTCTTTCTCTGTCTCTCTCTGTCTCTGTCTCTCTGCCTCTGTCTCTCTCTGTCTCTCTGCCTCTGCCTGTCTCTCTGCCTCTTTCTGTCTCTGTTTCTCTGCCTCTTTCTGTCTCTCTGCCTGTCTCTCCATCTCTCTCTCTTCTCTCTGCCTTCCCCCCTGCCTCTCTCTCTGCCTCTCTTTGCCTTTCCCTCTCTCTCTGCCTCCCTCTCTCTCTCTCTCTCTCTCTTTCTCTCTCTCTCTCCCTCTCTCTCTTTCTCTCTCTCTCTCCAAAGCCTCTTACCTGCAGCTCTGCATTCTCTCACCTTGTTGCTGCTCACCTGGGGAAGGCTGCCAGGCCAGACTTTCACCTCCAGCAGGAGCTCAGCAGTAAAGCAGGGATTTATACCCTCTTGGGAGCTGGGATTTCCTAACCGGGTGGTGTCACCCGCTCACACTGGGTGGCAGCGGACACACCTTTTCCTCCTCACGGGGAGCACCCCCAGGCTGCAGTGCTGGGTCTGAGTACATGATCACCCAGATGGGGAAGTGGCCAAGGAAACGCCGCATAAGTTTCCCTATTTTTCTGTGACTCGCTAAAAATTACGTACTTCCAGCCGAGAGGTGGTTTTAAAGTGATGGGCGTTTTGCCCAACTGTGGCCCCATTAAAGAGAAAAAGATGCTTTTGATCTTTAGCCAGTGGAAGAGTTGGTTTTCCATCCAAGGAACGCTTTTAGGATCTAAGAAAGGTTAAGTTTTTGTTTTGTTTTGTTTTCAGAGTCCTGTATGATTTTTAACTGTTAAGTGAAGGAGGGGGTTGGTTATCTAATTCCTTATTCTAGATTGTGGAGTTTGCAGAACTGAATAGTTTGTCTTCTGAAAGTGGGAATCCAGCATCAAGTCATGTCTGTACAAAACCAATGTCTCCTAAACCCCCTAACCAGCCCGAAGGTGTTGTTGGTTGCTCCTCTCTCCCATGCAAGTCGCCACCGTGGAGTTAGAGAGGATGAAGCCGAGTCAGGGTGCACCCGGTTTGCTCAGAGCCCGCGGATCTGAGAACTCATGGTCCTGGGCCTTCCTTCATATGAACAGGAGGCCAAATGGGAGCGTAAAACCTTGGCCACAGCCTCTCTGGAAAGCCAGGCTCCAGGGCTAGAACCCTCTTATCATCCCCTGCGACCTCTCGCCTATGTGCTCACTCATGTTGCATCGTTTAGGAAGAGGTGTAATTTGGAATCCCTTTGTTGGTGGTTGGAAAGGAAGAATGCTTTTCAAAATGTACTTTAAAACCCATGGCATTAACCTTCATAACACTGTCTGCCTGGTTTATGCAGATCTTCATTTTCTTACAAGTAAAGAGGCAGGTATAGAAACTCCTTTAGAGAAATCTTAGGGAATTCATACCCAGAACAAATGGCTAAGTCAGAAGGGCCCATGGGCCCTAGTTTTATCCTTTTGCTAACAAAGGATGGTAACTCTCGAAAGTCAAATCTCAACTGGTTAAATAAAATCTTAGAAAAATACAATGTTAGAGCTAGGTAGAAACTTAGAGATGGTCAAATTTGTCTTCCAGTTTAAAAAGAAGAGAAAACTGAAGTCCAGACATTTGAGGATGGGGAGCAAGGTGAGTAAGCTGTATTGATTTAATGGTGTGTATAACTTCACAATGGATGGATTCTTATGGAAACTGTTTGGAAACTGTGAATGCCCCAAAATGGAGTTTGTTGAGCAAAGGGTAAATGTTACATTATATCATGTTTATTCTTTTTAAGGACCATTAGAAGGTGAAATATTTGGGGCTTTTCCCATTATTTTGATGAGGCAAGATTGAAGAACAAAGCACAAATTTTGAGTCAAGCCTAGTAAGTTTCAAGGGTGGGAATTCATCCCAGTAGGAAAATCTCACCAAATACCATCATCATCCCAGGATACAGAACACGCCAATAATTGAGCCCCTGTCTCCACCCTCGCTCTGTGCTCAACTAAACACATCACCCCCAGCTGACCTGCCTCAATTAGGATTCGGTTCATTAAATAACACAGGAAGCCCACAGCTTAATTCAGCCAAAGAGAGGAAGCAAAACCATGCCATCTGCTCTTGGCCATGCTGGAGTTAACTGCTGATCTTGTGATCTATAAGGAGGAATTTACATAACCTCACTTCTTTCTATGGGAAAACTTGATCATAGAGTCACAAGAATTGCTTACATAGTCTTTTCAAGAACTAATGCTCAGACCCAACAGACACCCAAGAGTAAGTCCCCAGGCCTGCCGGAGCCTCATGGAGCCATGGCTACTTTACCCCTCCGCCCCGCTTCATGGCCCATGCTGCACTGTGTCCACCACCAATAGCACATTTGAATGGCTCGATTTCTCCACCAACTGATGGGAAACCCACAAGCACAGAATGTTCTGTACCATCGTGAAATCCTCTGAGGTTTGAGGTGAAAGTCACCCAGGATGTTTATTGCAAAGATTGAAGCAATGATTCCTCATTTTTTAGACCCAGGAGGCCTTTCCAAAGTCTGGTCTGGTTCAGAGATTAGCAGAATCCTCTGAAAACCCTTGTGGCAAGGTTCCAACCCCTCTCTCTTCCTTGTAATGTACAAGCCACAGGGTGGGGAAGGTGAGAAGGGAGAGAGAGGCTACGTCATGTATTGTGACAGGAAATATGTGTCCCCAGTTTTTATGGGACACCCTCAATTCCAAATACTCTGTCATATTATCCCCAGAAACTCACTCATTGTCAGATCAGAGAGCCTTAATTTGGATTCAAGAAAATATGGTCATCAAAACCATAGGATAAATTTAGCAATCAGAACCCATAAAATTAAAAATTCTGGGCAAGCACGGTCCTAGCACTTCAGGAGGCTGAGACAGGAAGATTGGCCACGAGTTCCAGACCAGCCTGGGCAACAAAGCCAAATCCCCCATCTCTACAAAAAAAATTTTTTTAATTACCCAGGTGGGGTGGGGCATGCCTGTAGTCCCAGCTACTTGGAAAGCTGGGGCAGGAGAATGGCTTGAGCCCAGGAGTTTGAGGCTGCAGTGAGCTATGATTGCACCACTGCATTTCAGCCTGGATGACAGAGCAAGACACTGGCTCAAAAAAAAAAAAATCTAAAGGCTGTCCTGGTCAACTGGACAATAACAGGAAAAAAAAAACTCTGTGTCTTAATCCCTTTTCCCATGTAAGGTAACATGTTGTTCACGGCTTCCAGGGATTAGAATGTGGACATCTAATGAACGGCTCCACTATTCACCTCAATTCCTTTCATACCTAAGGCTAAGATTGTCTAGAAAGCATAGACAAAGTATGCACAGAGCTTTAGAGATCTACAGGAGAGATTTTATTTTGTTGTTCATTTCAGAGAAAATCCAGTCTTCATTGCTGAAGTGTTTTTGGTTCCAGGATCTCCTTCTGCTTCTTTCTCCCACCTTGGGTTTCCATGAGAGACACTGGGAAAGGTGAGAATTCCAGGACACCACCCATAACACGAACAGCCCCTGCCCACTTTCCCTCCAACCCCCCTCCCACGAGACCCAGAGCATGCATGAGAGGGCAGCTGGAACCTGGCCCCCTCCAGAGCCTGCTCTCCCTCCACAGGCACCCAGGCCCCATGCAGTACCTGGCCCCGAGCATTCCACCCTCCTGCTCTACCATCCACACAACCAAACCCTCTGCCTGCCGGTGGCTCAGGAGGCTCCAAGCAGGCCCCTCCTGCTCTGACCTGAGGCGCGCTGTCTCCCTTGCATGAGGTGGAAGCCCCTGCTCCCCGGCCTTGCCCTTCTGCCCCGTGGGCCCAGGAAGTTTATTGCAAGGACTGAAGCAATGATTCTTCATTCTTTAGACTCTAGAGACCTAAAACCTGTCTCTCTCTATCTGAGAGAGAAACCCTGGAAGTCGGCCTCCCAGGACATGGATTAGCCACTCACTGAGGTGGACCTACACTCTCTGCTCTGGGGGAGAAATGAAAAAAATTCCTGTTCCTCATGATGGAAATCTGATTTTCATTCTGCATCAGACAGCAGCTCAATGCTTATTCATCTAGCTATTATTTGCACTGCTGAGAACCAGCTCAAGTGTCCCCACACCAAGAATAGACAGATTGGCTTTTCTTACCAATAGTCCCAATTGCTTTCTGATCTGGTCCAAACCGACAGAGAAAACCCCAAATCATGGCACTCTCACAGATACAATCAAGACAGCCTTTGTTATGCACCTGGGGGCTGAAAGAGGCTGCCGTCCACCACAGCTGAGGCTGTGCTTCCACCTCTGCATGTCACAGGCAGCTCCAATCTGAAGCCCTGGGAGCTGCAACTGCCGTGGAGCCTGCAGTCTACAGGACTCATCGCTGAGATATGAAGGTCAGTTCAGTCCCACCAGCCTCAGCAGGAAGAGATGACGAGCAGACTCTCAGACAACAGCTATTGGATCCCAACCAATGCCAAACACCTGAACCAACCCTCAGCTACCCACCTTGCAGCAAACACCCCAGTCCATCCTCCACATCACCCTTCCCTCCTCTCACCTACCCCGACCCACCAGCCCCACCAGCTATTCTAACCAATAACCCACTGGATCTTCTCAGCTCCTGTTAGATGTAAAAATTTCAAATAGCTGGTTAATTGAATTGACTTTAGACTCATAATGAAGGTGGTAAAAAAGCAAAAAACAAAAAAGGTGTGGTCTCTTCCTTAGGACTCCCAGCTGTGTGTAGGTGCACGTGTGTGTTTAGGGGTGGGTGTGTGTGTGTTAATGAGTTGCTATCCTTCATTCTGGCTCCGCGAGAGCCACACCCAGCCTCCCACAACGACTGCCTAAGCAATAATGACTGCTTCTGGCTAGCACCTGGCAGGGCCTCCAGCAGGTAAGAAGACAGACCCCAACCACCACCATTTTGAAGTTCTAAGTATATGAAACATTAAAAACCTATGCCAAAATAGAGCAACAGGAACTAGACTTTATTCTAAAAGTTTGCATTTAGAAAATAAATGCTTTAGAATCAAACAAACCTCATATGCACAACTCACTTGAAGATAAAACCTCAGCGTCACCATCCACACACAGCCTTTGTAACTGTCACGGAAATGGTTTTTCTGGCCACCCTCACTCACACTGCACAACCCTCAACCACCCACCCTACTTTTTTTTTAATTTTTTTTTTTAGAGACAGAGTCTCCCTCTGTTACCCAGCTGGAATGCAGTGTGGCTCAATCGTAGTTCACTGTAACCTTGAACTTCTGGACTCAAGCCATCCTCCCACCTCAGCCTCTGGAGTAGTTAAGAATACAGGCATGCACCACAACACCCAGCTAATTTTTTTTTTAATTATTTATAGAAATGGGGTCTTGCTGTGTTGCCCAGGCTGGCCTCCAACTCCTGGGCTCAAGTGATCCCCCCTACCTCAGCCTCCCAAAGTGCTGCGATTACAGGCAGGAGCCACCGTTCCCAGCAACATACTCTATTATATCCCTAGCTTCCATATTATCTTCCAGCTTCCAGGCAATTGTTTCATTGAATCTTGAGACCTGCTCTGCTTTCTAATAGTCTCTTGGTAACATAGGACATCTTGCTAGGCTCAGTTGACATCTATGCCCCACACTTCTGAAAAGTAGTGATGGTGCTTGAATTGGCCTGCAGGGTCCAAGGTACCCATTGCCTTCTCAGTGTGTATTGTGTTACAGAAAATAACAGGCTTGCACAAATTCCACCTGCATGTCCTCCTGTGCTAGCCAGGCTGTCAGGCACGCAAACTCCATGCAGGACCTGACTTTGATTTGTCATCTTCAAAACACTTCTCTCCCCCAGGGCAGGCAATCAGGGCAGGCTTTGGCAGCGGGGATGATGGCCTTGGCTGAAGTCAACCATGAAGGGGAATCCACGCTCCTCTGTGTCCTGTCACGGGCTGGCATGCCAGCTTTCATCAGAAATGACATTCTGTGTGGTCACTGCATCATCCCACTTTATCCAGCACTGCCGAAGAAATTGCATTTGCCAACCGCCCTAGGCCATGGAGGCACACTGCTACAGCCAGCCTTGGTCCCCAGATCATAATGGAGGGACACCCAGAGAGGAAAAGGGAGGTGGGAAGACCCCTCACCTGGCATGGGAGGGGCTGGCTGAGGTTAGAGACAAGGAACAGTTACACACCAACGCGTATTTACAGAGAGACTTTAAATGGATCTGCAGGGAACACCGTTTCAATCCCCACCCAGCTCAGAACCAACAATTTCCCATTTCTTTGTAAACTACCCTGTATTAATGCAGTCTTTTACTTTGTGTATTCTGGTGCTTTGATATTTGCTGCCTTGCTGATCCTAGAAGGACAGCCACACCCAGGCCTAGCCCATTCCTTGAGACGGTAACCAACGGGCCCACAAACATGCTTCCCAAACCAACCAGCCCTGAGCCTACCCACCCCCCCGACCGCTCTGGGTATTAGGCTCTCACCTTCTGGGCCTCTATCTACCCTCATCACCCCGGGCCAGGTACCAGATAACCAGAGCCCACTGAAGACATTCACACGAACCAATCCTAAGCCTGCTTCCTCCACCGCACCTGTGCCTCCCAGCAGAAACACCATAAAGGCAGCTTCCCTCCATCTGCCTTCTGGCTGCCCCTCCTGGCACACCCCTTCCACCTGGGAACTGTATGACAGTCTTTTCAATGGCAGGCACCCCTGACCTGCTAGTCTTGCCACACCTAAATCATAATGATACCTGTGTTACAGTCACCCTTCCCTGACTCAGGGGAATGTTTGCGCCCCAGGGGCTGACCACTGAGATAGGTTTATCATATCCGTTTTTGGTTTGTTTTTTCTTTAGGAATTTGGAATTTGGTCCCAGAAGGAGATAAGTTGGCCTCTGTGAGGACCTACACATCTAAGGTGTAAACTCAAGTGCTGAGGGGTCACCTTGTCCCACCTGGTACTCAGAGGGGCCAAAAGGGTCACAGTTCAGAGAGAAAAGAATGAGGGAGACGTGCAGAGAGAAGCAGGAGTGAGCTTGGCACCAGCCCACAGCTGCTCTGCTCTGCTCTAGGGCCTCCCCGGATGGCGGCATTCCTAGCCCTGGGCCCCCATCTCTTGAGACCACATCTGGTCACTTCCAGGGCCACATCTCAGGTCCAGGAGCCTCTGGTGTCCGCTTCTATGCTTTTAGTTTGCCATTTGGGTGGTCCAATTGCCTGTCAAGTAGAATCCCTTGTGAAGCATTCCAGTCTCCTTTGGGCTGAGAAAAGTAACTTAAAAATTTTTTTTCTGCACCCTGCCAGGGATAGCCCAGGCCTCAGCAAAGGGCAGGGCAGCATAGCGAGAAAAGCAAGTGCCCCAGGTTGAGAAAAGAATGGCAGAGACAGGAAGCAGCAAATGCCCTGGGTCAGGGAGTGAGGGACCACCTGATCGAGCTCCAACGTCAGCAGTTCTCATAGCGCTGCCCAGACCCCAGCAGCAGGACATCCTGTGCCCCACCCCAGGCTACTGGATCAGAGGCTAGAGATGGGACCCAGCAACCTGCAGTGAACAAGTCCCTCAGACGATTCTGATGTGGCCAGAAGTGTGACAAGCGCTACTCAGATGGTTCTCAACTCTGGCTGTACGAGAGGATAACCCCAGGAAGCCTGCATCCCACCTTCACACCGAAAAAGACCAGGCCAGTCAGTACTTTTTAAGCTCCTACGTGATTCTAATGTGCTGCTCGCCAGGGTGGAGGGCTGTACCACCCACGTTCTCCATTGCTATGTCTTTGGCTCCTGCAGAGAGAAAAAGCAAGTAAGTGAGAACCTTTCAAGGTGGACTCACAGAGGACAGTTAATAAAGACAGGGGTGTAGCAAAGGCTGCCGAGCTGGGTGAGAAGGGGCCTTACAGGACAGTGGTGCTTCCAACGTCTGATCCTCAGTGTCTAATCAGGGAAACCGGGGATCTCAGACTCTGGTTCACACTCACCAAGCTCACAAAAGACCGAGGTCTGCACCAGCATCTTCGCCTATTCTTTCATTCATTCATTTATTCATTCATTTTGGTAATATGCTTTCAAGCACCTGCTCCAAGCCCAGCATTGTTCTAGGCTCTAAGGATTTCCAAGCCAGTGGAGGAAAGTGGCAATAATAAAGATGTAAACAAATAAATGGCTTCATTATAACCAGAAAGATGTATTGTAAGCAATACTCAGGCAGGTCCTCTGCACTGGACAGTTCCCTCCACAAGGTAGAGCCATTCCAATGTCATTTCTTGCTGGATTCAATCTGGGCAATTGGCATTATCTGTTGTCACTCATTCTGCAGCATCGCCCGTGAGTTTGTAAGCCTTGATCTGACAACACTCAGGCAGTACAACTAGGGGCACCAATAATATTTTGGAAATAGAACTAGGATGAAATTTATTCTGATTCCATCTATATGAAAAAGGGTTGCTAAGTACAAAAACACAAAATTATAGACACTACAATCACATACTTAAGAAAATCAATCGTATACCATAAAGTGATAATGCATTGATAACAGATCATACTTACTTGTTTTAGGCGTCTCTATTCAGAACACTCTGTTAGCCTGAATCCATTTCCAGAATGCACTTGACAGACTTCCAGCTGCTTTTTAAATAGATACATTCCATGCTCATTCAAGCCTATCTGCTTCTCAAAGCTGTGAATGAAAATCAAATAAGGCAGCGTGTGAGTCAGCACAGGCTGCGTCTAACAAAGTACCTTAGGGCGGGATGGCTTAGAAACAACAGGAATCTGGAACTTATTTCTCACATTTCTGGAGGCCGGAAGTCGAGATCAGGTGCCAGCATGGGGTTCTGGTGGGGGGACCCTCTTCCTGGTCGCTAATGACCATCTTCTCCCTGTGTCCTCACTGGATGAAAAGGTGAGGGAGCTCTCTGGGGTCTCTTTTATAAGTTCACTAATCCCATTCATGAAGGCCTCCCCCTCATGACCTAATTACCTCCCAAAGACTCCACCTTCTAGCAGAAGAACCTTGGAGGTGAGGATTTCAACAACTGAATTTTGACTCTTGGGGGAAACCGACATTCAGTTCACAGCAGGTGGTAAATGGTGTCTTACCTGAATCATGGGTTCATGCCTTGCCTTCCAGCCACTGAATGAGGAAGAGCAAGTCCATCCCCTGAGCCTCCAAGGAAACAGCCCCAACACCACCCATCAAAGCCCTCAGGAGGGGGAATGAATGGCCAACCATCCTGACCACACTCCCAACAGCCAAAGTCACCAAGAAGACAATGTTCAGATCACTCCTGGGCCTGGTCTCAGAGAAGTCAGCCCCAGGAAATGGTGGTGAAGAATTTCACCCCCCAGACTTTCTTACGGTCCTGGCTGGGGACTGGGGAGGAAGCCACCAGGCTCTCCAGGATTCTGTGGACCTAGCCGTTAATTCTCAGGGGGATCTGAGAGCTCCATGAGCTTCCCTGCCCGGTGCCCTGGCTGCTCCGGCTCTTTAGGCAGAAGAAGCCTGCCAGGCCCACCCTCACCAGCCCAGAGGAGCTGTCCAAGTTTTTTGGCTGTCTTGGGCCAACTACTGCTGGAACTAAGCATAATATTAGCTGGGGCTTGGGAGTGTCTAGTTAGATGGTCGTGTTTCGTTCTCGTGCTTGTAAATCCACAGACCCACAGATCATCTGCATAGAAAGAGCCTCGGGGCCACTCCAGTGCACCATCTGCATTTGTAGATGAGGAAGCCACTGGTGGGGCTTCATCCATGTTAAATATTGAGGGCTGAATATGTATTTGAACTTCAATGGCAAATCTTTGACAGAACAGATGGAAAAATCGTTTTCCAGCACAGGGTCCCTGCCTTCTGGCTGCACCTGGTGTCCTCCAGCTGCACAGGGCCAGGCCATGCTGTGTGACGCTGGTCTCAGGGGAGGCCTATCTTGGAGCTGTGTCTGGGGTCCACGTTGACTCAGGTTCTCAATCCAGCTTTGAAACCTTTAGCAAGTACCTTAACCTCCCCAAACCTGCATTTCTGCTACTGTGATAAGAGGGCTGTGTGAGCAGCAGTGCCCATGCACACAGCATTGATGGAGCGCCTGACTCTGTCCCAAACACTTTACTCACATATCGGCTGATTGGATCATCCCAGCAACCCAAAGAGGCAAGTGTTATGGTGTATTAACAGTCCTACTTTACAGGTAAAGAGACTGAGGTATTCAGACATTAAATAACTTCTCAAAGGTGATACCGTGTTATGACGGGTTGAATTTTGTCCCTTCAAAACAGGCATGCTGGAGTCCTAACCCCCAGTATCTCAGAATGTGACCTTAGTTGGAGATGGGGTCTCTATGGGGATAATCAAGTCAAAATAAAGTTATTAGCCTAGGCCCTAATCCAACATGACTGGTGTCCTTATAAAAAGGAAAAATGGGGGCACAGAGGCAGACATGCAGGGAGGGACGATGATGCAAAGACACACAGGGAGGAGATAGCTGCATGCCTGGAGTGATGTGGTGTCCACAAGCCAGGGGACGCCAGGGGTTGCCAGCAGCAACAGAAACTATGAAGAAATAATGAAGGATCTCCCCCTAGAGCTGTCAGAGAGAGCCTGGCCCTGCCAGCACCTTGATGTCAGACTTGTAGCCTCAAGAACTGTGAGACAATACATTTCTGTGGTTCTAAACCACTGACTTGGTGGTACTTTGTCATGACGACCCTAGAAAACCAATACACACAAGCAGCTCGTGTTGGAGCTCAGGCTTCCTGTGCAGGGTGGCTGCGAGGAGGGGCTGCCACACATGTTCCCATGTGATGGTAGCAATGGCAGTGGTGATGGCAGTGAGCTAAGAACCCTGCAAAGATGGAATAGGCACCATCCACATTCTTGGAAGATTAAAATAGACCAAAAAAGATGGCAAACATCTCTAACAAGACTGAAACATCCCCTAACTCCCCAGCAAGTAGCAACAGGACAGTTCAGAAAAGAATGTCATGTACCCTGGAGAGAGGGGATGGCTTTGTTTATCACTTTCTTTTTACAGCCAATATTTCACTCTGAGGGGTGGAGCCTGTTCCCTTCCATCAAGAAGTGAATGATTTTGGCTGCTCCTGCCAGGCGGAATGAGGCCAGAGCCAAACGCCTCCCAGGTGAGGCAGGTGAGAGGCCTCTTGCAAACAGGCCCCTCCCTGAGCTTGGTCAGCACAGAGTCGACGCAGGGGCCCAGATCTGGCAGACCCCCCCCCCATCTCGGGGTGCTGGGTGCTAGATGAAAGTACAGCCCCTCACCTGCTTCAGGAGTAGAGTGCATTGCTGATCTACACCCTAAAAATAGGGGCCCCAGTGAGCAAGAGTGGGAACAAACTGCACGAAGTGATATCGGTCACTAATTCAGTCCAGCCTAAAAACCATTTCTTAGTTCTTTGTTCCGTCTTTGTTCGTGGATTTCAAGTGCAACGAGAATACGACTCTGTACTGGTTGGTCGCTGGGCACAGGCTTCACCTCTCTGCGCCTCAGTTTTCTCCTCTGTACAAGGGAGACAGGAATACTATCTATCTAGTATTGTTTTAGGATTAAAGCAGCACTTAATAAAGGCTGGGCACAGAGGAAGGCACTCATTAAGTGTCAGCAACTGTGACAAAACCAACATGTGGACTGATGAGTGCGCTAGACAGGAAGACACGGTCTGAAGCATAATGACTCGAGGTACCGAGAAATACTTAGTATAAGGTGGATTCCACCTGGAGACAGTAAGGACTGGCCCTGCTCCCAGTCTTGGCTGCACAGCTATTGGCTCCCACCCATGTGCACAGCCCCACCCGAGGTGCTGGTCCCAGCCTATTTTGGTCAGAGGGAATTTAGGGAGCCCCAGGCAACTGGCTCAGGGTCTCGTCAGCCTGACCAGGCCGTGCTGACCTTGTTCCTGCCAAGCCCCACTCCCCAGTCAGGCTGAGACCTGCAGGGGCTGCCTTCCTGGCTCTGCATAGACATCCAGGGCCAGGCACCCAGGGGAGGCAAGTCAGAGGCCAGGAAACTGGTCCTGGTGCCTGGAAGGTAGAGACGTCCATGGAATTGATGTGAGGGGCTGAGGGAGGCGGCAGTGGGCTGGTGGGAGCAGGAGGGATGTGGCAGTTGGTGAAGTGGGCCCCATCCTCCCTTCCAGAGACATCCCTGGGTGCCTGCTCTTGTGGGGCTGGTGCCTGACCTGGCCATAGAGGACAGACCCCTAAGGAAGCAGACTGACCCTGCAGACCCCGGGTTCTGATGACTGAGCTCTTGATGTCTTCTTCATGATCAGCTCCCCGTGCACCCCAGTTCCCATGAAAGGAGAGATAAGGGGCTGATGTTTACGAAGCTCGCTCTATGCTCCAAGCACTGGACCTGCATCATCCCATTTAATGCCCCGGCCCTCCATGCAGTGAGCAATATTAGCTCATTTACCAAGGTGACAAGGAAACCGAGAGTCAGAAAGACTAAGTCACGCAGCCGGTAAAAGACAGAGCCAGGAGTCTGATCCAGGAGCCCTGGGTCAGACTGGGTCAGCCCTGTTCCCTGCTCACAGTTCTGCTCCCCTATCCTGCCAGGCAGGCCCTCAGTCCACCTCCAGACTCCCTGCTGCCCGCAGCTGGCAGAGCCTCTGCCTCCCGACCTTCTTCAGGACCTCCTCCAGTAGCTGGGGGGGCTGTGGGCTCATCTCTGAGTGACACCTCTTCCCCAGCTCGGCCAGTTCTGTGTTCCTTGGCGCCCTGGTTCTTGCAAGGGTGAACATTGGGAACTGGTTGCTCAGGCTAGGCAGATGGAGCAGAGAAGTCTAAGTGATGGGCTCCTGAGAATCCGTGGGCTGCAGGTGGCGGCTGGGCAACAGGGTTGTCAACACAGGGCGGTAGGCTCTAGCCCACACCAGCAAGACCAAGTGTGCTCTATACGAGGTCAGGAATTCAAAACAGCCCCTTTTGAGTTGACAGCACTTCACATCTTCCCAGTGAAGCTCTTGGCCACAGAAGCTTCCCTGAATGAGCCCAGTGACTCACCGGGCAGTGTGAGCAGGGTCACACCAGAACTTGTCCAGTCCAGTAGGGAGAGGGATCACTGGTGGTCGTCTTCTTAGTCAAAGTCAGGGCATCGCTCTTGTGGCTACAGGACCCAGGGCTGTCCCTGTCCACCATCTGGCCTGTCCACTGACCACAGGCCAGACCTTCAGTCCAAGCCCTCATCCTGCACATGCCCAACCCGCTTCGCTCCAGCTGCCAGCCCCCACACAGGCTGGTCCCACTGTCTCCCTCTCTCAGGAGGGCCCCTTCCTCTTCAGATGACGCCCCATCCAGGTTAACCCCTCAGGGGGCCTGCACTCCCAAACCAAGCCACCTGGAAACATTGGCCTTGAAATGCAAATGCTATTGGCCTTGGAGCAAGGCAGCCAGGACTTGAACCCAAAGGCCTGCTGTCCTCCTCTTCAGAGGGAAAGGGGACATTCTTGTGTTTATTCTTTCAGGATCTTCCTAGTGCCCTGAGAATCAGATGGAAAGTGGTATCTCAATAGATTTTCCTGCAGAAAACAGTTGGGCTGGCATGGGGACTTTAGCTCCCGGGCCTCAAGGGGAGGCGGCCAGCAGGGTGGAGATGCTGGGCCTGCACAGCCCCGCCACAGCCAGTGCCCACAGCAGAAAGAGGGGAAGCAGTGCACCTGGACAGGAGACTAAAGCCTCATCTTCCAGAAGGGAGTTTCTGGAGACCCCTGAATGTGGATCCCCACCGTGCCTTCCTCCAGTGATGGGCGGCAAGCAGTCATCTTGGCCTTAAGGGCAGGTGAGTCAGGACTGGATTTGGTCAGTACTGGGGATCAAATCCTACCCCAAATCTCCAATCGGGCCTTCTTTGTTCAGAGCTGCCTCCCTCCACTGTTTACATCTGGGCCCTTCCAAGATGTTGAAAGAATGAGGCCCCCAAAAGTGATGGGGCAGAGAAGGCACAGACAGCTCTCTGGCCTCCCTGGCACCCACCCTTGAAAGGACTTTCCCTTCTCTTCCTGCCCCCTTCATGGGCTCTGATCTCCTAGGTGGCAGGAGGGCAGGTCTCAGCTGTCCAATCCCCAGGGGGACCAGGGTTCTTCCTCCAGGGGTTCTTAACCTGGCTGCACCTGCTCATCAACTAGGGAGCATTTAAGAATCCTGATGTCCAGGCCCCACCATATACATTCTAATTTCAGAGTTCTGAAGCTGGCCTGCGCATCCAGATTTTTTAAATAGATTTAACAGTACAAGTGCAGTTTTGTTACGTGGATACATTGCCTAGTGGTGAATTCTGGGCTTTTAGTGTAGCCATCACCTGAATAGTATACGTTGTGCCCATTAAGTAATTTCTCATCCTTCATCCCCCTCCTGCCCTACCACCCTTCAGAGTCTCCACTGTCCATTATTCCTCTCTCTTTATCCATGTGTACACATTATTTAGGTGCCACTTAGAGAACATGCAGTATTTGACTGCCTGTGTCTGAATTATTTCACTTAAGATAATGGCCTCCAATTCCATCCATGTGGCGGCAAAAGACATGATTTCATTCTTTCATGATTTCATTCTTTCTTAAAACTGAGTAGTATTCCACTGTGTGGAATACACACAGATATATATATATATATATATATATATATATATATATATATATATATATCACATTTTCTTTATCAAATCATCCATCAGTGAACACTTAGGTTGAATATTCACTACTGTGAATAGTGCTGTGATAAACATGCAAATGCCAGTATTTTTTTTTTCACTTTTTGTAGAGACAGGATATCCCCATGTTGCCCGGTCTGGTCTCAAATTCCGGAGCTCAGGCGATCCTCCCGCCTCAGCCTCCCAAGTGCTGGAATTATAGGCATGAGCCACTGCACCTGGCCTCTTTTTTATAGAATTATTTATTTTCCTTTTCTTAGATACCCAGCAGTAGGATTTCCGAGATGAATAGTAGTTCTATTTTTAGTTCTTTGAGAAATGTATATGCTGTATTCCATAGAGGGCATACAAATTTACATTCCCACACACAGTGTGTGTGTCCCTTTTCTCTACACCCTCACCAATATCTGCTGTTTTTTCACTTTTTAATAATAGCCATTCTGGTGTGAGATGGTATCTCATTGTAGTTTCAAGTTGCATTTCTCTGATGATTAGTGATGTTGAGCATTTTTTCTTATGCTTCTTGACCATTTGTATGCCTTCTTTTGAAAAATGTCAACCATCGAGATTTTTAAAAGATGCCCAGGGGAATTCCAGTGCTCAGCTGAGCTGAAAAATAACAATGCTGTGCTCTGAGCAGGACTTAGCTCTGTATTACCAGCTGTGTGTTCTGTCTGTTAATGCAGGATGGCATGAGACAGCCAAATCCCCTCAAGCACAGTTGAAAGAAGGGCTCTTGGGCTTTCTTAAATGTTTCATGACAGCACCAAGAAATTCCCCTCTGCTGCAAACTGACCTGATAGAGAACTCTGGCCCTGGAAGAAGCCTGAAGATGGCGAGGGCTCTCTACTGCAACTTTGCCACTAGATTGCCATGAAGGCAAACCGAAGACCAGCCTTGACCCCATGTATACACAGACATTTTTACACTAAACCTTTATTACCAAGCAGGGACAAAAAAAGTGTTCGTACATTCTGTTCTGTAGGCTCGAGAAAGTTCCAGTTCTCCATCCTGGTCATTACTGCAAACTCCACCTGACATGAAATGTTCATTTCAGCCAAAAACCAAGCCAGCATTAGAGAACCGGAATCTGCCAGTGACCGTGGCTGGATACAGAATGAACAGGGCATCATCCCTAAGGAGGGTTCTTGTGTCCTATTTATGCAAGCATGAGAGTGCTTTCTAGAATCATTTAGCCAACCCACACATCTCAAGTACCTTTCATCTCAGCAATGACGGCCCGTTTCTGACTTGAATTATGAACATGAATAGGTCACTGTTTTCACCAATAAAAGGTGACTGACATTCCGTTGGTTGCTGATTGAGATATAGGTAACAGAAGTCTCCTCTGGGATGCATACTGTTTACTGGAAGGCCAGCTGATGCTTTTGGCCTGAGCTGCCTTGACTGAATGCTTGTAGCACGTGGGTATAGCTGAATCTCAGTGCCACGCATGACATCACACACCTAGATGCTGACACGATTAAAAAGCCAATTACCTGATGCAGTGAGTAGAGCTCAGCCCTACCCCTGAGATGCCTACCAAAGGTGCCAACCTTAATCTGATCATGAGCAAATGCCAGGCAGAAAGACAGGGACTTGTACAGAATCACCAGCTGGCATTCTTCGAAAGTGTCAATATCATGAAATACAAAGAAAAGCTATAACTTATTCCAAATTACAGGAGACTGAAGAGAGATGACAACCAAATGCCACACATGATCTTGGATTCTCTTTTGCTGTAAAGGGCATTATTGAGACAAATGGGAAAATCTACACAAGGTCTGTGTATTAGATAATAGTATCATGTTCATTACCTGATTTCGATCATTGTGCTGTGGTTATATGAAAATTCCTTTTCTTCAGGAAATACACCCTAAAGCAGCGGTCCCCAACCTTTCTGGCACCAGGGGTGGGCTTCGTGGGAGATCATTTTTGCACGGACTGGGGAGGAAGGAATGGTTTCAAGATGAAACTGTTCCACTTCAGATCATCAGGCATGAGTTCGATTCTCATAAAAAGCGTGCAACCCAGATGCCTCGCATGCGCAGTTCGCAACAGGGTTCGCACTCCTCTGAGAATCTAATGCTGCTGCTGATCTGACAGGAGGCGGAGCTCAGGAGGGAAGGCTCGCGGGCTGCTCACCTCCTCCTGTGTGGCCTGGTTCCCAACAGGCCACAAACTGTACTGGTTCTCGGCCCAGGGGTTGGGGACCCCTGCCCTAAAGTATTTAGCAGTAAAGGGATGTGCCTAACCATACCTTTAAATGATTCAGGAAAAAATAATACAAAGACACACCACACACACACACACACACACACACACACGCGCACACGGATATAAGGAGGGCAGAAGGTGAAGGATAAAGTAAATATTAAAAAATGTAAACATTTGGGGAATCTGGAAGAATAATGTGGAATTCTGTTTATTATTCTTGCAGCTCTTGTTTAGGTTTAAAATGTTGTCAAATTAATTTTTAAGTTAGAAAAACTTCTGTCACCAGCCTCATGACACCGTCCACACCTGGCTGGTGTTCCCAGGTGTGCTCTCGGGTCTGGTCTCCTCGTCCCAGTCCCAGCCCCTCTACCCATGTCTGTGGCCACTCAGGACAGCCACGCAGGACTGTTTGCCGGGTTCCAGAATTCCTTGGCTCAGCCGTTGGCTGTCAGGGGGCCCTCGCTTTCTGAAACTCCCCAGGAGCCTAAGCAGCAGTCAGGATTCTCCTCCTGTGGGAATTCCTCATCTCTCCCTGCTATCAGAGGCCTAGGGAGGAGCCACTGGCTTCAGCCCCAAGCCTTGCTCCCCCGACCCCGCCCCCCTCCCCTGACTCCAGGCAGGAGGGAAATTGAGAGGAGCCCTGAGTCGTCGCCCTTGGGACTGGCCTGGCCCACTTTGTTTTCAGTTTCTCCATGAGTCAGATCCATGCTTTTGTGGAAAGAAAATAAAGACCACCCCAGTGAGAAAGAGCAAAGGCTATTTGTTCAGAGCTGCTCTAGCAAGGGAATCGGCCACCATCTCTCGCATTTTAGCAGAGACTCAAAGGCAGGCAGGGAGTGGGAAAGCATCATAGTAGAAAGAAGAGAAGGCTTCAGGCTTGCCCTGATTGGAGAGTGATGGCCTGTAGGAGCTGCAGGCAGGCTAATGGGGTGTTGGGGCCCAGAAAACGATACCCCAAAGTATCTTTGACATGCACTTTGACATGGTGAATTAAAGAAGCAGCCTCAAGGCTCAAGGTCACTCTGACCTTCCCCTGTCTTCCCCCAATCCTCTGTCTTTTCCAAAGCACAGGATGAAACTGTTCTCTGAAGTTCCCTTCTCTACCTAGAAACTGGACTCATCAAAGAGGAATACAGATGCCTTCCCTGAAATTTAACTAGAGAAAATTGAAATTCATATCACAGAGGAAGAGACTGAAAATTAAACACCATACCTGGAGCCCAGACTAACTTCGTGCCAAATGATTGTCTGTCTGTAGTCCAGTCCCATTCAATTCCCAAAGAAAACACTTATTGACCATTGTCTGATCAATGGGCCCATTCATCCCTCCTAGAAGTCATCGACTACCCCTCTAGAGGGCCCCGTTTCCCCCATCACTCCCTCCCCTATGAAGAAGAATCTGCAAGCACCTGGACTTCATTGTGTTATTGGGTTATCACTCTCCTGCGACTCCACTGTGCTTCTGCACAAGTGTGTGCCTTTTTCTCCTATTAATCTGCTCGTTGTCAATTCATTTTCAGTGAACCCTCAGAAGGTGGAAAGGAAGCGCTCCCTCCTCGCCCCTACAGGGGCATCCTGTATGATTGGTTGGAGAGCATACTTGCCTTTCTCCGATTGGTTGTAAATTGGAAGCAGGGTCAAAAATCAGGGCAGCTGGCAGTGCTCATCAAGTGCTGGCCATTTGGGGCCAGCTGCTACAGGGGTTGTTCTTTGGTTTCCTGGACCCATTGCTAGAGAAATACTCTGACTTCCTACAAGTCTGACTTAGAGCAGGCTGGCTTCCTGGACTGGTTGCCGTGGATAACAGGTTGGTTTCCTAGGTTGGTTGCTGTGGATAATAGGTAGGTTTCCTAGGTTGGTTGCTGTGGATAATAGGTTGGTTTCCTGGGCTGGTTGCTGTGGATAACAGGTTGGTTTCCTGGGCTGGTTGCTGCAGATCATGGGTCAGAGTTCTATTTTTGTATGTATTCTGGCCATTATCCACTTACATATTCAGTCTCTCACTTTCCAAGACCAAAGACCTTCCGCCAGTATCCAGGGAACTCAAGTCCCATACCTCAGGCCACACCCGGTAGATTTTTAAGGAGCTAGGACAGCCAGTTATCTGATAGGTGCCCAAAGGCATGTTTTGGTGTGTTTTTAAGTCCTTAGTCATCCCACCAAACTCCCTGAAGCATGTGCATTGTGAACCCTGGGCATTTCTTTAGCAATATTACTTCCTGGCCACCCGGAGTTACTATCATGTCAGCATCTCAGATGAGCCAACAGACCAAAGTTCCAGCCCTCCTCCTCAAGGGCGCCATGTCATCCTCCAAAAATGCCCTCAATGTAGTTCACTATTTTCCTAATTGTCAGCACAACCCACCCCAGTGCCTGCCCATCATGCTAGCCCACACGTCTCAGAAGCCAGACTCAGCCTTGGGCCAGGAAGTCCTCCCACATTCCCACTCATGACACAACCCCTGCATACCCTTCTTTCTCCTGGAAGGGCTTCTGGTTTGCAGAGTTAGATTCAGTTTCATTTCAGGAAGTTTTTGTGTTGCAATGGTTCTCACTGCTGTTTTTAGTCATTCAGAGTCTGAAATTAGACCCCTAAAATCATCTTCCACGTTCCATGCCCTTCCCTTTCTTAGCAGTATTTTGCACACCAATTCTTTGAAGCCTGCCTTGCCTTCAAATCAACTGGGGTTGTAGTGAGCATTTGCAGATACATGCTATACAAATGTACTCTACAAGTCCAGACAAAACTCTAAAATCGAGCAGCCATGGTATTTGCTCCATGTAAAAAGTAGAGGTTCCTCTTCAAAGAGACTTTCCTCCCCGTGTAATTAGGAACAAATAGTAACTTCTCTTAGAAGCAAAGTTGATTCTAAGGACTGGACTAACATTCTTAGATATCTGCTAGCTGTAATAAAGAAATCAATGTACTTTGTGTTCTTAGCTCCCACGATTTAGCCTAAATATTTGCCCTGGCATACTTATACTGGTCCAAGCCAGCATTGGGTCATAGCCTGTTCCTATTCCTTATTGGGAGGTGTTTTTACCTTTCTCAGCATTCCACAAGTTACTTCCTCCTTCATTTGTTCTCCTCTGCCTTTGCCTCATTTAGAAAGTTCTAAGTTGCTAGCCAATCGGGACAAATACAGAATGTGAGGTCCCACCAGCCAATGGAAACCAGACACAGCAGTAAGGTGGACGTGTCAGGTTATAAATGATCCTGTCTCCTTTGTTCAGTGTATTCTTGTGGCAAAACTGCTGGCAAGTATAACCTTTCTGCAGAAAGTAAAAAAAATGGCCTTGCTGAGAAAATTAAATTTATATTCAAGTGCTATTTCTTTGCAGCACTGGAGAACAAACATGTCTAACATTCCATAAATCTTAGATACAAGAAAGTTCACATTTCTTCATATTTCCACATCAAATTGAATCTAGCTCTGAGCCCTCCCCTGCCCAACCTTCCCAATCACAGACACACATAACTTAGTCAGAGCTGATGAGAAATTCAAACTCAGTCAAATCTTCAGAAGGACTCCCTGTCCCCCAGGGTCAAACAAGAACTCATAGAATGGGCCTCACTGCTGTAATCATCCCTCTCCAAGGACAAGCCAGCCCCAAATCCCTGCATCATCACTCTCAAGCCCAGTCTGCTTTGTAGGTTGTCTCCGGGTATACCTGTAGCCATCTGGCTACCCTGCTCTCCCAAACACACACACACACACACACACACACACACACACACACACGTTAAAAGATATTTTTGGGAAAAATAAAATCATGACTCATAAAAACATAAAAACAAACATGTACTAAAGGTTTTATGTTACTCATATGATATGAAGGACGCAAACAATGTCATAACCAGGTCAAAGAAAAGGTCAAAACACACACATTTATGTGGGAAAAGCAGTGTTGGGATGAATTGCAAGTGGAGACAAAACTTGTTTTCCCAGGGAGGTAGGGGAAGTCAATTAAATCAAATCACTACTAGACAAGACCCAATTCATATTCATATCAGCTACAACTTACTAAGAGTTGCAGAATCACTCTGAGATAAGGAACAGAGCTGGACTCTGATATCCCAGCCTGGAAGGTCACAATGTAGATGATGCATAGTTTTCTGATGAAATATATATGTATTTTCTTCAATACAAAACTGGGTTCCACCATTGCTCTCCCATTTCTCCCACATCTGGGTCAATCAAAGCTAATCCCCTACAATGAGCCCAGACTCCCTGGAGGAAAAATGGAGTGAGATAGTGGATATACAAAAAGACAATGGCCAGACCATACATAAAAATAGAACTCTGATCTACAAACTGCAGCAACCAACGTAGTGTGACATCAACACAATATCTACAGTAAGCAGCTCAGGAAGCCACAGTATCATCTCTAGCCATGATTCCAGGAAGCTAAACAATAACCCCTGTAACAATTAGCCCAGAACAGCCAAGACTTGATGAGTAACTGATAGCTGCTCCAATTTTTGCCATCCCCCATACACACTCATGGACTTCCAGCATAGGGCCCACCAGAGAAAGTTAAATATCCCTCTGATATAGGTTGGATGTGTGTCCCCTCCAAATCTCATGTTGAAATGTGATCCCCAATGCTGGAGGTAGGGCCTGGTGGGAGGTATTGGATCATGGGGGTGGATCTCTCATGAATGGCTTGCTGTCATCCCCTTGGTGACAAGTGAGTTCTTGTTCAGTTAGTTCACATAAGATCTGGTTATTTAAAAGAGTCTGAGACCTCTCCCTTCTCTCTCTTGCTCCCTCTCTCTCCATGAGACATGCCTGCTCCCTGCTCACCTTCCACCATGATTGTAAGCTTCCTGAGGCCCTCACCAGAAGCAGATGCTGGCACTATGCTTCCTGTACAGCCTACAGAAACTTGAGCCAAAATAAACCTCTTTTCTTCATAAATTACACAGCTTCAGGTATTCTTTTATAGCAGCATAAACAGACTAACACAGCAAATTGGTACCAAGGAGTGGGACATTGCTATAAAGATACCTGAAGCTTTGAAACTAAGCAATGGGCAGATGTTGAAAGAGTCTTAGAAGAAGTCTTAGAAGAAAATAGAAAGAGAAGGGAGAGTTTGGAACTTCTTAAAGACTTATTAAGTGGTTTTGACCAAAATGCAGATAGAAATATGGGCAGTGAAGGCCAGGCTGAGAAGGTCTCAAATGGAGATGAGGAACTTATTGGGAACTGGTGTAAAGGTCACCCATGTTAGGCACCAGCAAAGAAACTGGCTTCATTGTGCCCATGGCCTAGGGATTTGTGGAGGGTTTAACTTTAAGAGCGATGACCTAGGGTATCTGGCAAAAGAAACTCCTAAGCAGAAAAGCATTCAAGAAGTGGTGTGGCTGCTTCTGACTGCTTATGATCAGATGTGGGAACAAAGAATTACTTAAAGTTGGAACTTATATTTAAAAGAGAAACTGAGTATAAAAAATTTGCAGTCTGGCCTCAGCATTTTCAGGAGAGGAATTCAAGTGGCCTGTGGAGCAACCATTTGCTAGAGATTAGCATGACTAAAAGTGAGCCAAGTGCTAATATCCAAGACAACGAAATAAAGGCCTCAAAGGCATTTCAGAAGTCTGTGAGGCGACCCCTCCCATGACAGGCCCAGGTGTGTAAGAGAAAAGAATAATTTGGGGTGTCAGGCCCAGGGTGCTGCTGCCTCATATAGCCTTGGAACACACGTCCCAGCATCCTGGCTGCTCTAGCTCCAGCTGTGGATCAAAGGCCACAGGTACAGCTTGGGCCACCACTCTGGAGGTTGCAAGCTGTAAGCCCTGGTGGCTTCTATGTGGTGTTAAGCCTGCAGGCTTGCAGAATGTAACAGTGAAGGAGGCTTGGCAGCTTCCCTCTAGATTCCAGACGATGTATGGGAAAGGCTGGGTGCCCTAGCAGAAGCTTCCCCCAGAGGTGGAACCCCAACAAGATACTCTACCAGGGCAGTGCTAAAAAGAAATGTGGGGTTGGAGACCACAAACAGAGTCCCTACTACGAGGGCACTGCAAAGTGGAGCTGTAGGACTGGGCTGCCATTCCCCAAATCCAAGAATGGTAGAACCACCTGAAGCTTGCACCCTCTGCCTGGAAAAGCTGCAGGCATTCAATTTTAATTTGTGACAGCAGCCTTGGGGACTTTGCCCCAAAGAGCTACAGGGGCGAGCTGCCCTAGGCCTTGGGAGCCCACCCCATGCACCAGTGGGCCAAGGATGTGGGGCATGGAGTCAAAAGAGATTATTTTGGAACTCTAAGTTTTAATGCATGCCTTGATGGGTTTTGGACTTGTGTGGGGCCTGTTGCCCCTTCCTTTTGGTTGATTTCTCCCTTTTGGAATGAGAATGTTTACCCAATGCCTATACCCCCATTGTATTTTGGAAGTAAATGACTTGGTTTTGATTTTACAGGTTCATTGGTGAAAGAAACTTCGAGTCTCAAATGAGACTTTGGACTTTTGAGTTGGGGCTAGAATAAGTTAAGACTTTGGGAGACCATTGGAAAGAGATTATTGAATTTTGCAAAGTGAGGACGTGAGATTTGGGGG
Organism: Homo sapiens; assembly: GCF_000001405.40. Lineage (NCBI taxonomy): Eukaryota > Metazoa > Chordata > Mammalia > Primates > Hominidae > Homo > Homo sapiens. The sequence goes on along the minus strand of NC_000002.12, from coordinate 101,968,937 downwards.
CAGTGATGGAATGATACAGTTTGGGTGTTTGTCCCTTCCAGATCTCATGTTGAAATGTAATCCCCTATGTTGGAGGTGGGGCCTGGTAGGAGGTGATTTGATCTTAGAGGCAGATCCCTCATGAATGGCTTGACACTATCCCCTTGGTGATGAGAGAGTTCTCACTCAGTTAATGTGAGATCTGATTGTTTAAAAGAGCCTGGTACCTCCCCCTCCTCTTTCTTGCTCCCTCTTTTGTCATGTGACTTGCTGGCTCCCCTTCACTTTCTGCCATCATTGTAAGCTTCCTGAAGCCCTCTCCAAAGCTGATGCTGGCATCACGGTTCCTATACAGCCTGCAGAACTGCGAGCCAAAATGAACCTCTTTCCTTTATAAATTACCCAGCCTCAGGTATTCCTTTATAGTAATGCAAACAGACTAACACAGACCCCCTAACCAATCATACCGGAGGCCCCATTTCTAGTTAGCCACCTGTAGCTCCCCAACACCAACAGCCTCCAATCGGAACACCTGGAGCCTTATGTGCTTTCCATCATGAAGCGTTTTTACCCCTCTGCCTGCCTTTGAGTCTCTGCCAAACACAAGTGCTGGTGGCCAACTTCCTTGCTATGGAAAGCTCTGAATAGCTTTTGCTTGTTCTCATTTGGGTGGCATTCAATTATTTCCACAAAGGCATGAGTTGCGCAACTGGCTATAAAAATTTTGCTAACCCCTGCAACAAAGGAGGCCGGAATCCAAAATCAAAAAGCTCAGCCTGCTTACCCATATTGAAAAGAATAGAAACCTTACCTTGTTCATTCTCTTACAGTGGTAAGCGCAAGATAAATTTACACATTAGCCATCAGGCTGTTGCATAGGTAAGGTGCATGGTGCACAGGCCATCAGACTGTGAGTCCCCACCCGCTTCCAGGCCACTGAAGACCAGGAAAGGGAAGAACCAAACTGCATTGTTTGTAAAAAGAATTTGAATACCTCACTCTTTCCTAAACCTGTGAAAATCTCACACAAAATCCCTTTGGCTCAGCCTTTCTTCCTGGTGTCATTGTGAGCACAAGGCCACCTAACCAAACTCCATCCCATCCCTGCTCAGGGGCACTGTGGCTGCTCTACCTGATGCTGACTCTGTTGCTGAACTTCCCCTTTGGGAAGCCAGCCACTGAGGCTGTATTCTGAGACATCCTCTTTCAGGGTGGCCTGCCTCTCACCTTAGACTCCAAAGGGCCCTCATTCCAAATATCTTGGCAGGTGCCCCTGGAATGAGCCTTCCTTCAAAGTTTTCCCTGCAAACCTGGGGTGAGGGTGGGAGCAGAGATGAGCAGGAATAGAAAATGGGAAAAACAATAATTGCAAGAGGTGCTGTGATCTGTAGCCACACCAGGAGTTATCAGGAGAGTGAATTCACTATATTCTCACATGCAAAAGTTACCATCTACCAAGGTTATAGAAGTGCTTTTCTTGCTCCATAAAACATAAATTTATTAAAAGCATTGGTGAATCCATTGTGGCTTTCTGTGTTTCTGTGTGCTATAAATTTTTTAAAATATTCCAAACACCATTACTGTTATCAAACAGGAGATCAAAGGGTTTTCTTTACTCACTACTAGCTATCACTAGCTTCTGAGCCCCAGAAACAAGATGTGATGTGGAGACCCCAGATCCAGCTAAGCCTGACTTCCACCCCTGCAAGGACAGGTGGAAGAGAGCAGCTAACACGGGCAACCATGGCAGACACCTGGTTCCACTGCCTTTGCAGGAACAGGAGTGAACTATCTCCTGCTCTGGGTCCAGCCTCCCACACCACAGTCTTAAGCAAATCACAGCCTCTCTGAGTCTGCTTCCTCAACAAAAATGCAGCAGTACCTTTCCTGACCAGCTCGGCAGGCTGGTGTGGAAATCAAATTACATGGAGTTTGTGAAGTTTCTTTGAAAATGGTTTAAAAGATAACCCCCCAAACACACAAACAAATAAATAAAATCAAAGCCATACACAGGTAAGACACTGTTGCCTACAAAATGTCTTCTTCCTTCTCACCATAATTCTGGAAGAGGTTGGGAGTGACGGTAGCAGCCATTACCACTGAATCTGCATTTTATAAGGAGTTATTTTTAGTTCAAGGTAAAAGGAGTCAGTGGAAGGGATTTACTTGGATTGACCCAGAGCCACTATCTGCAGGTATATGATTTGGGTCACTTGAATTAGCTGCTATGAGCCACAGTTTCCTCATCGACAGATTAAGAGGTGATAGTTCCTAAATTATAAATCGTTGAGAGGATTAAAGGAGACAATTCATAGATAACACACTTAAGTTCAGTGTCTGACTATAGTACTCATAGTAAGTTCTTAATGATTTATGATAATGATTGAAAACCCATTTATTATATCCCCACAAGGCCAGATCTGAGAAGACCAGGGACCAAAATCTTTTCAATTCAACCAGAATTAATTGTGTCAATTCAGCACTGTGCCAAGCATTCTATAGACATAAAATAATCAATCCAGCCCACTGTCCTTCACACGTCTAGAATCCCACAGGAAAGACCAGCACATCCACGAAGACAGGATCCATGAGCTCTGGATATGTATTTTACTTCTATGTGTAGTGTAAGTTGGTCATTTGGACATTAAATGAGACCCCAGAGGAAACTGGGCACAGGAGGAGCCCAGGCACAGACACTCCTAAGACCACGATGGCACCTCTAGTGGATGCACGGCCACAAGGTCCCTCAGGCCCAGACAAAGGGTAGAGGATGTCACCAGGCAGCACAAGACTAGGGGACCTTATGCATTTCCTGGAGCAGGCAGATTTGGCTGTGGAATTCCCTTTGGTGTCTCCTCTAAACATATTTATTTATTTGTTTATTTATTTATTTATTTTGAGACTGAGTCTCCCTCTGTCATTCAGGCTGGAGTGCAGTGATGTGATCTCGGCTCACTGCAACCTCTGCCTCCTGGATTGAAGTGATTCCCCTGCTTCAGCCTCCTGAGTAGCTGGGATTACAGCCACGCACCACCATGCCCCGCTAATTTTTGTACTTTTAGTAGAGATGGGGTTTCACCATGTTGGCCAGGCTGATCTCGAGCTCCTGACCTCAGGTGATCGGCCCACCTCGCCCTCCCAAAGTGCTGGGATGACAGGCATGAGCCACCACACCCAGCCTTAAACATCAGTAAAAGGAAGACTTGGCAGTGGAATCAGACAAGGGAACAAGAGAGTTAGATGATTTGGAGGACTTGATATTTTCCGAACATAGTACGTTTAAAGGCTCAGAAGATTCCCAAAGAGTAAGAGTACCATGCTACTTGTATTGTTGGACCATTGCAGTTTAAGACCTTTTATACGTACATTTCCTCTTGTAATCCTCTCCAAACTGCTGTGACGAGTTCTCTCCCTTTGACACAGGGAGATCACCCATGTAAAAAGTGCAACCCCATTTTTCTAACTTGGAGGACAGTGACCTTTCCCTACACAGATCGTCTCTGGAGGAACCCCTTTCTCAAGCTCCCGCCAGTGTAGGAAGCATGGAGAGGCTAATTACAAATGCAGATTCCTGACCCACCCACCTCCAGAGTTTCCAGTTCTGGAAGTGCACAGGGCCCAAGAATCTGCATTTTAACAACCTACCCTGGTGAGGCAGATATAGTTCCTCAGATCCCACATGAGAAAAAATATGAGACTAATAAGACTATGTCCTGGATCCCAAGGAAAAACACTGAATGGGTCTCTCTCTCTCTCTCTCTCTCTCTCTCTCTCTCTCTCACTCTCTTTAAAGAAGAAGAAGTAGGAACAAAGAAAACCACATGAAATGGAATGGGAGCTGGAAAAGCAATGTTAATGAAAGGTGTGTCTTTTCTAGGAACCACAAAGAAGTGCTGCCTTGAGGTCATAGGAAGAGAAGGCAAGAAAGAAGGCTTTGAAACTGAAGGCAGGCTTCCCTCCTCTGCGGCTCCCAGGGTCCAGCGAGGCCCATGGTGCCTCTTCTGAATTCAGAGCCTGCATTCAGAAGTAGGAGGAAACCAAATGGTTGGAGAGGAGAGCATGAGGCCCTGACCGGGGGCAGAGACAGGCCCAGTGCATGGTGGTGTCCTTCCATGAAATACCTTGGCTGGTGGGGTCCAGGTTCCCCGGCCTCCTGTTGGGCTGTGGCCACTGTCTTCCCAGATGGATCACCGAGCGCCTAAGTGGAACTTCAGCTTTATCCAAACTCCTCCTGCTGATGGTTTCAATAAGCGGCATGACTGTGGGTTTAAAATGGAAAGCAGGGGTTGTCTGAGCTCCACCAAGTCTGTTCTCTGACTGTAGCAATGTGAACACTAGATTTACAGAAACCGGATTTGGCTATCCAGTTTACTGTAGCGTAGCCTACTTCTCCCAAGCCTTAATCACTTCATTAGCCCAAAGATCCCCACGAAAGAACTGAGTCCGCTCCCAGCACCCACCTGCACTGTCCTACCTGAAGTCTAAATCACACCCAGTGTGCAAAAGAAAAGACCAGTTAGCTGCACCCTGGTGCCCTCACTCCTTTCGAACTTGCTGAGGTCTCTCTGTTACCGCTACTCATTTCCCTGCTTAGAGGCTGGAAGGACAAATACAAAGTAAAAATAAGAGGTTGAATTCTCCTTGCTGAAAATAAGAGAAAAGACTTCTCTCCTCTTTTTTTTCTTACAGCATTTACTTTCGAAAACTTGTAAGTTCTTTTCTCTGTCTCTTCGAAATGGATGTAAATCTTTTTAGAACCTAAATAAGCCTCTTGCCAGCTTTATGACTGGGGCATGCCTTTCTCCAGGAGCTGGCAGTCAGCTCTTTGAAATGTGAGCATTAAGGGAGATGCACCCCTATCTCCGAGCTTAACTTGAGAGGGTACCTGGCTCCAAGTTGCAAAACTCCCTGTTGTCATAAAGATAGGACTTTATCTTCCCTTTAAAATCAGTTAACTAACACAGATGGTGGCCCCACTTACCAGGTAAATTTAGGATGAACTATGTGTAAGAAACAGTGCTGTCAAGCCCTCTTTCTTGAGGACTGATTATCGTATATCTTGAGAACATATATGTAATGGGTTCTATCTGATGGCTGTATAACAAGGGTAAGATTTGTTTCTGTCTTTGCGTCTCCTTGCAAATTGCCTGTAATGCATATCACATTGTGGTTTAATGCTTATTTAATGATAAAATTGTTTCCTTTCTGTTCTACCTTTGTGGAGAGCTTTTCTGAGTTGAGGGAAGATTTTATGTTTAATGATATCCTCCCCTCTACATAGGGCGAACAACTTCATGTCTCTCTTCTCCCAGAGGCATGAGGTACACTCAAACTCTGAGCCCATGCTGTGAGTCTAGCCAGTGCTCCCTCACAGCTTCATGCCTCTGGAAAGTTCTCAAAGTTGACAGCTGTAGGCCTATGGAAGCCCTTGCACCCCTCTAAGCTTGATTTGCAGCTACCCTGCCCTAGGTCTTGTTGTCCTGCTCACCGCTGTGGCCCAGTGCAGCATGCAGGTGGCTGAACAAGTGTTGAATTCCTGGTCTCCAACTAACGTGTAAAGTAACCCAAGGCCAACCAGAGTGGGAGGAGAGGCCCCCGGGAGCCAGGACTGGGGAGATGGATGAGAAGCCCTTGTAGGGTCAGTGCAGCATGGCCTCTGAGGCTGTCGGCTGTCTCCCTTCTGAAACTTTTCCTCCCCAGTATGGTTCACCCAGTCTTCTTTTTGCCATATTGATATCTCTTAGCTTCTAAGTGGGTTATAGGGGGCAGGACCCACAGCCCCCAGCTGCTCAGAGTCCCACAAAGGGGACTCCCAGCTCCCAGTTCACTCTAACAGATTTTGGGAATGTGGTTTCTCCCGGGTTGGCCTCCCACATCTAGAGACAGTCAAGGGTGAGGCAGGGACAGGGAGGAGGGTGACAGGAAGCCACAAGCTGAACATGCTCTCTCTTCCCAGGGTGCGAAATGTACTCAAATGATCAATTACAGTATGATTTGTAAAGAAAATAAATAGGGATTATATTATGCAGTTGGACTCGAGATGTCACACTAATTTCTAAGTGAATGCAGGAAAGGACAGATACAGTCATGTTCCACCCTTAGGGCTGTGTTTTCTACCCCTAGGCTCCCCACCCCATCCCTGGCAGAGACGCCTTAACTGGCAGGTTTGCAAAGCTCCACTCATGTGCAGACAGGACCACCCTGTGAGGAATGCAGGGCAAGGGGTGTCTTTTATTTTTTATAGGTGAGGCTCAGTGCAGCTTGGCAATGAGCTTGGTGCTTTCCATCACACACACACACACACACACACACACACACGTGCATGCATACACATATGCACGTCCATGTGCGCACACATACACACACACTCACATACTGCCCTGCTCCGGGCAAGCAGGCTGACCCCTCACTCTGCACCCCTCCATTCAGCTTTCAGGAGGCCCCTGCAGAAGACCGGGAGGTGAGAGGAGGCAAGGAGAGTGTTTCTGCACACGTAATGCTATCACCGCAGCCCTCTTCATTGCTCTGTTCTCGCAAGGCTGGGAAGCGCCCTGTGCCCTCCTCGCCCTCCGCAGGGGTGGAAGAGCTCCTGCAGTTGCTGTCTGTGGCTGCCCCAGCAGCCCTGTCATCCCCTAACCCACCCCCACCTTGGGAAAGAGGCCCTCCTTAGAAACTCCTGGGGTGACCCTGCTTTCTGCCACATCCCTGGTGGATATGAGGGCTCTGGCCAAGCCACACAACCAGAAGCAATGCTGCCTCTGACTCCCAGACCCAGCTTTTGGCAGCTCACCCCAAGGCCTCTCAACTGCCCAAGCAGACCCTGCCTTCTGGAATTGCTCCCAGCCGGGTGGCGAAGAGTGGTGTGGATGATTCTTCTCCTCCTCCTGTAGATTAATCTCAACTGCCTCACAAGGGACTTTGGTTTGTGTGATGCAATCCCCACCCCCATCCCAGTCCCTGACTCCCGTCTCCTCCCTCCCCAACCCCGCAGAGACCTTGGCTAATTCTGCTTGGCTATTGCTAAACTGCCAATGAGTTACTGTCCTCAACCCCACAGGGGGTCCCATGGGGTAGGAACCTGGGGACCCACTAGGGTGGGGAATTGGAAAGGAAGCAGGCACTGAGATAGGTGCTTCTCCGACATTATTTCATTCCATTTTCTAACATTCATCATGTCATATGCTTTGAGTCCCGTGTTAAAGGTTTGGAAACTGAGGCCCAGAGGGTGTGAGTGGATTTGACCAAGGCCCAGCACCAGCAAATGGCACAGCCCGTGTTTTCTCCACGCTGACTCCTTTCAGCCTTCAACACCAGGAGGGGCAGCACTGTCTGTGTGTGAAGGGCTGAGTCCAGGACAAAAGCCAGAACCCCAGGTTTGTTCTAGAAGCTGCTCCGTGTTTCAACACAGGGGTTGCCTAAGAGTCATTTGCTTGCAGAGAAGCAATGCCAGAACTTCTCTGCCTGGTTGAGAAACAGCATGCTGTTTACGCTATGCAAAACAGAAACACGTTATGAAACCCACTAACCAGAGTCCAGCTGGCTGCGCTCAATTCCCAGCTCCCAGGGAGAGGTTGTGGCAGGGGACCCTGGGAAATGTTGCTTTAGGCCAAGCCACTGCATGACTGTTGGCCCAGAGGCCCCTAAATTCCTTAGATTCTGAGGTAAGCTCACAGGTCCCACCAGGACATGGAGAGAAGGGTCCAGAGCCCGAGACTTCCAAAGAAAACACCGGCTGTCTTTCAGAAGACTCTAAGTGCAGAGGCTGAGCCAATAGGCACATGGCAGGAGAGGAGGCAGAAGTTCAGGGACTGTGAACTGCCCAGACCTGCTACTTCTGCTACTATGTGTCCTGGGGCACTCATTTAGCTTCTCCAGGTCCCCACCTACCGCAGCACAGCCAGCAATTCCTGCCCTCCCAGATATGAAGGTGCCAGGACCCTTGGGAGCACCCAGGTGGATATGCATAACCTCCAGATATACAAGGCCAGTGGTCATGTCACGGCGTCTGCTTTTACAAACTGACGTGTTTGTTTTTGTTTGTTTTGAGACAAAGTCTCACTCTGTCAGGCTGGAGGGCAGTGGCACAATCTCGGCTCACTTCAACCTCCACCTCCTGGGTTCAAACAATTCTCCTGCCTCAGCCTCAGGAGGAGAGTAGCTGGTATTACAGGTGTCCGCCACCATGCCCGGCTGATTTTTGTATTTTTAGTAGAGACAGGGGTTCACCATGTTTGCCAGGCTGGTCTCGAACTCCTGACCTCAGGTGATCCACCTGCCTCGGCCTCCCAAAGTGCTGGGATTATAGGCATGAGCCACCACGCCCAGCCTACAAACTGACTTTTTTAAAAGTCCCTCTCCCTTCCAACTTCATCAGCCAGAAGCAGGATGCTTTCAGTCCTTGCAATGACAGGGAGGGGAATATGATAAGTCAGAAGCCTTGGAGGACTTTAGACATAAGTCACAGTTACTATGCCTCAGTTTCTCTCTCTGTCAAGTGAGGGGCATGGGTGAGATCACCTTGGAGATTACCTCAGTGGGGGCTCTGGGAAGCCACAGCCATCCTGCTAATCTGCCTGCCTCTCTTGAGCTCTGCGCCTACCTCTGGCTCAGCTTAGATGGATGGTGGAAGGCTCAGGCTGAACGCCCCAGTTATCCATCAACTGGAGATCATCTCAGAACAGAATGTCCTCTCCATGGAAACCCACCTTGGCCCCTGAGAATATCATACTCTAGCCCTTCAAGGTAGGCAAGGAGGAAAAATCACCACGAAGCAAGCGGTGACTGGATCAAGCAAACCCCAGTCTGCTAGGTTTGCCAAGGCTCACACTCCCAGTGGATGCTTGGCCTTTCTTGGGAAGTTGAGCTTGAAAGAGTGAGGAGTCAGGGCAAAGGGGAGGAGCCGCTGTGCTAGGTAGAAAGAACAGGATGGCCTGCTGGAAGAAGCCCTGGCAAATGGTTGGTTCATTCTCCTGAACAAATGCCCCAAGGCTGGACCGGGTGCGTTACCAGCAGGTACTGCCCAACCCCCATGCCCAAAGTTGGCACCCAATGCAGTGGCCACAAATCCTAGAGGCACCATCTCCCTGCAAAACAAAACTTCCAGACAGGACTTTTTACCCTCTATAAACAAGACAATAATCAGTTGTTCCAAACCCTGTAATCCCAAAGGCAATTGAAGAGGCGGGATGGAAAGCCTTGGCACTCTGCTTAAAGATCAGCCCAGATCAATGAACTATCACTGTCTAGGTTATCATAATGAATATGCTGAAGTGGGTTTTGCAAGAAAAGCTGTTAATGGAATCCCTGAGGCCCAGTACCAATCGTGCTATTTTTAAGATATGTGGGTGATATGGTAGGATGGCACTTGGTGCCCAATTCAGCCTTCCTGTACGGCAGATCCAAAACCCTGGCTGCTAGGCTTTTAGATGCAAACGAGGTCTCATCAAGCAGATGCATTTCCTCATGGTTTGGGCCACCATTTTCCATAGCTTCTGCCGTTGCCACTGGCAAGCATGGCTATTGGGATTCTGAGGGCCACTCTTTGCCAGCTTTGTGGGTGTTCAGGGCTCACTGCAGTGGGGCAGTGGCAGCTTCCCAATGTCCAGATCAAGCTATGTGATGAGCCCATCACCTCAGCCATTCTAGGATTGGTCTCCTGATTTTTCTCATGACTGTTGGTGGTAGAGACAGCAGCTCCCCTGGTGGGCCAGTTCTGCATCATTGTTCTAGGAGTCATTCCAGAAGGCCTTTCCTAGAGCCTGCTCCATTCCTTCTAATATAACCATCCACCACATGCCAAGGCCTGATCTGTACACCATGGCCACAAAAATAGAGGCGTATAATTCAGGTGGGAAAACACACGGAAAAATGACTGATAGGCCTCTCTCCACTCATTTCCCTGCCCCATGCCCATCTCTGCCTAGTGAAACCCTGCTCGTCCTTCAAGATTCAGCCCTGCAGGAAGCCCTTGTTACTACCTCCATAGACATACACCTGGTATTGTAGCTATTTATATGTGAATTATTCTTTCTATTAAGATGGTAACCCCTTTGCAGAGCAGAGACCCTGTCTTCTCTTATTTTTTTGTCTTTCCCAATACTTGCCCTAATGTTTGATGCTTGGAAGCATCCCAATCCCAGTGAACACCATATTTGTTGGTTTAATGACTGAATGATTCTCAGTGAAGACAAAAGACATGGGCAAAAACCAACAGGGAGCAGCACATGGCAGTATATGTAAAAGCTGAGTTAGGTGCTACCAACAAAGAATGGCAGCCTCCTCCTCTACTTCAGCACCCCAGCAACTCCTGTCCCCATCCCAACCCAAGCCACAATGGTCAGAGGTAAAATCTCTGAGCAAATCAAACTATAGAGGTGCTGGGCTTCTGGTTACTAAAAGCAGTGAAAATCTAAGGCCAAAGACAGGGAGCAAAATGAATTTTTATCTGATTGAGACAAAGTTCTGTTTCCAGAATTCCCTTAGCTAGGTCTATGTCAAAGTTCTGTTTCCAGAATTCCCTTAGCTAGGTCTATGTCACCTTTACCAAAAGAATTCAGGATGTGGGAAAAATTTGGCATGTCTGCAATCCACAGGGAAAAAATTGCGTCCAGTTTTAGAGATCTCTCAATGGAAAAGCCCAGTCAACAAGCCCTGAGCTTCTAACTTGCCATCTCATGCCTCATTCTTAAACATGAATGGACGGTGATGAATCATCAGGCATTTCAAGAAAGTACCCAATGTGAAAGACAGGAACCAAAAGAGACAAACAATTACACAGAAAATTAAAGAGAGGAACCAAAAGAGACAAATACACAAAAAATTGAAGAGAGAAGAAATAGGGAACAAGAATGATAAAAACATTTAGAATGTTCTTCAAGAAATAAAAGAAGGTACTGCCCCTGTCTTACATGTATACATTATAAAAATAATGAAAGCAATAATCAGAGAATATGAAAGATTTATTCAGAAATTACAAGAATTTAGCCAATGGCCAAGTTAGCAGACACAGTTCACAAAAGACCCCTCTCTCACTTCTGAGATCAATTGCAAGATCATGAGGTTCCCACAACCACCCTCAGGTTTGATAATTTGTTAGAAGGATTCACAGAACTCACTGAAAGTTGTCATATACACAGATACAGTTTATTACAGGCAAAGGCTGTAGCCTTTGATGTGATGTAGATTCACATCAGCTAGGAGAAAAGCTCATAAGGCAGGGTCCAGGAAAAGTACAAAACACTGAGTTTCTGGTTTTTGTAAATGCACCGTGGAGTCAGGAGGCATTACTTTCCCAGCATCAATAGATCACAATATGTATGGAGCTAACCAAGGAAGCTCACTTGAGCCTCAGGGTCCAGAGTTTTTACTGGGGCACTGCTGTGTAGACATAATCAGTCCATGTGGCTGATCTCGGTCTCCAGTCCCTAACCCCTCCAGGCATGACCTGAAGCCTACCCTAAATTACATTGTTGGTCTTTCTGGTGTGGCCCATCCCCATGTTAAATACGAAAAGACTCAGACCATTTGCTTCCCATGTACCCTTTTGAAGAAAGTACAGGAATTTGTACTTTTGTAGAACTAGGAAATAAACCAAAGAAAAAACACATGTTTTAACATGCTGAAAAAAAAAAGACCACAAATTCTTTACAGCTCTTTCTATCTTTATCCCCACCCTTGAATCTGGGTGGGGAATTGCAAGTTTAACCTCATGAACTTGCAATTGATCTCAGAAGTGAGGGAGGAGTCTTTTGTGGACTGTGTCTGCTAACTTGGCCGTTGGCTAAATTCTTGTAATTTCTCGAGAAATCTTCCTTATTGTCTGATTATTGTTTTCACACAGTACATTATTCTTATAATGTATACATGTAGAACAGGTGCAATATCTTCTCTTACTTCTTAAAGACTTGCATCATGACTTACTGTCTCTCTAGGCCTTGATGTTTCTGAAGAATGCAGGCCAGCTATTCTACAGAATGGGCTGCAATTTGGATTTGTCTGACTTTTCCTCATGATTAGATCTAGTCATGAATCTTTGGCAGGAATATCACAAAAAGAATGTGAGCTTTTCTCAGTGTCATAGTATATCCTTTAAAGAAAAAGTCAGTGGTTTTCAGTATACTTAAAAAATTGTGCAACCATCACCACCATCTAATTTTGACCAATAGAATGTGGCAGAAGTGACAAGCAATCCAAACCTAGGTCTCAAGAGACCTTCGCAGCCTCTGCTCTCCTGCTGGGAATTTTCCTATCACCATGTGAACAAGCCCAAGCTGGCCTGCTGCAGGCTGAGAGGCCATGTAGAGAAAGTCCCCAGCCACCATGGCCATTGCAGCTCAACAGAAGCTCCAGACACGGGAGCCTCAGCTGAGCCAGCCCAGACCAGAAGAACCACTCAGCTGACCCATAAAACCATAAGAAAAAATCAAAATCTTTGTTGTTTGAGACACTTAGTTTTGAGGTGGTTTGTTACCCAGCAAAAGCTAGTGGATAAACATGTGATCCAGCAAATAGGGGGCTTATCTCAAGAAAGTTGCAAAGAAAGAACTCCCACAATGACAGCTGGGCCTACCCTTAACATTGCAGGGCCCAGGGCAAGATTACAAATGAAGACCTACATACTTTATATCTAAGTATTTATAAGACACAAATCAAGTAACACACAGTTCAATGAATATGCACACTCCTACTTGAGCAAATACACCAGGGTAACAACCTGAAAGCAGGAGGCATCTTGGACTCCCACTTGGAGTTCTAGGTGAGATTGTGGAGACTTGGGGAGAGCCAGCCCCTAGCCCATTGTGGTGGTTGCTTCTATCTGTCAACCTGATTGGGCTATGAGATGCCCAGAGAGCTGGTTAAACATTATTTCTGGATGTGTCTATGAGGGTGTTTCTGGAAGAGATTCACATTTGAATTGGTGGGCTGAGTAAAGCAGATGGCACCCATCATCCTGTCTGTTGAGGGCCCAAGTTGAACCAAAAGGTGGAGGAAATGTTGAATTAACTCTGCCTGACTGATGAGCTGAGACACTGATCTTCTCCTACCCTCCATGCTCCTGGTTCTCAGGCCTTCAGACTTGCTCTGGAATCTACCCCATCAGCCCTCTGGCTCTCAGGCCTTCTCACTACACCACCTGGGTTTCCTGGGTCTCCAGCTTGCAGATGGCAGATCATGGATTTCTCAGCCTCCATAATCACATGCGTCAACTCCTTATAATCAATCTCTTTATACATAGAAAGATAGATGATAGATAGATAGATAGATAGATAGATAGATAGATAGATAGATAGATATAGAGACAGAGACAGAGACAGACATAGAGGCAGAGACAGAGATAGAGATAGAGATAGAGATAGAGATAGAGATAGAGATAGAGATAGAGCTAGAGCTAGAGATAGAGATGGAGACAGATGTAGTATTGGTTCTGTTTCTCTGAAGAACCCTGACTAGTACCCCCATCCCCTTCTTCTTTCACCCTGGGCTCTGTCCAACACCACAGGGGAACTCACATGCAGGGGTAAACACCCTAGCTTACTAGTCAAAAACCTCTATCTACTCTCTAGCCTAGCCCAAATAGATGCCCCTGGCCATCCCTCAGGCTGGGGTGGCAGGTCTCTTACATGTACATGCATGCATGCATGAGCATGCACACACATACACACACACAGAGAGAGAGAGAGCAAGGTCCACATTCAGAGAAACAAACCCAGAGAAGAAACCCCACAGGCAGAAGCAGACTCAGACAATAGCACCCAGGAATTTCAGGATCCAAGGCACCCAGGTTGCAGTCTGGAAGGGGAAACCCAGACTCTGGTTGGCGTGACCACTTCACCTCACAGATTTCTCAGCCTATGAGGAAAGAAATGCCCAGAGGAGGGCTGTGAAAAGCACAGGACTTGGGGCAAGGGCCCCTCTTGCCTTGGTCGGATGCCCAGGCAGGAGACCTAGAAAGCAACTAGCTCAGAATCCTAGGAGGGAGGGCCTCTGAAAAGATAGATAGATTCGGAAAGTTATTTTGTATGTTTTACCATCTGGAATACAGATAGCCCTAAAATGTATTTTGTAACAAAAGAAAGAAATACTAGTGGTAAGCCCATAAAAATCTAAGCAAATGAAAATATGAGATAATAATTCACTTCAGGAAATCAAACATTATGCATGAAATAAACCAGAATATCATACTATTTGGTTTAGCCATTGTTTCAATGACATATTGCTGTGTGCTTGGAGAGACAAACTGGGTGAGGCCCTTTGCAGAGAGTACAACCATGCTGAAAAAGAGAGAAAGCAAATTGGAAGGAAGGGAGGCCTTGCAGAAGAAGAGGAAAATGAACATTTCCATCACCCCTATAAGAAATGCCATATTCTTTAACATCCAACACCAAATTATACCCCCGTCCCCAGTGTTAGGCAAGCACTAATCTACTAGCATTGTAAGGCATTCTGGTTACAGAAAGAAAATGTAAGGGACCAGATTGCAATTAAATGTAAATTATGAAAATTACATATTCATTGATGATGACCTTGGAGAAAGGAAAGGGAGTGAAGAAGAATAGCAGCCAGAGAGTGGAAGGAAGGAGAATAAGGGAGGAAGAAAGAAGATGACCCACAAACACTTCCTGCCATCAGGGCCAGCAGGGCCACCTGGCTTCCTGCAAACTCTTGACATCTGAATCCAAACTAGTCATGGCCAAAGAAGAAGCACGTGGACCAAGCGCTGTGCCGTGGTAAATGTAGAGCAGCCTGCTGTTAATATGGGTTTAGTGTCGGAATCCAGGACAGCCAAGACTGTGGCCCACTGAGGCTCCCCAGCACACCTGATTACATGGAGGCACAGTGAGGGGGATGCAACCTTGCACTGCACTTCCAGGGCAGCAGGGACTGCAAGACTCCTGACTGTCCTCCTGAAGCACGTTCTGTGTCCATGCCTGGGCCCCATCCCTACCTCTTTCCTCTGCCAAGCTGCCCTGAGTATTATAGGCAGCTCCTAGCTGGCTATTATGGGGACTTATCCGGGCTTTTATACCTGGGGTTAACCATAGAGTAGAAGTACCTCCAATTTCTATAATTAAATTGAGTCTTAATATCTTTGAGTTGGAACAGACTTTCAAAATCACCTAGTCAAAGACAGCTTCCCCCGCTACTTCTTATGTGAAATAATGGCATGAATTCCTAACTTCTAGCAAGCAAGAAGGAGCTGCGCTGTAAGTCACTTATTGCATTTGAGGCATCGGATACACATGGAACTTCAGCTGTGCTGGCAAGACAAGAAGACAAGGCATTGGACAATTGGGTCAATATAGGGGCACTGAGATGAAAACATCTAATAGGTGAGGGGCCTGAGACATGGCCTCAATGCCTCTTTACTTTTACAATAAAGAGTTTCATTAATTATTATAATTATGTAGACAATATACACTGACAAAAATTTAAAACTATATAAAACCAAAAGGGAGAAAGTAAAAATTCAACATTTGCATATAGACATTAACTTATTAATGATAGTCTCTTCATGTTTCTGTATATGAACGTGCACACTCACATACACAGATATCACCTTTTACATACATGGAATACATCCATGCTTTTTATTCTATAAATGTCTTTTATAAATAGTCCTCTTACTTTTTTCTTATTTGCACCCCTCTCTACTAACAAAAGCTAGTAAGCTGATATGCATCCCTGCACATCCTTCTTGGAGCTCATTTATCTACACATAAATATAAGTAGGGTTTTGGGGTCATTGTATGATAAAAGTAGATTTATATTCTATATCTTTCTCTACATCTTGCTTTTATCACTGAATAATACATCATTGCAATGTTTATTTTTTGTGTTTTGTTTTGTTGTTTTTTTTTTTGAGACGGAGTCTCACTCTGTCACTCAGGCTGGAGTACAGTGGCAGCAATGTTCAATTTTATGTGTCTACTTGACTGGGCCACAGGGTGCCCAGATAGTTGGTGAAACATCATTCTGGATGTTTCTGTGAGTGTGTTTTTGGATTAAAATAGTATTTAAAATCCATGGACTTGAGTAAAGCACTTCCATGATGTGGCGGGCCTCATCCAATTAGTTGAAGGCTTAGATAGAACAATAAGACAAGCCTCCCTAAGCAAGAGAGAATTCCCCAGCTGTTTACCTTCAGACTTCATCTGCACCATTGGCTCTCCTGCATGGCCCACACTGCAGGTTTGGACTTGCCAGTTCCCATAGCCATGCAAGCCAATTCTTTACAATAAATCCCTTTCTATACATATACATATCCTATTGATTCTGTCTCTCTACAGGATCCTTACTAACACAATCATGTTAAACACAGAATTACCTTATGACTCAGAAATTCCACTTCTATGTATATACCCAAGAGAAATGAAAACATATGTCCACACAAAAACCCATACACAAATGTTCACAGCAACATTATTCATAATAGCCAAAGAGTGGAAATAACCCAAATGTCCATCAATGGATGGATGGATAAATAAAACACGACATATCCATGCAACGCAATATTTTTCAGAAAAAACAGAAAGTATTGATACATGGTACAATGTGGATGAACCTTGAAAATATTATGCTAAGTGAAAGAAGCCAGACAAAGGACCACAATTTGTATGATTTAATTCATATGAAATGACCAGAATAGGCAAATCTATAGTAACAACAGCAAGTTGGTTAGTGATTGTCTAGAGCTTGAGGGGTGCAAATAAGAAAAAAGCAAAATTGGGGGCAGGATGTGTGGCTAGAGTATGGGGTAAGGGGTTTCTTATTGGGATGAAGAAAATGTTCTAAAATTAGGTGGTGGTGATGGTTGCACAATTTTGTAAATAAACTGAAAACAATTGAATTTTTTTTTAATGTATCATGCCACTGAGAAAGGCTAACACCCCTTTCGTGATATTCCTACCAAAAACACATGATCAGCACCTAACCATGAGGAAACATCAGATAAGCCAAAACTGAGAGGGATCCTACAGAATAGCTGGCCTGCACACTTCAAAAAAGTCAAGGTCTAGAGAGACAACAAAGGACTGAGGAAATGTCCCAGGTTGAAGAAGATCAAAGAGACATGACAAGTAAATCCAATGCAGATCCTGGATTCAATCCCAGAGACCTATCATTTTTTTCTATAAAGGACATCAGTGGGATAATTTGCTGTGGACTAAATAACAGTATTATACCAATGCTCATTTCCTGACTTTGCTACTTATACTATTATTATGTTTAAAAATGTCCTCATTTTGAAGAAATATATACTGAACTATTTAGGCAAAAAGAATAATAAAAAGTTATTTATACCCAGAGAGACAGAGCTAGCCTACAAATATGGTAAAATCTTAAGAACTGGAGCATCTGAGAGAAGAGGAATAAAGAAATTGTTTGCATCTCTTTTGTAACTTTCCAGAAGGTCTTCAATTATTTCAAAATAAAAAGGAACATATCGTGACAATCTTTCCTAGTCACTGGTATCAGTCTGACTCATGTTTCCAGTGGCTGCATGATATTCCACTATCTGGATGAATGAAGGTTTTTCAAACATTTTTCCACTGATGGACTTTGGTCTTGCATCCAGTTCTTGACACAAAATTTAGGTACATAAATCCTTACATGTTGGTGCTTCTATTTTCATAGGATATAGTGCCAGAAGTAAGATTGCTGGAAAGAAAGTTATGTCATATTTTTATTTATCTTTTAAATAAATTATTTGTTTTAAGTTGTATATATTTATAGTGCCCAATGTGATGTTTTGAAATATGTATACATTGTGGAATGGCTAAATTGATCTAATTAACATGTGCCTTGCCTCACATACTTGTCGTTTTCGCAGTGAGAACACAAAATCTAACCTCTTAGCAATTTTTTTTTTTTTTTTTTTTTTTTTTGGAGCCAGAGTCTCCCTCTATCGCCCAGGCTGGAGTGCAGTGGCGCGATCTCGGCTCACTGTAACCTCCACCTCCCGGGTTCCAGCAATTCTGCTGCCTCAGTCTCCTGAGTAGCTGGGATTACAGGCATGCGCCACCACGCCCGGCTAATTTTTTATTGGTAGTAGAGGCAGAGTTTCACCATGTTGGCCAGGCTGGTCTCAAACTCCTGCAATTTTTAAGAATATAATACATTGTTATTAACTGTAATCTCCATGTTATAAAAAATGGGTCACTTGAGACCGGGTGTGGTGGCTCACACCTGTAATCCCAGCAGTTTGGGAGGCCAAAGCAAGTGGATTGCCTAAGGTCAGGAGTTCGAGACCAGCCTGGCCAACATGGTGAAACCCTATCACTACTAAAAATACAAAAATTAGCAGGGCATGGCGGTGGGTGCCTGTATTCCCAGCTACTCGGGAGGCTGAGGCAGGAGAATCACTTGAACCTGCAAAGCAGAGGTTGCAGTGAGCCAAGATGGCACCACTGCACTCTAGCCTGGGGGACAGAGTAAGACTCTGTCCTAGGTCTCTTGAATTTACTCCTCCTGTCTATCTGAAATTTTGCATCCTTTGACAAACATGTCTTCATTTGTGCCCCCTAACTCAGCCTCTGGAACCATCCTTTGACACTCTTTCTGCTTCTATGAATTCAACTTTTTTAGATTCTAAAAATAAATGGGATCATGCCGTATTCGTCTGGCTTATTTCACTCACCACAATGTCCTTAAGGTTTATCTGTGTTGTCACAAATGATGGGATTTCCTTTTCTATGGCTAAGTAATATTCCATTGTGTATGTATACACCATATTTTCTTCAGCCATTTATCAACAGAGGGACACTTAAGTTGATTCCATATATTCATATTTTTAGTTTTAATAGTCACTGCTATATTGCTTTCCAAAAAGTCTACACAATTTATTTTTCCAGTGGTATATGAAAACTTAACCCAATTTTTATCAATGATGGGTGTCACTCTTCTAATTTTTATAAATTACATTATTCTAATTTGTATTTCCCTGCTACTTATGAAGTTCTATATCTTTTTATATCTTTAACAGCCTTTCAATTTGCTTTTGTGAATATGAACTGTCCATTCATGTATTTTGCCCATTTTTCTACTTGTTACTAATTTTTTCTCAAATTTTATGTTTCTCTTAGCAATCTTTCAATAAAAAATCTCCTCCCCTCATTTTATCATTATCCAGTTAAATTCTACTTATAGTATAATTTGACCTCCAGAAAATTTTGTGTAATCAAACACATCTGTCTTTTCTAATATACATTCTAGATGTGTTGTTTTGGCTTTTAAAAGTCTCTCCTATTGTAAGGGTAAAACATAACTGCATTGTTTTCTTCTATAATTTTTATTTAATTATTTTTATATTTGTGTTTAATTTAGCTAGACTTTGTTTTTGAATATGGAATAAGGAAGATGTTTATTTTCCTTTGATGAGTGCAAAGGATACCAGCAGCAAGCAATAAATGAGTCACAAACCAACCCAGAGACACAGTGTGAGTAGTGGTTAGAGCTAAGCAGCCTGATTGGTGATCCCAGCTCTGCCACTTGCTAGCTGTGTGACCTGATGCAAGCCACTTATCTTCTCTGTGCCTTACTTCTCTCATTTGTAAAATGGGGTCATAATAGAACCTACTTCAGGATTGTTAGGACAATTCAATGAGTTTATAAAAGTGCTTATAACAGTTCCTAGAGCACGGTTGGAGTGAGATTTAGTATTGCTATTTTTCAGCTGCTAAGCCTCTTACTTTACAAGTCTCGGGGTAGAGAGGTCTCAAATTCCTAGTCCACTCACGAGCGGCACTCAAGGGAGAAAGACCAGCAGGTCCTCCCCAGGACTCACTCAGCCATTGCTGACACCACTCTGAGAGGTCCAGGATCTCCATCAACAAACTCTCTCCCTCCCCCATGGCTCTAGGCTCTACTCCCCAGACTTTCATCCTGCCCAGTGGAGAGTCCCACAGGACCAAGACCTGTCCCATCCCCACCCACCTGCCAGCCAAGCCTGCTATTGCTGCTTGGCTCAAAAGAGGAAGTAGGTTGTTGGTGGGAGTGGGTGGGAAGGGCATTGGGGTCATCTCCCAAACTTCTCCTTCCCTCCAAACCCCCTCAGCTCTTCCTGGACCCAAAGCCAAGTGGCCAGGGGATGGGCAGGGTGGGTGAGTCATCCAAGAACTCAAAACCTGGCCCCTGTCTTTGTAGTGTGAGTTTATGAGACTGTTTGCACAATAAACCTCTGAACAGTTCTATGAGGCTCTTTGTATCTTATGAAAAGATTAGTTTAAGGGCTAAGGTCAGGAATGAACAAAATACAGTCCTTATAAATATTCATGTATTCACTGAAATAAAACAGTAATTCCCCAGAGTGGAGGTGAGTGCACAGTGACACAGGATGTCCTTTCCCTGACCTCAGATTCGCAGGTAAGGAACTTCTGCTCTAGAAACCACCCTGCCATCCACTCTCCACCTCCACAGAGGTGGGGAATAAGCAAAGGGGTGTGGTGGGACAGGGATCCATTGGTGCACAGGTCTCATTGAGTAGCTAGAACCTGAGAAATGGCTGCCATCACTGGAGAGCTCTCTATGTTTTTACCTTTTCACCCTAGTTTGGTGCCAGAAAGTTATCCTGGGTGATATGGTTTGGCTCTTTGTCCCCACCCAAATCTCATCTTGAATCGCAATCCCCATAATCCCCACATGTTGAGGGAGGAACCTGGTGGGAAGTGACTGGATCATGGGGGTGGTTTCCCCCACATGTTCTCGTGATAGTGAGTGAGTTCTCCTGAGATCTGACGGTTTTAAAAGGGGCTTATCTGACTTCTCTTCACTCTTCTCTCTTGCCTGCCACCATGTAAAACATGCCTGCTTCCCCTTCTGCCATGATTGCTAATTTCCTGAGGCCTCCCCATCCATGCAGAACCATGAGTCAATTAAACCTCCTTTCTTTATAAATTACCCAGTCTTGGATATTTCTTTATAGCAGTGTGAGAACAAACTAATACACTGGGTAATTATGTCTATTCTGCTGACCTTTTCCTCAGGTATCTAGAGCAGGAAGACAGAGATCAGGGTATGGTGCTACTATTCTTAAGTCTTCTTGGCTATAAAGTCATGTTGTCCATGCAGAGCTGGGGGATAAATGAGCATCAGAAAGGAAGGGGCCTGGCACATGGTCCCAGCTCCACCCAGATTTCCCACTCATGGTGCCCTGGTGCTGGGCACCTTTCTTCTGACAACTAAGGAGAAGGTTGAAAAGGTTTGGAAGTAATTTGTCTCTGACATTAAAGTCTTCTCCAGCCCAGGGACACAAGAGAAAGAAGGCATTGTAAGAAGGAAAATGGAAGGGCACCTGGGGACTGAGATTATGTCCCCCACCCCTGCTCCCAGCTCGTCTCTGACTGCACACTGGAATTACCTAATGACAGCGTCCAACTCAGGCAAGTGTATTTGTTTTAAAGGCAACCAGAGTTGAGAAAGCATGAGTTCAACTGGCTTTCAGTGCTCAAACAGCAGAGTGGCATTCCTCTCTTCTAACAAAGGTCCCAAGAAGGAAAAGGAGCTCCTTCCACTCCCCTCCTGACACCCTGCCTGGGCACATTGGAGTTAGGATGCTGGGAGCTGCCAGGAGATGCACGGCCCATGCATCCTCTCCACATATGCTTCCTGGTCACTTAGTTTGGGCTCAAGACTGAGAGATCCTGGCAAGAGTCCGGAGAGAATGAACACCTCTGTCTGCTACAGCCCATAGACACACACACCATTCTGCCTTCCGAACAGCCCAGGTAAGCAATTCCTTGGGAGGTGCAAACTGTCCCACTGGTAGCAACAACTAAAATGGGAGAGGGCCCCACCCATAACAGTGTCCCCACCTCTGCTCACCACCCTGGCTTCTCCCTATGCTCTGTTGATTTGAAGCGAGGGGCTTTGCTCCCTCCTGAGGGGTCATTCAGCAGCGCAGCTCCAAGGTCCAGTCACAGCCCAGTGAGTGAGTCCCGGGCTCCCTGGGACTACCCTTTGAAACCTGCCTTTCATAAGTTCCTAAAACTTTTTGCCCACAATGGTCTGGCTGTTCACTCCTCAGGCACGATTTCCCAGACACTGGAGCCTGTTAATCCACAGGGAATCCCCTTCCCAATGGGAGTGGTCTGCTGTGGAGAAATTCTGGGAAACAGCAAATAGTCCAAAGAAAAACATCCCATTGTAACATGCAATTGTCAATGAGCATGACCAGCAGTTCCCTGAAGTCAGATATGATGTTCCTTTCCTGGAAAGAAAATGGGAGAAATATTTTATCCCCAGACTATATTTCCTGGATTCACAAAGTACATTCCTCTCACTGGAGCATGTGTGTGCAGGAGCTAATTTATCTTGCGCTCCTAGTCCTTCATGGTAGGGCAGGGCATTTCACCACTTGTCAATTTTGATCCCCACACTGGTAATTTGAAACCTATTCCTGAAAACTATGCAAATGCAACCCAGAGACAGGCACTGCCATCAATCACCCTGAAGCATAGAGCAGATGCTCAGAAGTGATGTTGTCATGATGTTGTCAAGATGTTGTCTCACATAGAAATTTTCAAAACAAGTCTTCTTGTTCAAATTAAAACATCAAGCACATAGATGGGTTAAGCCCTTTGCTCATCTCAGGCCCTCTCAGTGTGGCTGCCTTGGCCCACTCGGGCTGCTACAACAAAAGGCTATAGACTGGTACTGCATAGGCAACAGAGAGGTATTTCTCACAGTTCTGGAGGGTGGAAGCCCAAGATCAAGGCACCGTCATATTGGGTGTCTGCTGAGGTCCCACTTCCTGCTTCAGAGATGGTTCTGCCCACATGACCTAATCACCTTCCAAAGACCCCACCTCCTAATACCATCATCTAACGTGTGAGGATTTCAACAGAGGAATTTGGGGGAGACATAAACATTCAGACTGTAGCAGTAGCAAAAACAAATTGTATCAGATGCTAGAGGAGCTCCAAAAGTGAACTCTGTTACAAACCAAGGGACTCAATTCACCCAGTTTCAACCAAAGTGGAAGCTTTTCCACTGTGAATGATTGGCCAGAAGTGGGAAGTGAAAATGGGGGTAGGGTGGGGAGCTGGGAGTGAAGGAAAATGTAGCACCAAGGCCAGGAGGCAGGAAGGGTCCACAGAAGCCTGTGGACAAAATTTGAAGAGACACCAATCAGCTCAGATATGGTTTCTTCTGCACCCATGGTCCAATGCACAGGTGCATGGGAGAAGGGTTTTGTATAACCAGAGTTGTAATTGTGTAAAGTAAAAAAGTGAGGCTGGGTGCTGTGGCTCACGTCTGTAATCCCAGCACTTTGGGAGGCTGAGGGGGATGGATCAGGAGTTCAGGAGATCAAGACTATCCTGGATAACACGGTGAAACTCCATCTCTACTAAAAATACAAAAAATTAGCCGGGCGTAGTGGTGGGCGCCTGTAGTCCCAGCTACTCAGGAGGCTGAGGCAGGAGAATGGCATGAACCCAGGAGGTGGAGCTTGCAGTTAGCCGAGATCGTGCCACTGCACTCCAACCTGGGCTACAGAGAGACTCCGTCTGAAAAAAAAAAAAAAGTGAGATGGGGCAGGGACTTGATGATGCATGCAAGGAGTGGGTAAAGTTACTTATTATATAGTTACTTACAGTAGTCTTGAAGCTTGGGTAGAATGACAGAAAGCCAAGTAGGGCCCAAGGATAATCAGAGTTGTGATAGTTGAAGAAGTCAGCTAGGAAGATGAAAATTGTGGTCACAGAGTAGGACACAGAAAATGGAGATTATGAAGAAGTTCTAGTTTTTCATATAACTACTCCACTCCTATTCTCCCCTATTTTACAGATAGGAAAATGGAAGTACAGAGAGATTAAGTAACTTG
Source organism: Homo sapiens (assembly GCF_000001405.40). Taxonomy (NCBI): domain Eukaryota; kingdom Metazoa; phylum Chordata; class Mammalia; order Primates; family Hominidae; genus Homo; species Homo sapiens. The sequence goes on along the minus strand of NC_000002.12, from coordinate 101,945,140 downwards.
TCAATGATCTCATGGTGGGGAAGAGGCCCAGCTAGGATTTGAACCCAGGCACTTTAAGTCTGGCTCCAGAACCCACTCTGTGAACCACTACAGTATGCTACCTCTTGAACCAAAAAGACATAAGAACACTTGAAGATTTCCAAGTGCAAAAAAGGTACCCTAGAACTAAAAAATATTTTCAAGTCAAAAATTCGGTAGATGACTCCAAATAGTCTGTTAAAATTGCTGTTGAGGCCTGGAGCAAGCGAGCTGGTCACCACCAGCTGATCAACACCAAATGGAAGAAGAAACAGGTGCAACTATGGAGATGCAGCACAGAGTGATGGAAATCAGGAGGGAAGCAGAGAGACCTGGAGGACAGATCTAGGCAACTAACATGCAAATAATAGGAGTTCTTGAAGGAGTTTGAAAGCCGCAGATGGGAGAGAGACGATCAACAGACAACAGAGAGTCACTTCCCTGAGCCAAGAAAACACTGAGTGTGAGGAAGGAGAAGCTTACGTATTCTATTTTAATGTCTTAATGTAACCTTATGCTTATGACTTATTTTATTCTGTTGTTTATTATTTTTCCCTCTTCCTAGTGTTTGCTAGTGTGATCTCTTGGATATACATTTTCTTTCCCCACTTTGTTAATGTGGGCATTTGGTTGTATATTTCCATTCTATCAGTGTTCCCTTTATCTCTTCCGGCATTCAGAATCAACTCTATTTCTTTATTGTATACGAAAATAATTTACAACTATTCCCTCTCCAGGAACTCCATTCCCTTTCTACTGTCAGCCCCCAGCATGACCTGTGGAACACACCATGCCCCTACTCTCTCCCCGTCAGCCTAGGCTACATGTTTAAAGTGACTTACTTTCCCCTCTGCTTCTCCAATCCCTCACCGCTAGATTTTTCTGAAAGCATTTAGTAATTATCATTTCAGAATATGATTGTAATTTCCCAGGAATACATGTTTTCTATTTTAAGAATTCTTGTGTGTAGACCCTATATTATAAATTCCCGATCAGAAGCCGGGCGCGGTGGCTCACGCCTATAATCCCAGCACTTTGGGAGGCTGAGGCAGGCAGATCACTTGAGGTCAGGAGTTCAAGACCAGTCTCGCCAACATGATGAAACCCCGTCTCTACTAAAAATACAAAAACTAGTGTGGTTTGGTGGCGGGCAACTGTAATCCCAGCTACTCGGGGGGCTGGAGCAGGAGAATCGCTTGAACCCGGGAGGCAGAGGTTGCAGTGAGCTGAGATCATGCCACTGCCTTCCAGCCTGGATGACAGAGCAAGACTCTGTCTCAAAAAAAAAAAAAAAAAAAAATTGCCAGTCAGACACACATGCACACTCCCTCCCGAGGTTTATTGATCACCACTGTTTCCCCTATCTTTAGAGGTCATTATTAGTGTGATGTCTCCTCCTCAGATGGGGCATGCGGGCAATAACACATCTTCCTCCTTGGTTGTCTCCATAGACCACTCCGAAGAGTGGCTGGCATCTTGGCTGGATGTAGGATTCTCCTCCTCCTTACATATCTCTAAAACACTTCCCACGAGTTGTCTTACCTCATTCCTGGGAGAATTTGGTGCATCTAAATGCCTCCATTGGCAGAAGACACCTGGACGCTTGCACCTGGTTTCTCCTGGACTCCACGCCATGCTCCTTTTCCCTTTGTTGATTTTAATCTGTCTCCTTTCACCAGGCCACAGTCATGAGGAGGACGTATTTCCTCAGTCCTATGAGTCCTTCTGGCAAATCTTCAGGACTGAGGTGGGCTTGGAAACCCCTGAGCACAATAATAACACTAGAGATGGTTGGATTTAAGGTTACAAGTACTTAGAAGGAGAAAGAGGGCAAAGTGAACGTGATTGAATGATGAAGGCAAAACGTATTAAGTAGATTCTACTACTTTCCTACGCTGCTGTAACAAATTATCACAAACTTAGTGGCTGAAAGTAACACAAATATATTATCTTACAGTTTTGGAGGTCAGCAGTTTGATATTTGTTAAAAAATCAAAACAAGGTGTTGGCAGGGCTGTGCTCCCTCCAGAGAGTCTGGAGGGAATTGGTTTCCCTGCCCTTTTCGACCTTCCAGAGGCTGCCTGCATTCCCTGGCTCTGGGCTTTTCCTACATCTTCAAAGCCAGCAACAAATCATCTCCAGCTCTCTCATCTGCCTTCATCATCACATCACCCTTTTCCCTTCTGGTTCTCTTGCCTCTTTTTTGAAGATCCTTGTGATTGCATTGGGTTTACCCAGATAATTCAGGATAATCTCCCCGTCCCAAGATCCTTGACTTGGTAACATCCGCAAAGTCCTTTTCATTACATAAGGGAATATATTCACAGCTTCCAACGATCTGGACATAAACATCTTTAGAGAACGATGAGTCACTTTATCATGAAGATACAGTAGGATTTTATCAGTGTATTCTAAACATACGCGAGATAAACACGTGAGGCAAAAATATTTAAAATGTAGGAGAAAAACAACCTAGATGTCTATTAAAAGTAAAATGATGGCCGGGTGCAATGGCTCACTCCTGTAATCCCAGCACTTTGGGAGGCCGAGGGGAGCGGATCACGAGTTCAGGAGATCAAGACCATCCTGGCTAACACAGTGAAACTCCGTCTCAACTAAAAATACAAAAAATTAGCCGGGCGTGGTGGCGGGCGCCTGTAGTCCCAGCTACTCGGGAGGCTGAGGCAGGAGAATTGCGTGAACCCAGCAGGTGGAGCTTGCAGTGAGCTGAGATCGTGCCACTGCTCTCCAGCCTGGGCAACAAGAGCAAAACTCCATCTAAAAAAAATAAACAAAATAAAGTGATTAAACAAATTGTATTTTATTCATATGATGGAATATTATACAAAAATAAGGATGAACGGAACTCTGCTCTAAATGGAGGCATCTCACAAATAATGTTGAATAAAAGAAGGCAGGAGAAATTGTTACATATCAAATAATTCCATTTATATACAGTTGAAAAAAAGACAAAACTAATCTGTAGGGTTGGCAAGGGGGTAAGTAGTTACCTGTGAAGAACAGGAATAGTAATTGGTAGAGATAGAAGGGAACTTTTGAGGCACTAGCAAATTCTGATTTCTTGGTCTGAGTGCAGGTTACATGGCTGTGTTTAGTTTGGGAAAATTTACCAAGCTGTATCCACAAGATCTGGCCTTTTTCTGCATGTGTGTTATACTTCAAAAAGATGATTATATTAAGAAGTACAGGAGAACTTAATAAGATTACTATTATATTCTACTTCTGGGACAAGATAGTACAGTGCCACTTTTCCTGCTCCTCCCATGTAAGTACAACTAAGTACTCTGGAAATAATTCAACAAACAATCATACAAGGATTCTGAAATGTGGAAAGAGGGTGGACTGAACAGGGACCTAAGGTCTTAAAGAACATCACTGAGCACTCCCTGAGTTTTCTTTTTTTTTTAAATCTTCCCTGTACCCCTGAACTGGGCGCTGAAGAGGCCTATAACTCAGAACTACCAATAGGCATAGGCACAAAAATAATAAATACAAGAAAATCCTGTGCCGTCTGGCCAAAGGACCAGGAAAGGAAAAGCTCAGCAGAGACTTCGAGGAAGCACTCAATCATAATGGTGTGACACCTGACTGCCTGCAGCAGAGGGACTCGGGCCCTGCCCCACATGAGATGGCAGTAGGAGAGCCCCTCCAGCTCACCAGTGGGACCAGCAGGCCCAGTGTCTTCCAAACCTCCAACTAAGGCCAGAGAGCTTCCTAGACTCCGTGGCTCCTGCCCTCCACCCCGTGGCAGAAGGCAGTCCAAGAGACACTTCCCACCCTAGCAGTACCTGGAGAGGAGAGTGGGAAGCCCACCAGCACCAGGTGGCTTTAGGCCAAGGAAAATGTGCTCCATCCCGCAGGTCCAGCATCCCCCATCCCACACCTAATAACACCAGAAGGACCAGGGAAGCACCTTTTTTCCTCTTGAGCAGGACATTAGGAAGTTAACAGGAGCTCAAATGGAGCCAGAAAATGAAACAGACCAGAATAATATTGCAGGGTCTCCATAAACTAAGTTGTCATTGGAATTATAGCCCGCAAAAGTACACGACAATCTAAACGCTAAACCAAAATATGGCAATTGCCTGCTAAAATAGAAAATTTAAGTAAGATTAAGACTCTCAAAAAATCATTCATCACTCCAAAAACCAGGTAAGCCGTAACTCAAGTGAATAAAGAAAATCAACTGATAGCAATACTGAGATAAATCAGGCAGTGGACTTACCTGGCAAAGATGTAAAGCTGCCACCATAACTGGAATTGCTTCAAGTAACTACAAACTCATTTGAAACAAACTTAAAAATATAAAATATCAGCAAAATAAAATAGAAATAATTTTAAAAATGAAAATGTTTGATATGATTTCGTTGTGTCCCCACCAAAATCTCAACTTGAATTGTATCTCTCAGAATTTCCACATGTTGTGGGAGGGACCCAGAGGGAGGTAATTGAAGAATGGGGGCCAGTCTTTCCCATGATAGTGAAGGAATCCAGTGTCAGCTTTCTACATATGGTTAGCCAGTTTTCCCAACACCATTTATTAAATAGGGAATCCTTTCCCCATTGCTTGTTTTTGTCAGGTTTGTCAAAGATGGTTGTAGATGTGTGTTGTAGATGTGTGGCATCTCTGTTCTGTTCATTGGTCTATATATCTGTTTTGGTACCAGTACCATGTTGTTTGGTTACTGTAACCTTGTAGTGTAGTTTGAAATCAGGTAGTGTGATGCCTCCAGCTTTGTTCTTTTTGCTTAGGACTGTCTTGGCCATACAGGCTCTTTTTTGGTTCCATATGAAATTTAAAGTAGTTTTTTCTAATTCTGTCAAGAAAGTCAATGGTAGCTTGATGGGGATAGCATTGAATCTATAAACTACTGGGCAGTATGGCTATTTTCATAATGTTGATTCTTCCTATCCATAAGCATGGAACGTTTTTCCATTTGTTTCTGTCCTCTCTTATTTCCTTAAGCAGTAGTTTGTAGGTCTCCTTGAAGAGGTTCTTCATATCCCTTGTAAGTTGTATTCCTAGGTATTTTATTCTCTTAGTAGCAATTGTGAATGGGAGTTCACTCATGATTTGGCTCTCTGTTTGTCTATTATTGGTGTATAGGAATGCTTGTGATTTTTGCACATTGATTTTGTATCCTGAGACTTCGCTGAAGTTGCTTATCAGCTTAAGGAGATTTGGGGCTGAGACAATGGAGTTTTCTAAATATACAATTATGTCATCTCCAAACAGAGACAATTTGACTTCCTCTCTTCCTATTTGAATATGCTTTATTTCTTTCTCTTGCCTGATTGCCCTAGCCAGAACTTCTAATACTATGTTTAATAGGAGTGGTGAGAGAGGGCATCCTTATCTTGTGCCAGTTTTCAAAGGGAATGCTTCCAGTTTTTACCCATTCATTATGATATTGGCTGTGGGTTTGTCATAAATAGCTCTTATTATTTTGAGATACGTTCCATCAATACCTAGTTTATTGAGAGTTTTTAGCATGAAGGGGTGTTGAATTTTATTGAAGGTCTTTTCTGCATCTATTGAGATAATCATGTGGTTCTTGTCATTGGTTCTGTTTATGTGATGTACTACATTTATTGATTTGCATATGTTGAACTAGCCTTGCATCCCAGGGATGCAGCCAACTTGATCATGGTGGATAAGCTTTTTGATGTGCTGCTGGATTCAGTTTGCCAGTATTTTATTGAGGATTTTCGCATCTATGTTCATCAGGGATATTGGCCTGAAATTTTCTTTTTTTGTTGTGTCTGCCAGGTTTTGGTATCAGGATGATGCTGGCCTCATAAAATGAGTTAGGGAGGAGTCCATCTTTTTCTATTGTTTGGAATAGTTTCAGAAGAAACAGTACCAGCTCCTCTTTGTACCTCTGGTAGAATTCGGCTGTGAATCCATCTAGTCCTGGACTTATTTTGGTTAGTAAGCTATTAATTACTGCCTCAATTTCAGAACTTGTTATTGGTCTATTCAGGGATTCAACTTCTTCCTGGTTTAGTCTTGGGAGGGTGTATGTGTCCAGGAATTTATCCATTTCTTCTAGATTTTCTAGTTTATTTGCATAAAGGTGTTTATAGTATTCTCTGTTGGTAGTTTGTATTTCCATGGGATCAGTGGTGATATCTGCTTCATCATTTTTTATTGTGTCTATTTGATTCTTCTCTCTTTTCTTCTTTATTAGTCTAGCTAGTGATCTATCTATTTTGTTAATCTTTTCAAAAAACCAGCTTCCGCATTTATTGATTTTTTGAAGGGTTTTTCGTGTCCCTATCTCCTTCAGTTCTGCTCTGATCTTAGTTATTTCTTGTCTTCTGCTAGCTTTTGAATTTGTTTTCTCTGGCTTCTCTAGTTCTTTTAATTGTGATGTTAGGGTGTCAGTTTTAGATCTTTCCTGCTTTTCCTGTGGGCATTTAGTGCTATAAATTTTCCTCTAAACACTGCTTTAGCTGTGTCCCAGAGATTCTTGTACCTTGTGTCTTTGTTCTCATTGGTTTCAAAGAACATCTTTATTTCTGCCTTAGTTTCGGTATTTACCCAGCAGTCATTCAGGAGCAGGTTGTTCAGTTTCCATGTAGTTGTGCAGTTTTCAGTGAGTTTCTTAATTCCGAGTTCTAATTTGATTGTACTGTGGACTGAGAGACTGTTTGTTATGATTTCCATTATTTTGCATTTGCTGAGGAGTATTTTACTTCCAATTATGTGATCAATTTTAGAATAAGTGTGATGTGGTGCTGAGAAGAATGTATATTTTGTTGATTTGGGTTGGAGAGTTCTGTAAATGTCTATTAGGTCTGCTTGGTCCAGAGCTGAGTTCAAGTCCTGAATATCCTTGTTAATTTTCTATCTCGATGATTTGTCTAATATTGACAGTGGGGTGTTAAAAGTCTCCCACTATTATTGTGTGGGAGTCTAAGTCTCTTTGTAGGTCTCTAAGAACTTGATTTATGAATCTGGGTGCTCCTGTATTGGGTGCAAATTTAGGATAGTCAGCTCTTCTTGTTGCATTGATCCCTTTACCATTATGTAATGGCCTTCTTTGTCTTTTTTGATCTTTGTTGGTTTAAAGTGTGTTTTATGAGACACTAGGATTGCAACCCCTGCTTTTTTTTGCTTTCCATTTGCTTGGTAAATATTCCCCCATCCCTTTACTTTGAGCCGATGTGTGTCTTTGAGATGGGTCTCCTGAATACAGCACACTGATGGGTCTTGACTCTTTATCCAATTTGCCAGTCTGTGTCTTTTAATTGGGGCATTTAGTCCATTTACATTTAAGGTTAATATTGTTATGTGTGAATTCGGTCCTATCATTATGATGCTACTGGTTATTTTGCCCATTAGTTGCTGCAGTTTCTTCATAGTGTCTATGGTCTTTATAATTTGGTATGTTTCTGCAGTGGCTGGTAACCGGTTTTTCCTTTACATATTTAGTGCTTCCTTCAGGAGCTCTTGTAAGGCAGGCCTGGTGGTGACAAAATCTCTCAGCATTTGCTTGTCTGTAAAGGATTTTATTTCTCCTTTGCTTATGAAGCTTAGTTTGGCTGGATATGAAATTCTGGGTTGAAAATTCTTTTCCTTAAGAATGTTTAAGATTGGCCTCCACTCTCTTCTGGCTTATGGGGTTTCTGCAGAAATCCACTGTTAGTCTGATGGGCTTCCCTTTGTGGGTAACCCAACCTTTCTCTCTGGCTGCCCTTAACATTTTTTCCTTCATTTCAACCTTGGTGAATCTGACGATTATGTGTCTTGGGATTGCCCTTCTTGAGCAGTATCTTTGTGTTGTTCTCTGTATTTCCTGAATTTGAATGTTGGCCTGTCTTGCTAGGCTGGGGAAGTTCTCTTGGATACTATCCTGAAAAGTGCTTTCCAACTTGGTTCCATTCTCCCTGTCACTTTCAGGGTATACCAATCAAAGGTACGTTTGGTCTTTTCACATAGTCCCATATTTCTTGGAGGCTTTGTTAGTTCCTTTTTATTCTTTTTTCTCTAATCTTGTCTTCATGCTTTCTTTCATTAAGTTGATCTTCAATTTCTGATATCCTTTCTTCCACTTGATCAATTCAACTATTGATACTTGTATGTGCTTCACCAAGTACTTGTGCTGTGTTTTTCAGCTCCATTAGGTCATTTATGTTCTTGTCCAAATTGGTTATTCTAGTTAGCAATTCCTCTAACCTTTTTTCAAGGTTCTTAGCTTCCTTGCATTGGGTTAGAACATGCTTCTTTAGCTCAAAGGAGTTTGTTATTACCCACCTTCTGAAGCCTAATTCTATCAATTCGTCAAACTCATTCTCCATCCAGTTTTGTTCCCTGGCTGGCGAGCAGTTGTGATCCTTTGAAGGAGACGAGATTTTCTGGTTTTTGGAATGTTTAGCCTTTTTGTGCTGGTTTTTCCTCACCTTCGTGGATTTATATATCTTTGGTCTTTGATGATGGTGACATTTGGGTGGGGTTTTTGAGTGGATGTCGTTTTTGTTGATGCTGATGCTATTCGTTTCTGTTTGTTAGTTTTCTTTCTAACAGGTCCCTCTGCTGCAGGTCTGCTGGAGTTTGTTGGAGGTCCTCTCCAGACCCTGTTTGTCTGTGTATCACCAGCAGAGGCTACAGAACAGCAAAGATTGCTGCCTGTTCCTTCCTCTAAAAGTTTTGTCCCAGACGGGCACTCACCAGATGCCAGCCAGAGCTCTCCTTTATAAGGCGTCTTTTGACCCCTGCTGGGAGGTGTCTCCCAGTCAGGAGACATGGGGGTCAGGGACCCACTTGAGGAGACAGTCTGTCCCTTAGCAGAGTTCAAGTGCTGTGCTGGAAGATTAGCTGCTCTCTTCAGAGCTGGCAGGCAGGAACATTTAAGTCTGCTGAAGCTGTGCCCACAGTCACCCCTTCCCTCAGGTGCTCTGTCCCAGGGAGATGGGAGTTTTATCTCTAAACCCCTGACTGGGGCTGCTGCTTTTTCTTTCAGAGATGCCCTGCCCAGAGAGGAGAAATCTAGAGAGGCAGTCTGGCTACAGCTCTCTGTGGTGGGCTCCGCCCAGTTTGAACTTCCCTGCGGCATTGTTTACACTGTGAGGGGAAAACTGCCTACCCAAGCCTCAGTAATAATGGATGCCCCTCCCCCCACCAAGCTCCAGCATCCCAGGTCAACTTCAGACTGCTGTGCTGGCAGCAAGAATTTCAAGCCAGTGAATCTTAGCTTGCTGGGCTCCCTGGGGCTGGAATCTGCTGAGCTAGACTACCTGGCTCCCTGGCTTCAGCCTCCTTTCCAGGGGAGTGAACTGTTCTCGCTCACTGGCGTTCCAGGCACCACTGGGGTATGAAAAAGAACTCCTGCACCTAGCTCGGTGTCTGCCCAAATGACTGCTCAGTTTTGTGCTTGAAATCCAGGGCCCTGGTGGTGCAGGCACCCAAGGAATCTCCTGGTCTGTGGGTTGTGAAGACCATGGGAAAAGCTTAGTGTCTGGGCTGGAGTGCACCATTCCTCACAGCACAGTCCCTCACACCCTCCCTTGGCTAGGGGAGGGAGTTCCCTGACCCCTTGCACTTCCCAGGTGAGGTGACACCCCACCCTGCTTCAGCTCGCCCTCCATGGGTTGCACCCACTGTCTAACCAGTCCTAATGAGATGAGCCAGGTACCTCAGTTGGAAATGCCTCTGCATTGATCTCGCTGGGAGCTGCACACCGGAGCTGTTTCTATTTGGCCATCTTGCCATCCACCTTCCAGCCTATTTTTATTTATGTTTTTAAATGTTATTTTGTTTAATCGCTCTGGCTAGAACTTCCAGCAGGATGTTGAGTAGAAGTGGCAAAAGTGGGCATTCTTGTCATATTTATAATTTTAAGGGAAACTATTTCAATCTTTCACTATTGAGTAAAAGGTTACCTGTGGGTTTTTCATAAATGCCTTTTATGATGTTGAAATATTTCCCTTCTATTCCTAGTTTGTTGAGTGTATTTTAATCACAAAAAGGTATTGGAATTTGTCAAATTCTTTTTCTGCGTCAATTGAGATGATCATGTGTTTTTTTTTTCCTTTTCATTCTATTAATGTCATTTATTACATTGAGTAAATTTTGTATGTTGAACCACCTTAGCATTCCTGGGATAAATACCACTTGGTCATAATATATAATTTTCTTAATATGATGCTGGAATTAATTTGCTGGTATCTTGTTGAGGATTTTTGTGTCTGTATTTATGAGGAAGATAGAGCTATAGTTTTCTTTCTTGTCATATCTTTATATGGCCTTGGTATTAGAGTAATGGTGGCCACACAGAGTGTGTTAGGAAGTGCTTCTCAATCTTCTAGTTTTGGAAGATTTTGAGAAAGATTCACATTTCTTAAGGACAGATCAACTAGTGATGAACTACCTCAGTTTTTGCTATCTTGCAATATCTAATTTCTCCTCTACTTTTGAAGAATAGTTTTGCTGGATATAGAATATTTGTTTGACGGGCTTCCAGCACTTTAAATATGTTATCCTACTGCTTACTGTTTTCTGGCCTCCATGGTTTCTGAAGCGATACTGACTATTAATTTCATTGAGGCTCCCTTGTACATGATAAGTCATGTCTCTCTTGCTGCTTTCAAGGTTCTTTTGTTGTCTTAGTCTTAAGACAGTTTGATTATAATGTGACTCAATTTGTGTCGCTTTAATTTTATCCTATGGAGTTCATTGACCACGTTGGATGTGTAAATTCACATCTTTCATCAAATTTGGAGAGTTGTGGGCCGTTATTTTAAAAAATAAACTTTTTGTTCATTTCCCTCTCTCCTTTCCTTCTAAGAGTCTCATTATGCATATATTGGTATACTTTATAAATTCCCACAGGTCTCTTGGGCCATGCTTTTACATTTCTGCTCCTCAGACTTAATTATCTTAATTGACATATCTTTAAGTTTGCTTATCTTTTCTAATTTTTTAATTTTAATTTATTATTATTATTATTATTTTTAGAGACAGTGCCTTGCTATGTTGCCCAGGTTGGTCTTCAACTCTTGGGCTCAAGCAATCCTCTCCCCTTGGCCTCCCAAAGTGCTGGGATTACAGGCATGAGCCACCATGCAGGGCCTAAATTTGCTTGTCTTTTCTTCTGCTCAAATCTCCCCTTGAACCTCTATAGTTAATACTCATTTCAATTATTATATTTTTCAATACCAGAATTTTATGTGGTTCCTATTTATAGTTTCTATCTCTTATTTACATTCTCCATATGTTTATACTTTATGTTCCTGGTTTCCTTTCATTCTTATCTATGACTTCCTTTAGCTTTTTGCCACATTTGACAGACCTGATTTGGGATCGTTCTCTGGTAACTCCAATACCTGGGCTTCCTCAAGGACAGTTTGTATTAATTTCTATTACTCTTTTTAATGGACCATACCTTCTTTTTTTTTCTTTTTCTCTTTCTTTATTTCTTTTTCTCTTTCTTTCTTTTTCTTGGCATGTCTTGTAATTTTTTGTTGAAACTAGTGGGATTATTACTTGGCAACTCTGGAAATCAGATTCTCCCTACTCCCTAGGATTTGATGTTTCTTGTTTTGGCCATTGTTTTTTGTTAGTTTAGTGGCTTCTAAACAATTTTTGTACAGTCTATATTCCCCATGGTGTGTGGCCACTTATGTCTGGGTTCTGTTAGCTTACTGGTCAATTAGTGTTTTGACAGAGTTTCCTTAAATTCCTGAAGTCCCTAAAAAGAACAATTAAAAAGAAAAAAAAAACTCCCAGTCTTTACAGATTAATTCTGTGTTGAGGACATAGTTTAACACTTGGCCAGGCCTTTTACAACTCTTCCTTAGCCTTCCTTTCTTGCTTGCATGAAGCCTGAAGGTGAACCAGAGGTAAAAGCTTAGCGTCTGCTCAGGCTTTTTCTGAGCATGAGGTTAGCCCTGGCTTGCATGTGGCCTTCTTGGTTTCCCAGTGTATACAGCACATGTTAAAAGTTCTTTTTCTCCCACAAATCTTCATTCCCAAACTCTTTTTCCCAGGCTGTCTGTTCCAACTGCTATCCTTGCCCCAGGCTGCAGCAGTCAATACTTTTGAATTTAAGTGCTTTTGGCAAATGCTGCCCAAGATGGCACCCAACACTGGGAATGCTCAAAGCTGAGTGAAATAAAGACAAGCCTCTACACCAGCCCTTCAGGGAGCTGCCAAACAGGTCAAAGCACACAACCACAGCTCTTAAGAATAAGCTCTGAATTGCTCCCTCTAACACTAGCAACCTGTACTGGAAGTGCAGACTGCCATCTTCACGCACAGTGGCCTCTGATCTGGTACTGAGAGATGATAGGTGGGCAATTTAAAGAGAGCCACCATGCCTTCTAATAGCAATGAAGCAATGTCTTTCTTTATTAAGCTTTTCTCTGGTTAATGCAGGTTTTGAACTAGATTCCAGAGTTCTGCAAAAGTTGAATCTGACAGTTTTTGCCAGCTTATTAGTTGTTTTTGTGGTAGGATAGAGCCTGGAAGTCCCTATTCCACTGTTTCTGGTGATATCACGCTGCAATATTTTTTCTTACGACTGTGTGTGTATGCATAATTAAATCAAAATTAAAAGTTTAATTTAGAATTTTAAAAATTAATTAAAATACTGCCGTAGAGGGAAATCCTAAAATGCCACTTACAAAATTGAACCATGTTAACACCAGTAGCAATATAGAAAAATATAATAAACTGATCAATGATCAAGAAAATCAGTCAGTAGATGTACTGGAACATTACATTCCTCAAAAGAGAACATGCATTTTTCCATTTGCCCATATAACACTGAAAAAAAATTGATGATTTTTTAGGCACAAAGAAAAGCTTAAAAAATTTAAAACTTAGGAACTTGACAAGTCATGTATTCTAATAATAATTTAATAAAATAAATCAATAATAAAAGGATAAATTAATTTCTTTACATGGCAATTATGAAACAAAGAGCTAGATAAACTTTGGACCAAACAAAATCAAACTAAAATTATAATTCATATGGAAAGTGAAAAGATCAACAATTCTCCCTAAAAGCCAAGCATACTCAAAAGAAAATTTAAACACATTCATTATTGACATAAAAAACTGAAAAAATAAAGGAATTTAGTAATTTTATTAGCTTATTGGTTGCCACAACAAGTACCACAAACTGGGTGGCTTCAAACAACAGAATGTATTGCTTCACAGTTCTGGAGGCTGAGAGACTGAAATCAAGGTGGTAGCCAGGCCATGCTCCCTCAAAGCTTCCAGGGAAAGATCCTTGCCTCTCCCAGCTTCTGATAGACCAAGCATTCCTTGGCACATGGTAGCATGAATATTCTAAGTTCTGCCTCCATTCTGCAGCATTCTCCCTGTCTCTCTGTGTCTTCACAGAGCTGTGTTTGTCTAAGAACACCCATCACATTGGATTAAAGGCACCATCCTACACTAGTATGACCTCATCTTAACTAATTACATCTGCAATAGCCCTATTTCCAAATGAAGTCACATTCTGTGGCCCCGGTGGTTAGGGTTCCAACATATCCTTTTGGGAGGACACGATTCAACCCCTAACAGTTCTCATTTTGAAAAATGAGTAAAGACAAACTAAACCACAAAGAGTTGGGAGAGGAAGTCAATAAAGATCAAGGCTGAAACTAATAAAATGAAAACCAAAACATAGTAGAAAGGATAAACAAATCCAAAAGCATTTCATTGAAAAGACCAACGATATAAACTTCTTAAGAGACTGATAAAGGGAAAAAGAAACAGTAAAAGTCTGCATGAGTAGAATGAGAAAGTCGGATAATTCCAGACACAGAGAGAGGTAAGACTATTGCAAAAGATTAACGTTCATGGCTGGACACAGTGGCTCATGTCTGTAATCCCAGCACTTTGGCTGAGGCAGGTGGATAACCTGAGGTCAGGAGTTTGAGACCAGTCTGGCCAACATGGTGAAATCCTGCCTCTGCTAAAAAGACAAAAATTAGCTGAACATGGTAGCACATGCCTGTAATCCCAGCTACTCGGGAGGCTAAGTCAGGAGAGTTGTTTGAACCCGGGGGTGGAGGTTGCAGTGAGTCAATCATGCCATTGCACTCCGGCCTGGGTGACAGAGCAAGACTCCGTCTCAAAAAACAAACTAACAAACAAAAAAAACTAACACTCATAACTCTACTGCAACATACTCAGAAACAGATAGTTTCCTTGCAAATACCTATTACCAGAATTAAACCAAGAAGTAGAAACCTTGAATACACCAATTACCACAGATGAATCTGAAAAGATCATTTATACCATTGAAAAGGGCCCCTGGGATCAGATGGTTTCATAACCAAGTCCCAGCTCTCAGTTAATTCCAATGTCATTTGATTTATTCCAAATGATGGAAATGTGACAGTATCCTTAATTTATTTTACAAAGCTAATGTCACTTTAATGTAAAGTTTTATAACAATAAAATGATAAAAAGGATAAATCAATATATCTTATAAATATAGGTAGAAATATTTTAAAATACTAAAGATATGATTTAAACTATTGGTTACCCTCATGATATACAATTTGCCTATATAACAAACTGCACGTGTACCCCTGAACCTAAAGTAAAAGTTAAAAATAAATAAATGATAAACTATTAGTAATGGAAGGCGCTAGCACAATCACACATTAACTAAGGGGATAAAACATGGATCTCCTAACTACACCATATACAAAAATAGGCTCCTGATGAATTAAAACTGAAATATATATATATGTTTTAAATATCAGTCCAAAAAGAAAATCTAGGAAATTGTCTTTATATCCTGGGTGTTTAGGAGATCCCCTTAGGTAAGAACACCTTCCTTCTACACTGTCAGCTTGTGACAGCACATTGTGACAGATCATTGAGCTACTGGCACCCTTGCCTGGACTCTCGCCAATCTCCTCACTTTATGGCTGGGTTCCAGGACTGGCCAAGTGTGTCTTGTCCCCTCAGCCAGGTATTAGATAACATCTCTTACTTGCTACTTTTAGACAGGTTGGTTGATGTGGACTTGATGATCAGCCCATTGGCTGGATTTTTATCAACCAAACAGTAAGTAAGGGGCCTCTGCCGGTGTGTCACGGGGCTCTGTCCTTTATCCTCTCCTGTATCATGCAGTCTTGTTTTGGGGTCTACCTCAAAAACAAAAGAACATATTTATTTCTCAAACATGCAAAAAGTAATAACTGTTGGATGACTGGCTCAAAGGCAGGAACTTTTGTATAAATTAGGATTCCCAAGCTAACAAAATGGAATTCAACAAATCCTGCATTTAAGATTCAACAAGCAAACAAAATCCTCATAATTGTATCTATAGTGAGAGTTACAAAGCATTGACACTGTTAACCACATGGTCTCCTTGAACATTTATCTAGAACAAATCCAAAACAATAAAATATATACATAAACATAATTGATCATTTGTATAATTAGTAAATAATTCTACTATGAAATAGGTCTACATATATCTAAAGATTATAGGGGCAATTTTTTTTTTCTCCACTTGTTTGCAGAAAGGATCGGAGAGGCCAGCTTGAAGGGAGCTGGAGGGAAAAAGACTTGGGGATTTTGACTGACCCAACAAGAGATAAGTTCAGGTTGCATTATTAACACATCGTTCAGGTTGAAGGAAGGAAGGGACTGGTTAGCTGTGCCCTTCACTCTTTGGAACACGTCTAGGGTGGAGTGTCCCCATCAGAGCAGGCCAGGGCAACCCAGAGCAGCAGGCCGGGCACACACATTATGTGGAGCCCTGAGCTGCAATCAGGGAGGAGAGCTGCCTCCTGGAGATCGGGCACCCTTCCGGCATGCCACCGTCCCCACACATCCACATTGCTGATCCTCACCCCAGTGCTTTCCTGGCTGGCCTCTGGGGAAACAGGCATTTGTACTTCCTGATCCCCAGCACACATACCAACACTCAGCTTCCTCAGAATTTTATTTAGGGCCCCTGATGGATGAAATCAGACTACCTGGTTTTAGTAAAGAAAAAAAAATCTCAGAGAGTGCCATTTCACTTGAGGAAGGCGATTCTGGGCCTTCTTACTTCTTCCCCTCAGTGCATTAAAAGTAAATACCTTCTCCAGAAATGAAAACACTTGGAAAACCTTTAGCTCCAGGGTAATGAATACATTTTCCAGGAAGGAAAATTGGGAGCTGCCATCTGCTTACTGGCCTCAAATCAGTGAGCTTCAGTCACTCACTAGAGGTAACAGATTGGATTGAAAAAGGAAAGCTTTGTCCAGCAGCCAATAGCAGCAAGGATTTTGGAAGGAGCCAATATCTATTGAGATGCCTTTAGGAAAGAAGAAACAGATATCACAATTCAAGCTAACTTAAACCTGAAGTGCGTGTGGTGGGTCTTGGGCCTGAATGGCCAGCGCCATGTAATCCTGAGGCTCTGGACCAGCTTCCTGAGATCCTCTTGGGGACCACCCTATGTGCTGGATTTATCCCACAGCAGCAGCAGGGTCTAGACCTCTCCACCCTCCACAAAGACTTCAGAGGAACAGAAAGTGGCCATGTCTTCTGTATTAGTTCATTTTCACACTATTATAAAGACATGCCTGAGCCTGGGTCATTTATAAATAAAAGAAGTTTAATTGACTCACTGTTCCTCATGACTCAAGAAACTTACAATCATGGCAGAAGGTAAAGGAGATGCAAGCACTTTCTTCACAAGATGGCAGGAGGAAGAGAGTGAAGGGGGAGTGTCACTCTTAAACCATCAGTTCTCATGAGAACTCAGTCACTATCATGAGAACAGCATGGGGAAAACTGCCCCCATGATCCAATCTCCTCCCACCGGGTCCCTTTCTCGACACATGGGAATTACAATTCGAGATAAGATTTGAGTGGGGTCACAGAACCAAACCATTTCATTTCATCCCTGGTCCCTCCCAAATCTTATGTCCTTCTCACATTTCAAAACACAATCATGCCTTCCCAACAGTCCCCCAAAGTCTTAACTCATTCCAGCATTAACATAAAAGTCCAAGTCCAAAGTCTCATGTGAGACAAGACAAGTCCCTTCTGCCTATGAGCCTGTAAAATAGAAAACAAGTTAGTTACTTTTAAGATACAATGAGGGTACAGGCATTGGGTAAATGTTCCTGCTCCAAATGGGAGAAATTGACCAAAACAAAGAGGCCACAGGCTCTATGCAAGTTCAAAGCCTGGCTGTGCAGTCATTAGTTCTTAAAGCTCAAAAACATATCTATATCTCACATCCAGGACACACTGATGCAAGGGGTAGGCTCCCATGGCCTGAGGCAGCTCTGCCTCTGTGGCTCTGCAGGGTAAATCCCCTATGGCTGCTTTCATGGGCTGGTGTTGAATGCCTGTGACTTTTCCAAGCACAGAGTGCAAGCTGCCAGTGTACCTAACATTCTGTGGTCTGGAGGATGGTGGCCTTCTTCTCACAGCTATGCTAGGCAGTGCCCCAGTGGGGTCTCTGTGTGGGGGCTCCAAACCCACATTTCTGCCTCTGCATTGCCCTGGTAAAGGTTCTCCACGAGGGCTCTGTCCCTGCAGCAGACTTCTGCCTGGACATCCAGGTGTTTCCATACATCCTTTGAAATCTAGGCAGAGGCTCCCAAAGTTCAACTCTTGTCTTCTGCACACCCAAAGGCCCAACATGTGGAAGCCACCAAGGCTTGGGTCTTGCACCTTCTGAAACAATGGCCTGAGCTGTACATTGGCCCCTTTAAGCCACGACTGGAGCTACAGTGGCTGGGAGGCAGGGCATCATGTCACCAGGCTGCACAGAACAGTGGGGTCATGGGCCTGACCCATGAAACCATTTTTCACTCCTAGACCTCCAGGCCTGTGATTAGGGGAGCCGCTGTGAAGATCTCCAAAATGCCCTGGACACATATCCCCCATTGTCATTGTCTTGGAGATTAACATTTGTCTCCTCATTACTTATGCAAATTTCTGCAGCTGGCTTGAATTTCTTCCCAGAAATTTTCTACCGCATGCTTAAGCTGCAAATTTTCCAAACGTTTATGCTCTGCTTTTCTTTTTAAGTTTCAATTTCAGATCATCTCTTTGTGAATGCATATGACTATATGCTTTCAGAAAGAGCCAAGTTACATCGTGAACGCTTTGCAGCTTAGAAATTTCTTCCACCAGATACCCTAGGTCATCTCTCTCAAGTTCAAAGTTCCACAGATCTCTAGGGCAGGGGCACAACACCACCAGTCTCTTTGATAAAGCATAGCAAGAGTAACTTTTACTTCAGTTCCCAAGAAGTTCCTTATCTCCATCTGAGACCACCTCAGCCTGGACTTCATTGTCCATATCACTATCAGCATTTTGGTCAAAACCATTCAAGAAGTCTCTAGAAAGTTTCAAACTTTTCCTCATCTTCCTGTCTTATTCTGAGCCCTCCAAATGGTTCTAAGCTCTGCCAGTTACTGAGTTGCTTCTACATTCTCAGGTGTCTTATAGAAATGACCCACTACCTTGGTACCAATTTTCTGTATTAGTCTGTTTTCACACTGCTATAAAAACATACTTGAAACTGGATAATTTATAAATAAAAGAAGTTTAACTGACTCACAGTTCCGCATGGCTCAGGAAACTTACAATAATGGCAGAAGGTGAAGGAAAGCAAGCACTTTCTTCACAAGGTGGCAGGAGAGAGAAAGAGCTAAGGGGAAAGTGCCACTTTTAAACCATCAGATTTCATGAGAACTCATCATCACAAGAACAGCATGGGGGAAACTGCCCTCCATGATCCAATCACCTCCTACCAGGTCCCTTCCTTGACACATGGGTATTACAATTCAAGATGAGATTGGGGGGTGGGGGTCACAGAGACAAACCATATCATCTTTCTACAGCTGTTGCTCAAAAATTAGGACATTTTTCTCATAAGTTTCATAAACTTGTCTGAAGTTCCATTGCCCAGAGTTGTTCCTGTGCCCATTTCTGATCACCCACCTGCAGAAACGGGACAACCTCACCCATCCAAACCAAGCCAGAGGTGACTGGGAGCAGCTTCTTCTGTAGCCATGGGCTGCCTGGGGTCACATACCTGAATCAAATCAGTTCAGTTTGGAAGGAGAAAAGGCAGGCAACCAGAAATGTCCTACATTAGTCCATTCTCACACTGCTATAAAGAAGTGCCTGGAACTGGGTAATTAATAAAGAAAAGAGGTTTAATTGGCTCCAGTTCTGCAGGCTGTATGGGAAGCATGGCTGGGGAGGCCTCAGGAAACTTACAATTGTGGCAGAAGGTGAAGGGGAAGCAGGCATTTTCTTACATGGTCAGAGCAAGAGGAAGGGTGTTGGGGAGGTGTTACACTCTTTTAAACAACCATATCTTGCAATAACTCACTCACCATCAGGAGAACAGCACCAAAGGAGAAACCTGCCCCCATGTGCCAGTCACCTTCCACCAGGCTCCACCTCCAACACTGGGGATTACAATTTCACATGAGATTTGGATGGAGACACAGACCCAAACCATATCATTCCACCCTGGCCCTTCCCAAATATCATGTCCTTCTCACATTTCAAAATAGAATTATGCCTTCCCAACAGTCCCCCAAATTCATAACTCAAAAGTCATTTTAGCATTAAGTCAAAAGTTCAAAGTCCAAAGTCTCATCTGAGATAAGGCTAGCCCCTTTACCTATGAGCCTGTGAAATCAAAAACAAGTTAGTTACTTCTAAGATATAGGCATTGGGTAAATGCTTCCATTCCAAAAAGGAGAAATTGGCCAAAACAAAGGGGCTATAGGCCCCATGCAAGTCAAGTTGAAAACCCAGCAGAGCTGTCATTAAATCTTAAAGCTTCAAAATAAACTCCTTTGACTCCATGTCTCACATCCAGGCTGCACTGATGCAAGGGGTGGACTCTGAAGGCCTTGGGCAACTCCATCTCCATGGCCCTGTAGGGCTCAGCCCCCATGGCTGCTCTCAAGGGCTGGCACTGAGTGCCTGTGGCTTTTCCAGGAGTATGGTGCTGGCAGTGTATCTACTATTCTGGGGTTCTGGAGGACAGTGGCCCTCTCTTCTCACAGCTCCACTAGGCAGTGTCCCAGTGGAGACTGTGTGGAAGCTCCAACCCCACATTTACCCTCTGGACTGCCCTAGTAGAGGTTCTCCATGAAGGCTTCGCCCCATAGCAGGCTTCTGCCTGGATATCCAGGCATTTTCATACATCCTCTGAAATCAAGGAGGAGGCTCCCAAGCCTCAACTCTTGCACTCTGGGCACCTGCAGGCTTAACATCATGTGGAGCCACCAAAGCTTGCACCCTCTGAAGCTGCAGTCCAAGTACCTGGGCCCCTTTGAGCCACTGCTGGAGCTGAAGTGTCTGGGATGCAGGGAGCAGTGCCCCAAGGCTCTGCAGGGCAGCAGGGCCCTGGGCTTGGCTCAGGAAATCATTCTTCCCTCCTAGGCCTCTGGGCCTATGATGAAAGGGGCTACTGTGAAGGTCTCTGAAATGCCTTGGAGGCCTTTTTCCCATTGTCTTGGCTATCAGCATTTGGCTCCTCTTTACTTATTCAAATGTCTGCAGCCTGCTTGAATTCCTCCCCTAAAATGGCCTTTTTTTTCTACCACATGTCCAGGCTGCAAATTGTCCAAACATTTATGTTCTGCTTCCCTTTTAAATATAAGTTCCAGTTTCAGATCATTTCTTTGCTCATGCACATGAGTTAGCTTCTAAGAAGCAGTCAGGTCACTTCTTGAATGCTTTGCTGCTTAGAAATTTCTTCCACTGGATACCCTAAATCATCTCTCTCAAGTTCAAAGTTCCACAGATCCCTAGAGCAGGGGCACAATGCCACCAGTCTCTTTGCTAAAGCATAGCAAGAGTGACCTTTATTCCAGTTCCCAATAAATTTCTCATTTTCATCTGAGACCTCCTCAGTCTGAACTTCATTGTCCACATCACTACCAACATTTTGGTCACAACAATTTAACAAGTCTCTAGAAAGTTCCAAACTGTTCCTCATTTTCCTGTCTTTTGCTGAGTCCTTCACAGTCTTCCAACCTCTAGATGTTGCCCAGTTCCAAAGCTGCTTCCACACTGTCAGGTATCTATATAGCAATGCCCCACTCCTAGGTACCAATTTTATGTATTAGCCCATTCTCACACTGCTATAAAGAAATATCTGAAACTGGGTAATTTGTAAAGACAAGAGGTTTAGGCTGTCCAGGAAGCACAGCTGGGAAGGCCTCAGAAAACTTAAAATCACTTTGGAAGGTGAAGGGGAGGTAGGCATGCTTACATGGCTGGAGCAAGAGGAAGTAGGGCAGATGCTACTCACTTTTAAACCACCAGCTCTTGCCCTCATTATCCAATTACCTCCCACCAGACCCCACCTCCAACATTGGAAATTACAATTTGACATGAAATCTGGGTGGGGACACAGACAAAAACCATATCAGTTCCCCTAGATCTACTATCCTGAGGAAATGTGAATGGTTTTTCCTTCTGTATTATGAATTCCATGTGTATTGACTGTAGAAAATGTGGAAAACACAAAAAAGAAAAAAGAAAGAAAGCAACAATTCCACAACAAAAAAAACAGCTTTGTAAATCTGCTTGTTTATAATTCTACAGACTTTTTTCTATGAATATACGAACACATATACTACACTTTACAGAATCAGAAATGTCCTGTACAACTGTGAGTAACCCACCCTTCAATAAATAAGACAGAATGTCCCAAGAGTCCTAATGCTGCTTAAGGTTTTAATAATATGAGAAGTATCAATGTTATGAGTTTACAAAATGGGATCATTTGAAAGATAAATTATTCAGACTTATTTTGCCCTTATTCAGTTTTTTTAAATTCAGAATAATACATTTTAATTTCTTTTGTTTCAACACTTCCGACTGAAGATGGCAAATATTGGCCAAAAAATCAAAAGATTTAAAATGTATTATTCAAAATTCACAAGTGTTTAAACTGCATTGAAACAATCCTTGACTGAAACATTGTTATGAAACAAACTATTAATTTTTTTATACTTCAATTTTATCAGTTTTGTAGTATTCCATCATAATTTATTTAACCAGTGTCTTATTACCAAGTGTTTACGTTGTTTTTTTTCCCATATCACATATGATCTAAGTTGTCCTGTGGAAAGTGGTTTCTTTGTAACTCAGTCCATCTTCTAAGGGAAAGGACTGTGGCTGTTTGCCATGAAGGCCTCAGCTCCCAAGTTCTCCTCTTCATGCCTCGCTTCCCTTCCCCTATTAGCCAGGACAGTGCCACTGTCACTTAAAAAGACCAGCTACAGGTATTTCCTAAGAACAGCACAAAGTGCATACTGTGTGGTAACGTGTTTTAAAGGACGCCCTAGGAAATATTCATGCTTCCTGCTGACAAATTTGCATTTTGAAATACAACCTATCTAACCTATTCTCTTAGTTAAATGTAGTCTGCATTCTCCCATGAAATGGAAATATAAAATGAATTGTTTCCCTGAGGTTTTCCTTTTTGACATCAAATGCTTCATCGGGACACAAGGAATGCAGTAGTGATTATTTTTTAAAGCCAAATATATATATTTTTAATGGAAGCCCATATAACAATGTTTTGAGGTCTGGGGATCCTGTCCCAATGTGGGATTAGACTCTGTATTGTTGACACCAGGTGACATAGATATTACATCACCATAGGTCAACACTAACTGTCATAATGTCACAGGTTTTCTTAACCATATTTTCCCCTTGAAATACACTTAGACTATGATTATTTCTAAAACATCTTTTTTAAAAATTATTTTTGTAGAGATAGGGGTGTGGCTATGTTGCCCAGGCTGGTCTCAGAACTTCTGGCCTCAAGTGATCCTCCTGTCTCAGCCTCCCAAAGCACTAGGATTACAGGCTTGAACCATCCTGTCTGGCCTAAAACTTTTTGTTTAAGAGATGGGGTCTTGCTTTGTTTCCCAAGTTGGAGTGCAGTGGTACAGTCATAGCTCACTGCAGTCTCTGTCTACTGGACTCAAGCAATCCTCTCACCTCAGCCTTCTCAGTAGCTGAGACTATAGGTGTGGCCCACCAGGCCTGACTTATTTTTTTAATTTTTTGTAGAGATGGCGGCTCACTTTGTTGCCTAGGCTGGTCTTGAACTCCTGGCCTCAAGTGATCCTCCCGCCTTGGCCTCCCAAAGTGTTGGGTTTACAGGTGTGAGCTACCACACCCAATCCCTTAAAACATTTTCGAAGTGATTTACCAAAGGTCATAGTAAAGGAAGGTTAAATAAAATCAAAACAGTAAGAGTATGGAAAGGGGAAGGAAGCAAGTACACTAATTGCAGAGACAGAGAACTGTGCTGTGACTGAAGATCAGCTTTGACTCAGAGTTTCCTTGAGCAAAAAGGGGAACAAGTTACACGGCCGTCTTCATCAGAAGGGAAAAGGTGCAAGTTCCACCCAGTCCTTCGCACAATTCTGAGACACTTGCTAAGTGGAGTGTTTCAGACAGTCAGGATCATAAGGGATGATTTTTTTTCCCAACAGCATTGGGTAACAAATGGAGACTTGCATTTTATTTGTGTGTCTGGTAAAAGCCCCTCCATAAATATTCCTGTGTCAAATACTGTGGGGAAAGGCTGGTTTCATCCAGGTGAAACAGGCTGGTGCCTATGAGGCTTTGCTTTTCAGACATTTGGACATGCAACTCTGCATTTGGTTAATCATAAGACTTTTGCTGGTGAAAACCTATTAACATCCAGCAGAAATGGTGTTTCACAGAAGATGTTTGGGAAACACTGTATTAGAGGCTCTTCCTTTGGGCTGTTTCTTTTCATCCTGGATTTTGGTCCGGATTACACAGCTGGCAGGCTGAGATCACACTCTCTAAGGAGGCCAAGTGTCCTGCTCTTCCAGGGTAGAGGGGTGATAAGCAAATAGGTGAGCTGGCAATCATTTGTGGAAGTTCTGAAGCCGAACCAGTCTTCTTGCCCTAAAGAGAATGGAGTTGTCTGGGCGCGGTGGCTCATGCCTGCAATCCCAGCACTTTGAGAGGCTGAGGCAGGTGGATCACCTGAGTTCAGGAGTTTAAGACTGGCCTGGTCAACATGGCGAAACCCTGTGTCTACTAAAGATAAAAAAAATTAGCCGGTTGTGGTGGCAGGTGCCTGTATCCCAGCTACTTGGGAAGCTGAGGCAGGAGAATTGCTTGAACCCGGGAGGCAGAGGTTTCAGTGAGCTGATAATCCCGCCTAGGTGACACTCTAGCGTAGGTGACAGAGTGAGACTCTGTCTCAAAAAATAAAATAAAATAGATAAAAGAGAGTCAGATTGATCATCCTTCCCATAATCTCCTCAAATCTCTTTGTAATACTGTTTCTAAATATATTTCCACTTGGATGTTAACAGGACACTATAATTTTGACAAACATTAGATTCGGCTAGTGAAACAAAGATTTCAAGAGGATAGACTGAAAACATCTGTTTTTCTTCACTCATTACCATTACATATATATATGGAATGAATAGAGGGAGTGGTCTTCAGAGGACTTTACATGCTTCCGGGAGGAGAAAAGTGGTTAAGAGAATGATGTTGGAAGAAGTTGAGTGGAGGTAGCTGGAGACAAGGTTGTATGCAAAAGGGGCAATGGGGGGCCAGGGAGATCTTCCTGGAGAAACTCAGGAGCTCCGACCCAGAGGCGGTAGGTGCCAAGGGACTGGCCATCCAGTGTTTATCACCAGGCAAAGAAGTCGACGAGCTCACCTCTAGAGAAATGGACCCAGTTGGGTGGGAATGAGATGGTGGTATAGGAATCCTGCCATTTTAGAGATTCCCAGCCAAAGGGCTGTCATCTAGCCATGTACCCAGAGCTCCTCTTTGGCTGTCCCATTCAGATCTAATGAGGAAACAAACCTACTTGCACCACAGCAGAGGAAACTTACACCAACCACCTATAAGCAATCTAATCCTAGGAAAACCTACACTCATCAGATATATGTGGACACCAGAGTGAGAAAAAGTAAACAAAAAAGTGAACCTGGAAAATCAAGAAACATAAGTTAAAAAGTCTTAATTTATATCACCATGGAGAAGACATACATGCATAAAACAAGAACACGATGCTATGTAAAAAGAATACACATCTATAAAGAGCTCAAGAAAATAATACATAATGCTTTTCATATTGTGTTGAAGAAATCTTTACCTTCCCCAAACTCAAAGTATATTCATTTGTCTTGTATTTTAGGATTGTTATTGTCTTACCTTTCGCATATAGAACAACATTGACTTTGCATACCATGTGAGGTAAGGGTGGATATTTATTTTTTCACATGTGGATATAAAAGTGGCTCAGTTCCATTTACTGAAAAGAACACTCTTTCCCTGTTGCTTTGGAACTTTGTCATAAATTTCAGTGTCCGTATATGTGTGAGTTTATTTCTGGATTTGCTTTTACTTCTTTGGTCCAATTGTCTATTCTTGCATCAATACCACACTGTCACTTTAAAATAAGTTTTGATACGTGGAGTGGAAATACTCCAATTTTTCATCTTCATCATTATCTTGAATATTCCTATCTGCATCTCAATATACATTTTAAAGTCAGTTTGTCACTTCCAAAAAAATCATGCTTGGATTTTGATTGAGATTGCATTAAATCTGCATAGATCAATTTGGAGAAAATTGATGTCTTTTACATTTTTGGATAGCAAACATAGTGTATCCCTTTATTTGCTTAGTTCTTTAAAATTCTTTAAAAGTTTTCTGTGTACAGGTTGTGCACATTTTTCATTAGAATTACCCATAGGGTTTTTTTAAGCTGTCATAAATAGTATATTTAATTATTTTTAGTTTGGAATCTTTGCTGCTGAATAGAAATATAATTGATTTTTAACTACTTTTTATGTTAAAATAATTATAGATTCACAGAAAGTTGCGAAAATAGTAGAGGGATCCTCTGTACCCTTCAAGTCAGTTTTTCCCATTCATAAGACCTTATTTAATTATAACAATATCAAAACTGGGAGATTGACATTGGTACAATTTATTCAGATTTCTGTTTTACATGTACTTATTTGCATGTATGGGTGTGTGTATACTTCTATGAATTTTGTTAAATGTGTAGATTCATGTAATCACCCACCACAATCAAGAAACAAGAATGGTGTCAGCTCTGTAAAGGTGTCCCTCATGTTTCTTTATGGTCGCACCCACCTACGCCCACACCCCTCAGTCCTGGCATCCATTGTTGTGGTCTCCATTTCCAGAATTTTGTCACTTGGAAACTGTCAAATAAATGGAATCAGACAGTGTACGATCTTTTGAGATCGGCTTTGTTTTTCACTCAGTGTAATGCCCTTGAGACCCATACAAGTTGTTGTATGCAACCATAGGGTCTTCTTTGTCTTCCTTTTTATTACTGAATAGCATTTCGGGGTATGTACACATCACAGTTCAACAAGGACAGGCAGGTTGTTTCAATAAAGCTGCTATGAACATTGGTGTATGACTTTGTGTGTGTGTGTGTACATAAGGGTTTTTTTCTTTGGAAGAAATGCCCACAAGCTCAAGGGTTGGGTCATAATGGCAAATGTGTGCTTTGATTTTTGTGTTTAAGAAATGGCCAAACTATTTTCCAGAGTGGCTATAGCCATTTTACATTCCTACCAGTAATATATGAGAGATCAGTTTCTCCTTTTTCTCACTAGCATTTGGTATTGTTGCTATTTTGTATTTTAATTCTAACAGATGTGTAGTGCTATCTCATTGTGGGTTTTCATTTGTCTCCTAGTGGCTGATAATATTAAACCTTATTTCATGTGCTTATTTGCCATGTGTATATCTTCTTTGGTTAAATGATTCTTCATGTCTTTTGCCCATTTTCTAACTGGATGTTAGGTGTTTTTTACTGTTGAGAGTTCTTTATGTATTTTAGATATGCATTCTGTGCCTAATATATGGTTTACAAATATTATCTCCCATTCTGAAGTTTGTATTCTCTTTCTTAAGAAGGTCTCTCAAAGAGCAGTTTTTATATTGATGAAGTTCAGTTTATCAATTTTTTCTTTCATGGATCCTGCTTTGGTGTCATGTTTAAGAACACTTCATCTAGCCCCAGATCTCAAAGGTTTTCTCCTATATTTTCTTCTAAAAGTATTGTTATATTATGTTTTATGTACACATTCACAATACATTTTGAGTTAACTTTGTATAAGCAGTGTGGTTGTTTGAGAATTTTTTTTTCTTGGCCTATGGATGTCCAGTTTTTCTAGCACCATTTGTTGAAAAAGGGTATGTTTCCATTATTGCACAGTTTTTAGTACATTTGTCAAAAATAGGTTGGGCAGTTATAATTGTGTGACTTGATTTCTAGGTTGTCTATCCTGTCCCATTGATCTGTGTCAATTTCTATGTCAACAACACACTGTCTTGATGACTATAGCTATATGGAAAGTCTTAAAATCAGATAAATTGGTACTTTATACTTTTTTCTATAATTATTTTAGCAGTTCCAGCTCCTTTGCCTTTCCATGTTCATTTTATAATAAGCTTGTCTATATCTACAAAAACATCTTCCTGGCATTTTGATACAGTTGCATTAAACTTATGTGCAAATTCAGGGGAAATGGGCATCTTTACTATGTTGATGCCCTCTAGCTCATGAACATGGTACACCTCTCCAGTGACTTACATCATCTTTGATTTCTTTCCTTAGCACTTTATAGTTTTCAGCATAGGAGTTCTCTACATGAATTGCCAGATTTATACCTAAGTACTTGTCTTTTTTGAGATTGTAGATGGTATTGTGTTTTTATTTTGGTTTTCATGTGTTCTTTGCTAGCATAAAGAATCACATTTGACTTTTCTGTGTTGATCTTATATCCTGTGACCTTGATGATCTCATTTATTTTTAACAATTAATCCAATTTATTTATTAGTTATAAGCCTATTTAAATAATCTATTTCCTATTCCATGAGGTTTTAGTAATTTGTGCAATTCAAGTAATTGGTCTATTTTATTCCAAAATGCTGAATTACTAAGTGTAGAGTTTTTCTTAGTATTCTCTTATCATGTTACTCACTGCTGGATATGTACTAATATCCCATTTATTTCTGATATTGGCAATTTGTGCTATCTCTCTTTTTCTCTGTCAGTCTTGCCAAAAGTATGTCAATGTTATTGATCTTTTCAAAGAACTAGTTTGTTTCATTGACTTTTTTTGGTTGTTTTTCTGTTTTGAATGTAATTGATTTCTTGTCTTTGTTATTTTCATTCTTCCACTTGCTTTGGGTTTATTTTGCTCTCTATTTCTGGTTTCTCTATTTCTAAGTTTCTAGCAACTTAGATTGTTGATTTGAAATCTTACTTCCTTTTTTAATGCAAATATTTACTGCTATTAGTGTCTCTCCCAGCACTGCTTTAACCGTGTTCCACATAATTCAATATTTTGTATATTCATTTTTATTTTGTTCAACGTATTTTTTAAAAATTTCTGTGAGACTTTTTGACCACCAGATTATTTAGAAGCACGTTGTTTAATTCCCAAATGTTTGGAGATTTTTCTATTATCTTCTGTTATTGATTCTAGTTTGTTTTTACATGGTGAAAAAAACACACTCTCTATGATTTCAATTATTTTAAATCATTGAGTTGAAGTGAATTATTGAATTGAATTTTACAACCCGGGATATGATCTATCTTGGTGAGTGTTCCACAGGTTTTGATAAGATTGTGTATTCAGCTGTTATTGGCTGGAGTATTGTGTACAGACTGATTGGATCTTGTTGATTGATAATATTGTTTAGTTGTTCTATATGCTTGATTTTCTGTATATTAGTTATACCAGTTTCTGAGGGGGGTGGTGTTGAAATCCCCAACTATAATTTTGGCTTTGTCTATTTCTCTATTGTTCTCAGCTGTATCAATTTTTGCTTGAAGTATTTTGAGGCTATGGTTTTTTCGTGCATACACATTTAGGATCATTTTGTCTTCTAGGCAGATTGATCCATTTATCATTATGTAATGTGCCTAATCCTTGTCCTTAGTAACTTTCTTTGATCTAAAGCCTACTTTATCTGATACTAACATAACTAGTCTTTCTTTATTTTGATTAATGTTTGCATGTATATCTTTGTCTACCTTTTACTTTCCACCTACCATTTTCATTGCATTTGAAGTGAGTTTTTAAAAAACACATATACAGTTGACCCTTGAACAATGCGAGGGTTAGGGGCCGACGTAACTCTCACAGTTGAAAATCTGCATATGACTTTTCTCCCTCAAAACTTTACTAATAGCCTACTGTTGACTAAAGCCTTATCCATAACCTAAACAGTCAATTAACACATATTTTGTATGTTATATGTATTATCTACTATATTCTTACAGTAAAGTAAGCTAGAGAAAAGAAAATATTATTAAGAAAATCAGAAGAGAAAACATGTTTACCATTTATTAAGTGGATCACCATAAAGATTTTCATCTGTATTGTCTTCATGTTGAGTAGGCCAGGGAGGAAGAACAAGAGGAGTTGGTTTTGCTGTCTCAGGGGTGGCAGATGTGGAGGAGGTAGAAGAGGTTAGGAGGGAAAGCAGGAGAGGAAAGCACGTTTGGTGTAACTTGTATTGGAAAAACCCACTTATAAATGGACCCACACAGTTCAAACACATGTTGTTCAAGGGTAAACTGCAGTGGAGTCATGGTTTTTTATACAATCTACCAATCCATATATATACGTCACAAATGAATCCCCAGCTCTGTCACTCACCCAGGCTGAAGTGCAGTGGCGTGATCTTGGCTCACTGCCACCTCCATCTCCTGGGTTCAAGCGATTCTCCTGCCTCAGCCTCCCGAGTACCTGGGATTACAGGTGCCCACCAGCATGACCAGCAAGTTTTTGTATTTTTAGTAGAGACTGAGTTTCACTATGTTGGCCAAGCTGGTCTCAAACTCCTGACCTCAGGTGATTCTCCCACCTTGGCCTCTCAAAGTGCTGAGATTAGAGGTGTGAGCCCCGTACCTGGCCCCAGTCCCTATATTTTAATAGTAAAACTAGATTATTTATACTTAAGGTAGTAATTTATATTAGAGCTATTGTGTGCCATTTTATTACTTGTTTTTTGTTTGTATCCTCTGTTTCTCATTCCTGTTTCTCTTTTGTCTTCATGAGGGCGATTTACAGTTTTTATGTTTGTTTATTTTTAGAATTGTTTAGAATTGTAAATTGTTTAGAATTGTAGAATTATGTTTAGCATTGTTTTTATGTTTGTTTATTTTTAGAATTTGATCTTGACCTATTTATAATGTTTGGGTGTATAGTTTTGTACAGTTTTTTTCTTAGTCTTTGTTCTGGTTTGTGGAAAGATTTTTCAACAACAAGTTCAATTTCTTTAGTAGATATAGGACCATTCAGGTTGTTATATTTCTTCTTGAATGTTGGTAGCTTTTGTCTTTCAAAAAATTGGTTTTTTTGAATTTTGAATTCAAAAACCCAAATTTGAATAGGTTTTCAAATGTATGATCATATTTTGGTTATAAAATTCCTTGATTATGCTTCTAATATCTGTGAGGTTTCTAGTGATATCCACTATTTCTTAATATTGATCATTTGTGTGTTCTTTCTTTTTTTTTCTTGGTCAGTATTGCTAGAAGTCTATACATTATATTAATTTTTTTCAATAAACCAGCCTTTTGCTGTATTTATTTTTTTCTATTCTTTCTGTTTTTCATTTCATTGATTTCTGCTCCTACCCTTATTATTTCTTTCCTTTTGCTTGCTTTGGGTTTAATTTGCTCTAATATTTCTAGTTCAATAGGGTGGAAGAAACTTTCTTTTCTAATAGAAGCTTTAATACTACCTATTTTTTTCTCTAACCACTGCTTTAGCAATACCCATTTGTGATTAAAATTCTCAATAAGATAGAAATAGAGAGAAACTAATCCAACTTGATGAAGAATGCCTACAAATATCTACAAACTACATTGTATTTAATGGCGAAAGGCTGAATATTTTCCCCTGCAATTAAGGGCAAGGTAAGGATATCCACTCTCACTACTCTTGTTCAGCATTGTACTAAAACTCTAATCACTGCTGTTAGGCTATAAAAAGAAATAAAAGGCATACAGTTTTAAAAGGAAGAAATAAAACTGTTCCTATTTGCAGATAACAGAGTTGACTACATGGAAACCCCAATGAATCTACACTAAAATTTCCTGGGAGTAGTAAATTCAGAAATGTTGTGGGATACAAGATAAACACATAATTATCAATCACATTTTTATATACAAAACATAAATATGTGGAACTCAGAAACAGGATACCATTAACAATGAAAAACAACCTCACACCTGTTAGAATGGCTAAATCCAAAACTCCAAGAAGACCAATGCTGGTGAGGATGTGGAGCAAGAGGAACTCTCAGTCGTTGTTGGTGGGAAAGCAAAATAGTGCAGCCACTTCGGAAAATAGTTTGGTAGTGGTTTTTTTCTGTTTGTTTTTGATTTTACAAGTTAAACATACTTTACTATCCAGCAATCATATTTCTTGGTATTTACTTAAATGAGTTGAAAACTTAATGTCTACACAAAAATCTACACGGAAATATTTACAGGGCTTTATCCATAATTGCCAAAAATTGAAAACAACCCAAATGTTCTTCAAGAGATGAACAGATAAAGAAAATGTGGCCCATCCACACAATGGAACATTATTCCCCAATATGAAAATGAGCTATCAAGCCACAAAAAGCCATTGAGGAACCTGAAATTGCTGATAAACCAGTCTGAAAAGATTATGTATTGTGTGATTCCAACTCTGTGATATTCTGGGAAAGTCAAACCTATGTAGACAGTAAAAGGATCAGTGATTTTCAGCAAATTCTTAATGATGTTTTCATGTGTGTGTTTCTTTGTTTATTGTCCAACTTAAGGATTATAGAGCTTCCTGAATTTATCGCTTAATGTCTTTTATCAGTTTAGAAAAATCATTGTCTAAAGCCTCTTCAAATATACCTTTTGCCCCATTTTCATTTTCCTCTTCTTTTGAGACTTCAGTATCCACCAATGTTAGATTTTGGGACTGTGTCTCATATGTCTCTTATTCTCTTTTCTGTGTTTTCCACTCTTTATTTCTCTCTGTGATTCATTCTGTATATTTTCTATTGACCTTGCTTTCAGCTCACTACTCCTTTATCTTGCTATACCTAATCTGCTGTTAAGCCCATCTGTAGAGGTGAGTTTTAACTTTTTAATTTATTTTCTTTTTAAAACATACAACAAAACTTATCATCGTAACTATTTGTAAGTGTTCAATAATGTTAAGTACATTCACATTGTTGTGCAACCAAACCTCCAGGAACTGAAACTATAACCATTCATCTTGCAGAACTGAAACTATAACCATTGAACAACTCTCCATTTTCTCCTCCCCCAGCGCCTGGCAACCACCATTCTACTTTCTGCCTCTATGAATTTGACTACACCATATATAAGTGAAATCATACATTAATTGTCATTTTGTAACTGGCTTATTTTACTTAGCATAGTGTCCTTGAGGTTCATCCATGTTGTAACATGAGCCAGAATTTCATTCCTTTTTAAGGCTGAATGATATTCCATTGTTGGATAGACCACATTTTGTTTATACATTCATCTGTTGATGGACACTTAGGTTGCTTCTGCATTTTGGCTACTGTGAATAATGCTGCTATGAACATGGGTGTACAAATATTCCTTTGATAGCTTGCTTTTGGTTCTTTTGGGTATGTACCCAGAAGTGGAATTGCTGGATCATATGCTAATTATGTGCTTAAGTTTTTAAGAAACTGCCAAGCCGTTTTCTTTAGTGGCTGAACTATTTTACATTTCCACCAACAGTGCACGAGTATTCCAACTTCTCCAAATCCTTGCCCAAATTTGTTATTTTTTGCTTTAAGAATAGCCATACTAATGTGTGAGAAGTGGTATTTCATTGTGGTTTGGATTTGCATTTCTGTAAAGATTAGCAGTGTTAAACACTTTTTCACATGCTTCTTGGCCATTTGTGTATCAGTTTTGAAGAAATATCTATTAAATTTCTTTGCCTGTTTTTTAAACAATTTTTTGTTTGTGCCTTGTAGTTGAGTTATAAAAGTTCTTTGTATATTCTGGATATTAACCCCTTTACAAATATATGACTTGCAAATATTTTCTTCCATTCTACAGGTTGTCTTTTCACATTCACGAAACTTTGTTGGTTTTGTTTTGTTTTGTTTTGTTTTGTTTTGATTTGTTTTGTTTTGTTTTTGAGATGGAGTCTCCCTGTGTCGCACAGGCTGGAGTGCAATGGTGTGATCTCGGTTCACTGCAACCTCCACCTCTCGGGTTCAAGCAATTCTCTGCCTCAGCCTCCCGAGTGGCTGGGATTACAGGTGCACACCACCATGCCTGGCTAATTTTTTGTATCTTTAGTAGAGACGGGGTTTCACTCGAACTTCTGACCTCGTGATCTCCCCGTCTCAGCCTCCTAAAATGCTGGGATTACAGGCGTGAGCCATTGCACCTGGCCTGAAACTTTAACAGTAATTTCTGTTATCAAATTTCCATTTGATTCTATCTCATTGATTACATTTCTCTGCATAAATTTTCAATCTTTTCACTTATTTTAACATAATAATTAAATATTCCAATATAACTCCAGTATCTGTATCACCTGCAGGTTTCTTTCTAGAGTATTTTCTTACTTGTTAATTTTTGCCATTCCTTGGGATGTCTGATAATTTTTTATTGCATGCTGGATATTGTATATGAAAAATTATAGACAAAATTTGAGGTTCGCTAACATTATCATCCTCCACAGAGAATCGATTTTGGCCCCTGGCAGGCAGTTAAAGTAGAGGTGGGACACCTTATCCAGTCTGAGACTGAGTTGATTCAAAATTAGGTTTTAATTCTGAAGGAGAGCTGGCTTTTTTCTGCCTTGCCCTTTAATCCTAGGTTGCACCCTTTTCATGATATTAATAGAAAACCTGGGGTATATACCAGAGCCCCACCTTCTAAGTGGGCTCTTCACTAAAGTTTTGCCTCCCCAGACTTATGTGACTACCAAAACTCTTCATTATTTTCCAGGTTTTTAGCTCTTGAATTCATACTGTCCATGGTGGAAAAAAATGTTGGTTCGTCTCAATTTGGCTTCTCTTTCTCTGGGATCTTAGACTTCCAAGTCTTGGCCTCCTTGGGAGCTCTGACATCTATGTTTTGTTTCCTCACTTACTACAAGGCTACTGAAAGCTGAACTCACGTTCCCAGGCTTATTAGCTGCTATTTCCTGCTCTTTGGCCCACACCACTTTCAAATTAGCAAACCTCTCACAGGTAGACACACTACGGAATGTAGGGCTCACTCCTATGCCCTTCCTTCCCTCTGGTATCCCCTTAAGTCCAGTCCTCATGAGTGACTCTCCAATGCTTTCAAATAAATTTTTTTAGGGGTGGGGATTTTTTACAGCATTTCTAATTGTTTTTGGTGGTCTGGAACATGTATTTCTATCATTACCTGATGCCTTTTCTGGAGCTTAAAGAAATAAAATTATGATTACCAAATGAAAACATAAATGAGTAGACAGGCTGAAAGTCAAAGTCAAGATTTTTCAGTAAACAAGCAGAAAGACAGTGTCATAAACTTTAGTCAAAAAGATAAAGAGAAAAAGAGTCAATCTACCAGGTAGAACAACCAACTAATAGGAGATCCTGCAGTGTCAGAGTTAGTGAAAGTAGGGATAGATCAGAATACTTCAGGTTAAAAGAGACTACTAAATGTCAACTAGGATAATTGAAAAAAATCCAATAAATGAATCCAAATGTAATGAAAGCATTCAGAACACCAAAGATGTTTATTTTTAATGCTAGATGCTTCCAGAGGGCAAAATTTCCAAGTACAAAGTAATAAGTCTTTCTGGTAGGAATCCTCACGTCAGCACCAATCAAGTGATAGAAGACAATGGAACAATATCTTCACAATTCTATGGGAAGCTTATGTTAATATATAATTTTATTCCCAGGTAAACTATCAATTAATTATGTGAAATGGAATGAATATAGACATTTTCAGAAAGACAGGACTTAAAGTTTTCCTCCCATGTACCTTTTCTACGGAAGTTACTCAAGGATGTGCTTCAAGAAAATAAGGAAGGAAAACAAAAAAAGAGAAGGAAGTGAAATTCAGAACACACTTGAAATCTAACCCAGGTAGGGGGAGGAGAAGTGATCAGTGAAGGGAATTTCCAGAATGATATCTGGCCAGCAGTCCTAGATAGCAACCAATCCAGGCTGGAACAGGAAGTGGCAGTGGTCTAGAAGGGATGTTGCTAAGAAAAGTGGATTGCATTCAATGGGTAATATCAGTGAAAAATTGGATGATTTTGAAGATAAGATGAAGATATCTTTTTTAAAACTACTTCAGGATTCTAGGAAAAACATGCTACTTGGAAAAAACATGCTACTTAGAAAAACCATGCTTAAAATGTCAACCAAGATTTGAGCAATTAAAATAAAGGAAAAGATCATTCATTTGATCCAGATATCAGATATACCTTCCTCTCAGTGGTATAGAGATCATAACGTTTGGTTGTAGAGGGAAAGGTAATTCTAGCAACCCCTTGACTAGGTAGAGAATAATATGTAGAATTAGAATAATGTAAATACTATGTATCTACTTGCAACTTTCATATAAATATCTTTAAATAACTTTAAATATAGTAACAGAACAAAATTCAAAAGTTATCAAGTGTGAAATCATAAAGTTAGAATTTGAGAGGTGGAAAAGGGAAAGAAGTGGCAAAGGGAGGGGGTGTGGGGCTAATGCACACATCTCATTCCATGAGGAGTTAGCACAGGCTGACTAAATTGGATGCAACTGAAAACAATGTCTACATGTTGTTTATTTCTATAGTCTTGGTAGTTACATAGGTATATGTTGTCAAAACTCATCAAAACGTACATTTTAAATGGTTACATTTTATTGTATGTAAATTATGCCTCCATAAAGTTGATATCAAAATGTTATTTTAAGAATCAACCTTTAATTTAAAATGTAACCAATAAAATAATAAAAATATATAATTGTGAAAAGTTGGGAAGAGGAATAAGAAATGAGGGATAAATTAGCCAAAGCCTTCTTTTTCTTAATAGGGAGTTAATAAATATTTAAAGGTGATTAATCAAAGAAAACAGCAGTTTAAGATATAAAGTCCCTATCATTAAAATACTGTGACATTTGTGCATGATTGACTAACCAACGGAACAAAATAGAAGGTTCATAAATAGCCCCAATTACATAAACAAATGTAGTATAGGATAAAGATGTCACCTTAAATCAGTGGGACTAAAATGGGCTTTCTAATATATAAGCTATTAAGAAAGTCATATGGAAAATATAAAATCAAATTTGTTCCCCAAACTGTGTATCACAATCAATAAAAACAAATCATAAAATGAATGTTAAAAAAGATAGAAAGAAACCATACCAACACTAGAAGCAAATATGAGCCAATTCCTCTCTAACCAGAATTGAGGAAGCTTCTACTGACTTAAAATCCAGATGAAATAAGGGAAAAGATTATTGACTACATAAAAACAAAATCTTTTTATTTCACATAAAAAAATAATTTTAGAAAATAAAATGGATAAATAACAGACTGGGGTAACTACTTGCAATGTATAACACACAATAAAATTGTTACTGGAAGGAGGGCCTTGAGTGTGAGTTGTCCAGGTCCTTGGCATTTTTAACAAAGAATTGGACAAAACACACAAAGTAACAAACGAATGAAACACAGGAATGAAGCAACAAAAGCAAGGATTTATTAAAGCAAGAAAGCACACCACAGGGTGGGAGTAGGCCCGAGCAAGCAGCTCAAGGGCCTGGTTACAAAGTTTTCTGGGTTTTAAGTACTCCTTTTGAGGTCCCTGATACGGTTTGGCTGTGTCCCCACCCAAATCCCATCTTGAATTGTAGTACCCATAATCCCCAGTTGGAGGTAATTGAATCATGGGAGTGGTTACCCCCATGCTGCTGTTCTTGTGATAGTGAGTTCTCATGAGATCTGATGGTTTTATAAGGGGCTTTTCCCTCTTTTCTCAGCACTTATCCTTGCTGCCATCATGTGAAGAAGGATGTGTTTGCTTCCCCTTCTACCATAATTGTAAGTTTTCTAAGGCCTCCCCAGCCATGCAGAACTGTGAGTCAATTAAATCTCTTTTCTTTATAAATTACCCAGTCTTGGGTATTTCTTTATAGCAGTGTGAGAACAAACTAATACAGTAAATTGGTACCACAGAGAGTGGGCGCTGCTATAAAGATACCTGAAAATGTAAAAGTGACTTTGGAACTGGGTAACAGGCAAAGGTTGGAACAGTTTTAAACGGAGGGCTCAGAAGAAGACAGGAAAATGTGGGAAAGTTTGGAACTTCCTAGAGACTTGTTGAATGGCTTTGACCAAAATGCTGATAGTGATATGTACAATGAAGTCCAGGCTGAGGTGGTCTCAGATGGAGATGAGGAACTTGTTGGGAACTGGAGCAAAGATGACTCTTGCTATGCTTTAGCAAACAGACTGGCAGCTTTTTGCCCCTGCTTAAGAGATCTGTGGGACTTTGACCTCGAGAGAGATGATTTAAGGTCTCTGGCAGAAGAAATTTCTAAGCAGCAAAGCATTCAAGAAGTGGGGTATAAATGTTTTTGGAAAATTTGCAGCCTGATGATGTGATAGAAAAGAACAACCCTTTTTCTGGGGAGAAATTCAAGCCAGCTTCAAAAATTTGCATAAATAATGAAGAGCCAAATGTTAATCACCAAGACAATGGGGAAAATGTCTCCAGGGAATGTCAGAGACTTTCATGACAGCCCCTCCCATCACAGGTCCAGAGGCTTAGGAGGAAGAAATGATTTTGTGGGTTGGGCCCAGAGCCCCCCTGCTCTATGCAGCCTCAGAACATGGTACCCTGTGTCCCAGGTTTTTCAGCTCCAGATGTGACTAAAAAGGGCCAACCTATGGTTCAGGTCCTTGCTTCAGAGAGTGTAAGCTCCAAGCCTTGGTGGCTTACAGATGGTGTTGAGCCTGCAGGTACACAGAAGTCAAGAACTGAGGTTTGGGAACCTCCACCTAGATTTCAGAGGATATATGGACATGCCTGGGTATCTAGGCAAAAGTTTGCTGCAGGGGCAGAGCCTTTATGGAGAACCTCTGTTAGGGCAGTGCAGAAGGGAAATGTGGGGTGGAAGCCCCCACACAGAGTCCCCACTGGGGCACTGCCTAGTGGAGCTGTGAGAAGAGGGCCACCGTCCTCCAGATCCCAGAATGATAAATCCACCAACAGCTTGCACCATGTGCCTGGAAAAGCTGCAGACACTCAACACCAGCCAGTGAAAGCAGTCAGGAGGGGGCCTGTATCCTGTGAAGCCACAGGAGTGGAGCTGCCCAAGGCCATGGGAGCCCACCTCTTGCAACAGCATTCCATGGATGTGAGACATGGCCTCAAAGGAGATCATTATGGAACTTTAAGGCTTAATGATTGCCCTGTTGGATTTTGGACTTGCAAAGGGCCTCTAGCCCCTTTGTTTTGGCCAATTTCTCCCTTTGAAAGGGACATATTTTTCCCAATGCCTGTATCCCCATTGTATCTAGGAAGTAACTAACTTGCTTTTGATTTTACAGGGTCATAGGTGGAAGGGACTTGCCCTTATCTCAGATGAGTCTATGGACTTGGACTTTTGGGTTAGTACTGAAATGAGTTAATACCTTGGGGACCTGTTGGGAAGGCATGATTGTGTTTTAAAACATGAGAACATGAGATTTGGGAGGGACCGAGGGTGGAATGATACGGTTTGCCTGCGTCCCCACCCAAATCTCATCTTGAATTGTCGCTCCCATAATCCCCAGGTGTCGTGGGAGGGACCCAGTGGGAGGTAACTGAATCATGGGGGCAGTCATCCCCATGCTGCTGTGCTCATGATAGCGAGTGAATTTTCACAAGTTTTGATGGTTTTATAAGGGGCTTCCCCCTTTGCTCAACATTCATTCTTCTCCTTCCTGCCATCATGTGAAGAAGGACATGACTGCTTCTGCTTCTGCCATGATTGTAAGTTTCCTGAGGCTTCTCCAGCCATGTGGAACTGTGAGTCAATTAGACCTCTTTTCTTTATAAATTACCCAGTCTCAGGCAATTCTTTATAGCAGAGTGAGAACAGACTAATACAGTCCCTATGTGCTACCGCTTATCTAAAGGATTGGGTCCGTGGCTTATTAAAGGCTGAGGTGAATTGGTGCCCTAAGCAGATGAAGGGATGGCCCCTGCTTGGCTCACAGCCATCCCACGGCACTCTCCCTTTCCATTTGAGACGTGGTAGAAAGGGGAGGGTTGTAGGGAGAGTAGCCTTTCATCTTTTGCTACTTTGGTGTGGGGAGATGGGGGTTTTCCTTTTGGTTTAGCTTTTGGATCTTGGAGTTAATTGGCCTTAGGTTCCCTGCCCCCAGCCCCAGGTGTTTTCCCTTTTAGGGAGTCAGCAGGAATTGGCCTCAGATTCCCTGCCCCCAGACCTTGGTGTTTTCCCTTGATTCAGCTTTAGGAAGTTAGCACGAATTGGTCTTAAGTTCCCTGTCTCCAGACCTATTCTCCTGCCTGAAATCTATTCCTAATGTATAAACAGTTTCTAAAAATAATCAAGAAAAAGACTAGAGAAATGGGCAGGAGATAGGAGCTGACATCTCACAGAAAAAGCAAAACCTAGTCAGATTATTCAAGCTTCCCTGCCTCCTCCAGTGGGGATGCATTTTAATGATTTTTTTTTACAGCATCATGAATTTATACTGAAATTCAGGATGATAGAATTTTTCTTTAACTTCTTTCAGTCTCATTGTCTCTATCTCCTTTCTCCCATCCTGAGGGTCTCTGTTCCCAATAACACTACCAACATCATGCGTTGGCTCTTAGGCTCATGAAAAAAATGCTCAACTTCCTTGACAGTAAGATGAATGCAAATGGAAACTATATTGAGATACAATTTCTAAGTTTAACAACATATGCTGTTGGTGAGGCTGTGGTGAAACAGACATTCAAACATTTTTTGCTGGGAATAAAATACTTCAGAGGGGGATTTGGCACTATTTAGAAGAATTACATATTCATTTACAATTTGACTCAGAAACTCTTCTAGGAATCTGTTCCAAAGATATGATGGCAAAAATTTAAGCAAGACCTGTGCACCAGGGCATTCATTGAAGGATTATTTAATTAGTAAAAGACTAGAAACAGCCACATGCCCATCAATAAGCTGGCTGAAAAAACTATGATACATCCCTCCAGAGGGATACCGCGCAACTGTTCATAGCAGTGTGCAGAGAGAGCAGCTCACTGAGACCAGAGGGTTGGATGCAAAGAGGCAGGAGGGGCCTTCCTGGATTGTGGCAATGGCTGCATGACTCTAAAAATATACTACCGCTTGTCCAGCTGGACCTTTCAGATGAGTGAATTTCATGGTATGTAAATTTTACCTAAAAATTGTTTTAGAAAAGGAATGCAAAATATCTTTATAAAAGTGAGCAATGGAGTGGCCTCTAGGGTATATTATTCCATAAACAAAGCAAGGTGGGGAAAAGTAAGGTCATCAAAAGGTGAACACAAATAAACAAACACATTTGTTCATATATATTTTAAGAGGAAGGATAAACAAAGAACTAATAAGGATTGTTACTTACAAAGATAAGGTGGACACTGGTGCAGAAGGGAGGGAAGCTTGAATACTCTGACTAGATTTTGTTTGTAGGTTTAGCTTTAGAACCAGGTAATATTTTACATAATAATAAAACAAAGTTAAATTTATAAAAAGCAATCCCTAAAAAATGCAAACCAACATGAAATACTCAGTTGGTGGCATAACCACTCTAAGAACAAAAGAAAAAACAAAAACTGAACAAACTCGTCTCCTAAACAAGCCTCAAACTGTTTTCAGTCATCATATTGTTGGTGGTTGGTGATAGTGCTGATGTTACTCTGAGCCTGTGGTGTATGTATTGTGGCAAACCCATGATGTTGGTGGTCTTATTGGGAAGAGGGACCTTGGGAGAAAGGAGATATAGATGATGAGATTGAAAGAGGTTACAGA
This sequence comes from Homo sapiens, assembly GCF_000001405.40. Taxonomy (NCBI): domain Eukaryota; kingdom Metazoa; phylum Chordata; class Mammalia; order Primates; family Hominidae; genus Homo; species Homo sapiens. The sequence continues at coordinate 101,904,041 of NC_000002.12, read as the reverse complement.
AAAATACTATCACCTCCAATTTCAGTATAAATTCATGATGCATTTTCTATCATTTAAAAAAAATGGCCAGGCGCTTTGGCTCATGGCCTATAATCCCAGCACTTTGGAAGGCTGAGGCGGGCAGACAACTTGAGCCCAGGAGTTTGAGACCAACCTCGGCAACATAGTGAAACCCTGTTTCTCAAAAAAAATTCAAAAATTAGCTGGATGTGGTGGCCGTGCTTGTAGTCCCAGCTGCTAGGGAGGCTGAGGTAGGGGGATTGCTTGAGCCTGGGAGGTGGAGGTTGCAGTGAGACAAGATGGTGCCACTGCATACCAGCCTGGGATGACAGAGGGAGACCCTGTCTCAAAAAAAAAGAAAAGAAAGAAAGAGAGAGAGAAAGAGGAAAGAAAAAGCAAAGAAAGAAAGAAAGAAAGAAAGAGAAAGAAAGAAAACTTTACATTGAAAAGATGAAGAAAAATGACCTTTGCAGCAGTAAGCAACACAAACACCAGCTTGTGATTGCAAAATACCATTTCCCATGAAAAGAATCCTAATTCCTGGAGAGATGGCTGACTCCAGGGCTAAGGTGGGAAATTAACAAAATGATCCTGGAACTTGTCATACCAGAAAGCAAGAAAGCTATCAAAGACTACTGTCATCATACCTAAAACACCCAAGAGCCAATGTGAAGAGATTTCTACTGGCCAAAGCTGGGACCATTTGAGCATCAATAATCCTAATTTTTTTTTTTCAAAGAAGCATATATCAACCAATTACAATGTGTTTTATTTATTTAGATCTTGATTCAAACATGTTGTTTCAAAAAAACATGAGACAATCAAGTACATTTGAATAATGAATATTTGATGAAATTAAGGAATTATTGTTAGTTTTTTAATGTATAATAATGGTTTAGTGGATTTAGAAATGGATACCGAAACGTTTACAGATAAATGCTATAACGTCTGGGTATTGTTTCAAACTAAGCCATGAGGATAGTGGGGTGGGAGAATAGATTCAAAAGATGGCTGTAAATTGATAATACTTGACCTAGGGGGATGGATACACAGAGGTCCATTCTTTCTATTATTTTTGTATATATTTAAATTTTTTCCATAATAATAAGTTTTAAAAAGTGCTATAAGCTTAGCCTACTATTTATATATACAATGTGTAGTAGATATGAGTTTGCTTCACAACTTCAGGGCAAAAAGTGGCACATTATTTTTAAGAATCAGGTCCAATCTGCTCCAAGCCCCCACTGGTTAGAATGTTGAGGAATCTAACCTACAGAGTGTTTAGGGGATGGCTCCTTCCCTGTAGGGTTGCACCAGAACCTCTGGGGCTTTAAAGTCATCTGGAAACAGGAGCTAGGTCTGGAGCGTCACTCCATGGAACACTCATTGTTCCAGCCTATAGGATCTGCCTCTGTGACTGCTCACTTCCCAAAACACTTCACCTCTCCGAGGTCCCATCACCTGATGAAGGACAAACTGGACAAGCCTCCACTTGCAGAACCCCCTTCTAAACTTGTCTTCACTGCCAGCTTCAGGAGGCTCACTCTTTCACCTTGGTTGGACCCTGTGTAATTCTGCTTGGGCTGCCAGAACAAAACGCCACAGTCCAGGTGGCTTAAACACACCAGGAATTCATTGCCTCACAGTTCTGGAGGCTGGAAGTCCAAGATCAAGGTGCCTGCAGGGATGGTTTCTCCCAAGACCTCTCTCCTTGGCTTGCAGAAGGCCACCTCCCTGCTGTGTCCTCACGTGGCCTCTCCATGTGCATGTGCATCCTAGTGTCTCTTACTGTTCTTATAAGGACACAAGTCCTATTGGATTAGGGCCCACCCTTATGACCTCATTTATCCTTAGTTACCTTAAAAAGGTCCCAACTCCAAGTGCAGTCACACTGGGGGTGAGGGCTTCAACATATGAATTGGGTCGGGGGAGAGGGGCCATTCAGTCCATAACAGATCCCTCTTTTGCCTCTCCAGGCCAAATTTCCTAAATGGGCCTGGCCTCTTAAACAGAGATGTTGGCAGCGAAATTGTCTTCCAGGGACCTGGCAGCTTGTTTTGGCCCTGACATGCAAAACCCATCACTATTCTGGGAGAGAAGTGGGCAGCAAAGGCTTGGCTGCCTCTGCTGAGAACCAGTACAAGCCTTCCACGTCTCACAGCTTCCAGAGCAAAACTCAGCATCCTATTGTATCAGTCAATGTGTATGTACAAAACAAGCAGGGACAGACAAGGGAGTCAGGCCTAAGTCTCTGATTCCTTCTCATTAATGAATTTTCTAATGAGGTTTAAGAAGTGTGGGTGACAGCCTGCACTCTCCCCTCTGGCAGTTGTTTCTGATCTTGAACTCGCCTCATATGGTTATGCTTATCTTAATCTACTTTCCAATGTCCTTAATTGTCCTGTTTTTACTAGCAATTTCTATGGAACAGTGCAATCCCCAAACCAGCAGCCTCAGCACCACATGGAAATTTTCTAGAAATGCAAATTCTCCAGCCCCACATCAGATCTTTACAACAGAAACTCTGGGGTGAGGCCCAGGCATCTGTTGTAATAAGCCCTCTATGGGATCTGATGCATGCTTAAGGTTTGAAACCATGAATCTAGAAAGCTTAAAGGTTCACTCCTGGAAAGGGTATGCAGCCTTGCCGTTAGTCTTTCTCGAGCCCCAGGCTGCACTGTTCTCAAGTGTTCCTCAGGGTTCTCTAAGCACTATATCTTTTAAATTCCTTATAGTGAAATTCCTTTTGGAATCTGTGCTCAAATCAGACCCTCTAACTTTTTACAATAACCTCAGCATGTAACACAGTGGCTTGTACATACTATGGTACTTTGTATTTGTTGAATAGATAAACAAGTTAGTGCACACTGTCATAAAACACTTATTTTGATGCAGATCCTTCATGTTCAGTTTTATGTAGGTTAAAAAAAAAAACAAAGATTCTGATAGCTAAACTTGATTATCTGAAATTAAGAGGAATGTTGTGTAAGATAAAGGTTCAGTCCTAGGTGATTAAGTTATTACTTCTGGTGGATTCCAAGATGGGCATCCTCCTGTGTTACTCTCAATTTACAATGAGGGCTTCCCCATAAACAACTTGGTGGAAACACCTGCATCTAGCTCTCTAGATTGGCATCAAAGCATTAAAGATATAAACTAAGACAATGGGGTTGCACTTAGCAGTAGAGAGCTTCGAGCCTGGACTCTTAGGAGACCTCCTGAGCTTTTCCTGCAGTACGGAGTGATGCAGGAAGAATGGACACTCAACATCCTCTTAGTCAGTGACTAGGTTATGTATGAACATGCTGCAAGGACACCAAGAGTTACTGTCACTTTTCTCAGTTTCTACCACATGAGTCTGTGTTCCTTTCCTTCTTTTACGTGTTATGCGACAGGCACCAGTAACTATACATAATGGTGGAGTGGGATTTTCCCCCACAACTATGAGAAGTCTCTGACAACTTCATTTCCAGGCAGGATGGGCTCCACCTCGCTCCTATCATGTGACTCAGAGGTTGCTACCACCTCCTTCCCTGAACAGGACACGGCATCCTGTCTACAACACCCACCACCTGCCACGGGAAGTGCAGCCAATCGGCTGCACGGATCCTACAGTATGTGGCATGCGACTTCTTGTGGGGACATGAAACACCTCGGCTGATACCCCTCTTCCTCACAGCATCAAGGAAATGAAGGAAACACGGTGCCACGTCTGTCTCCAGAGGAGGAATGAGGTCTTCCTAGGCTCCAGGCACCACCACATTCACCCCTTTGAGATTTGCAAATTGTGTCCTCCACCTATTTTTGGCTCTTCTGCATTTGTTTTATTACAGGCAGGGAACACAAGCTTTATAGATGAGGGGGTGTAAAATCTATTCTCTAAAATCCCGGTTTCTTGATGAAAAGTGAATGAATGAAATGAGTCAATGGGTTTATCAGGATCCCACCCCAGCCTGCATTACAGGTAACATTCCAATGAAACCACATCTTAGTCAGCAAGCCTTTGACTCAAAAAATTAGTGTGCCCAAAACTCCTTGAAAACACTAACCAAACTAATATGCACTGAAGTACAGAAAAATTAGCCTTTAAAGATTAGCAGACTAGGTTCTAATCCTGGCTCCTCCATTGATAAACTCTAAAACAACCTCCAGCAGGTTATGTAATTTTTAGGAGCTCAGTAAGATGTAGACAACAATATTTACCTCCAAAGACTCCAGAGGGGAGTAACCATAATAATGTACATAAAGCCTCTGGCAAAATGGTAGCCTCATGTGGCTATTCAGTGCTCAATGCAGCTAGTGGGACCTGGCAAATGTTGTGTAAAATACATAACAGGTTTCAAAGTTTAGTATGAAATGAAAAAAGTCAATTATCCCATTCTTTATAATACTGATTACATGTTGAAATAACATTCTGCAATATATTGTGAAATATATTACTTTTTTAAAATGTGCACAATTATATATTTTACACTAGAGATCAAGAAAAATGATAGCTTGTGTTGACAGGTTGACTTATTTTTGTGCCTATCTTAAAAGCTTCTGTTACACCTGAATCATTAAAAAGTATCCCAAAATTGCTGACTTCATATATTTTTTAGGTTCTTATCTTGCAAGGTTAACTATTTAAAAATTGTGATCATGTACCTGTGGGCATCAGAATTTTCTCCATATTAGACAACTAAAAATTAGATACAGACATTGACAAATATTATCTATAAACTCCAACAGCAAGGCAGTATCTATTCTCATTGCTTGACCTTTGAATTCAAACTTAAGATCCACACTATTTCTTTAATTGGCCTTATATGACGACACTCTTTTAAAATTAAAAAAAATATATGGGCACTCTATGCTTAACGTTGGAAATCTAACAGATTTGGGTCTGGGTACATGCAGCCATTTCTCTTTTGCCACCTAAAGGGTTGACTACCTGTGGAAAGCTCTCCAGGGCCAGACAGAACTCTGCCTGATCTCTGATCTAGCAGGATCCGCCCATTTCCTGCGGTGGGAAAGCCTGTAGATTTCCTAACCTGGTTGCTGTAGGGTTCACTGGGGAGCCAGCCACAGTACCGGGAATAATCAAGTGTAGCCAGCCTTCCAGAGAGAGGTCCCAGAGAGTGCGCTGAGCCAATGAGACATCCATGTGTCCTGAAGAAGTCCCCACCTCTACCATGGCAGAACCCATTTCTACTGCATCCAGAGTCCATTCACATTTACAAAGAATATTGAAGCCATTTGATGAGTTCAGAAGTGTTCTTGAGTGGCTCATGAATTGCTCACCACCTGATACAGTTTGGCTGTGTCCTCACCCAAATTTCATCTTGAGTTGTAGCTCTCATAATTCCCATGTGTTGTGGGAGGGACCTGGTGAGAGATAATTGAATCATGGGGGAGGTTTCCCTCATACTGTTCTCATGGTAATGAGTAAATCTCATGAGCTTTGATAGTTCCGTAAGTTTTTCTTTTCACTTGGCTCTCATTCTGTCTTGCCTTCCACCATGATTGTGAGGCCTCCCCAGCCACATGAACTATGAGTCCATTAAACCTTTTTCTTTATAAATTACCCAGTGTTGGGTATGTCTTTATCGGCAGCGTGAAAATGGACTAATACACCACCCTTACACATACCTAGTCCCAACTTACCTCAAGGTAGGTGATTCTACGGGGTGCTGAAGGGATTTCAGGTCCTCTACAGCCCAACAAAGCCTGCCTCAAGGGCCGTGAACCTGGCCAGCCATTGAAGTTGCCTGTTTCATCCCGTTAGACAGTTCTGATTGTCCTTTTCATACTGGAGGCCGATGCTGCTCCCAGGGCACTCAACCCACTTTTCCTAGCTCTATCTTCTGGCTCCTGCATTTGTGTCTCTCCAAATAAGTTTAAATTAACAAATGGGTAGCCTAGTCTCCTCTTCTATAGGCTGAGAAGGCAAGTGTAAAAGCCCTTAGTACACACGGCCTGGTGCGTAGCAAATATACATAAAATCCCATTGCTATCATTAATTACCCCAAAGCAGGATGGATTGATCAAGGTTGAATGATATTTTGATTTTTAAAGGAATATATGCTTACTTCTACCAATTATTTTCTTTTCTTTTGACCCATCTTCATTGGATCTAATTTGGAGCCTTGTCCTGCTGTGTCCCTCTCCTGCGATGAGGCTACAGGTGGTCCCTCTATAAGTGTATCTAAGTGTGACCTGACCACCAAAGGGGGTCATCTCTCACTTCGTAATCCATGCAGTTCAAACTCACGCCAGCTATTCTAGCAGCTGCATGCTGTTGTAGCTTAAAAGTGTTAAGTCTCTTTTACACACACACTTACTAAAGGCTCTGCTTTAACATCTGGAATATACTAAGCACTGTTCCAAGTAACCCCTTTAGTTAATTCTGCATTTCCCCAAAGGAGCACCATACCTTAAGACTGTGCTCAGCACACAGTGGTTGCTCAACTTGTTAGATTGACCAGAATGCCACCAAGTTCCCAGAAGTTTACTAGTGTCTACACTTACTCAATGACGTACCCTGCAAATGACAGTCTGGGGACAGTCAGGGCTTCCAGGAGGCAGCACTGAGGAAATGTGCTCTATGACAGTAAGATACATGAGGTGCCAACAGGACAAGGCCCTTGTGAAATGTGACAGCTCCATGTGTTTGCCAAGGATCAGAAAAGGATCCCAGCTCAGCAAAGCCAGCTCTTATGTCCCTTCCTAGGGGTGAGCCCACATAAGTTAGAGGGGACAACCTCAGAACCCTGATTTAGGATTTGGACACAAAGAACGCCCATAGATCCCAACTTTTCCGGGTTGGAGGTTTGCTCTCCACAGCAGGCAGGGCCTATGTTGGCAACTGTGCTTCCAGAACGGTCCCCCATTCCAAAACTTGACTCGCTGCATCTGACCTATGATAAGCCTACGTTTGGCATCAAGATCATCTGTGGAAAGAGATCCCTGGGTTTCTAAGAGCTTAAACTGAAAACACACCTAGGAGGAACCCATTTCTGGAGCTGCTTTTGGGGCTGTTTCCCCTGAGGGGTGAAAGGTTAACTCTGCAACTTTTGAGGCTGGGGACCTAGCTGTCAGTGAGTTAGTTGCAAGTATAACACCAGGAACATAGATTAAGAACCAAGGATGGCAATATAAAGAAATGAAGTGCTGACACGTGCTACAACATGGATGAGCTATAACACACTATGCTACATGACAGGAGCCAGTCACAAAAGGCCACATGGTGACTGGTTCCATTTCTATAAATGTCCACAACAGCCAATCCATAGGGACAGAAAGTAGATTAGGGACTGCCTAAAGCTTGAGGGGGCAGAGTGGAGGGAGGCAGAGATTGGAGGATAACAGCAAAGGGGTATGGAGTATCATCTTGGGGTAATAAAAACGTGGGAAAATTGTTAGTGATGGACACACAACTCTGAATAGACTACAGGCCACCCAATTGTCTACTTAAATGGGTGACTTATGCAGTATGTGAATTGTATCTCAATAAAGCTGTCAAAGAATCAAGAGGTACTCAATACCATTTATTGTGGAACAGTTACTTAATGTTAGTTTCTAAGGGCTGTTACATCAGGGTAAGAGCAGAATGGCCTTGGTCAGCTCTGTCCGCATCCCTCCACAGAACTCTGGTGAGTAACTTGCCTGAATTTTACACTTTTGGCCAAAATAGAAATGAGTATTTTTTAAAAGTCACTTTGTGCTGGAATATCTAATCCAAATTTCTTAGAAACAAGCAAACTAGATTGGTCTCAGAAATCAAGAGTCCTTGCAGTGTTATTCCAGCACCCAAGCTCCAGCTGGAGGGACTGGTAAGTACTAGGAACCTGTTATGGGACAGGATGGCCCATGCCCAGTGCAATGGAGCTCTGCAGCCCTCCTGGGACTACACTTCCCCAGCACTTCCTGGAAGGAAGACCTGGAAGAAGAGGAAGACCAGAGCACTTCCTTGCCCGTCCCACACTGCACAGGCAGGCTGGTTTTCCCTTGGATTAACATAGGAGTTATTTCATGCTACTTAAGCAAACAGCCAGGGACTCTGAGTGCTTGCTCTGTGCCAGCATGTTTGGTAGTTCAGGAGGAGCAGAGTTTAAATTTAATAAGTGGTTAAATTTGAGAAACAATCTCGGCTAATATGCAGGCTATGTATCCCTTAGGAAATAGTGAACAAGATAACAGCAAAGAAGCTGGGCAGGACAGAGGCAAAGATGAGACTGTTTCAGGAAGAATTTGACACAAGGACACAGGCTGATTAACCTAAGGGAGAGGTAGACCAGGTATGGGAACGCAGTATTTGAGTGCCTATCTTCTCACGTAAGAAAATATAGTAACTACTTTCCCCAAGTTTTGATTCCTTAGCCATTTTACTTTATAGAATACATTAGCTACTTCTGCTTAAATGAAGCACGGGTTTTGTTTTGTTTGTTTGTTTTTTTTTTTTTTTTTTGAAGGAGATGCCAGAGAATGCACCAATTTTACTGTATTTTTGAATGTGATGCTAAAACACAGAGCTGGTGTTGGCTGAAGGGTCTTGATTGGATCCCCCGTTGCTCCCATTAAGTGAAATCTCAACCAGTGGAGGAGAAAATTGGAACAGGAGGATTGCATGATGGTCCCAAGAAAACTCCACCAGATTTTTATTCATAATCATCCACCAACTGCAACACACCAAGTAGGAAAAAAAAAAACTTACTCATCTGACAGCCTAAGGAGTTATATTTTCCCTTTAGAGAGAATAGCATGTTTCTAGGATGAAACACGAAGTGGTTTATTAATATGCCTAATTGATGATGATGCAGCACGGGCAGCCCTGGAGACTAAGGCGAGGTGCCAACACTGAGAGCATGGCCCCAGATTTGCCCGACGGCGATCATGCCTACCAGGCCTATGGGGGGGTTGATGGGGAACCCCAGCGCTGAAGACACAATGACCTTACATTGAAGGGGCTCCAATTATTAAACCCAAGTTAGTATTTATGCACCAAACTGAGAAAGAGCTACTTTAATTGACCTATTACAGACATCATGCTGTTGTATTTTTTGATCCAAATTCAAAACTGCAAAAATGTGACATTTCTTTAAGGACCAGCTTTACTCCATACTGTCTTCAGGAACCTGGTGATGGAGGTTCATCTCCCACTTCATCTCTGAGGTCTTTAGACAAACATTTGCTACTTTTGTAATCTATACCTGGCCTTGGGCAAGCCCCTGTCATCTGAAATAGCAAAATACAGGAGCCTGCTCTGGTACGGGAAGCTCAGGGTAGGCAGGTATGCATAAAATATGGATCCTCACAGGAAGGAAACATTCTGAAGGGTCAGAACATATTCGAAACTCATGCCACATAAAATAGGTGTCATTTTTACTTTATTTAAGGAAAAAAGGGTGGGGGGACAACAGTAATTTTCATAATACACAGTAGACAAGTTAGCACTGCAAAAAAAAGGGCTGTGTACTTGCCACCAGTCTGCTTTGCAGCTTTTATAATTAGTAAATTTAATGCAGTTTGTCATTTGTATTACTATTTAGCAAATTAATAATTGGCAAAATTAGGGTAAGTGTGCTACAACTAAGACGAAAACCTAAATAACCCATAAAAAGTCACTTAAAATAAACCATAAATATGTGGTGCGCATTAGTGTAACAAAACCATTTTTGTAAACATTTTCTCCAACGTAACATGTGCATGAGAAAAGAGTAAAAAACACTGCACTCAATACAGAAAGGGTTACTCTGATTTTAATACAGAAAGGTTATTACTTGTGAAAGCTCTGACTAAACCTAGAGACATTTTTGTTTTGTTTGGAAGAGCACTCCTCTAACAGTTCAATGTTCCTTATGTAATGGTGTCATTGCAATACTGTTTTCTTGTGTAATTTTGCCATATTGGCACTTCTGTGGAGAAGTTACTACCCTGTAAAAGGGGGGAAAATAATTCCTTTCCTAAAAGAATCTAAACATTTCGACGACTCCCAATCTTTAACGGAGAAACTTCACTGGGTCCCTGCATCAAGCTATAGCAACTCAATCTGGTTGACAAGGGGGTGAGGCTAAGACGGGAAGGAAAAAAGCCAAGTAAAGCACAGACCAGGAAGCCCCCGCCGAGAAGGACAAAGGGTGTTCCAATTTCAGTAACTTAAGCCCAACAATGGATTCAATTCAGTTCACCACAAACACCACCAGAGTGCCCACCGGGTGCCTGGAGCTGCACAAGCAAGCCAAGCACAACTCGGTGTGAGCTCAGACCCCTTTACCACCTATGGGAAAGCCAGCAAGTTCTAAGCACTTGGTAATTCCAATGAAACACCATTTGCATTTTTTTTTGTGTAACATTTGACTTACAGACATGGAGCTTCAAGTCTTTGGATAATGTTAAGACCATTATGCCACATCCTTTGTTCTCTGCCTTCTCCCACTTAGCATCAGACATTGAGCATTTCTTCAAAGACATCTGCCCACCTTTTACTGTTCTCCACCTGTGCCTTTCCTTCTTCTCTTGATATGTACACGAGTGTGTTCACTGTGGCATGTTTCATCTTATGAAAAGCCTAAACATGGATATAAATTACAAGCAGGAATTTAATTCTAACTAAAGTCCTGTGGCGATGGAATCCAGCCTACCTCAAATCCCTTTAAAGGTAGGATTAATTTTTCAACCTTCTCTAGGTTAACTACAAACCAGTAGGCGGCTTTGGCCTTCAGCACTGCTCCAAACTCATACAAATGAAACATCCATTTCCATCTTCTTTTACTTCCCCAAAAAGTAAGCTTCTCAGCTTGTCTTTACAGGTATACACAAAACCACCAGCTGCTGTGTCTGCATTCATGAGTGGATGTACTTGTCTTACCAGATGTTTGTAGCTCAAAGGAGGGCCTTTTTCAAAAAGATGGAACCAGGAACAGGAAACTGACAAGAGGTCAGAGTGGGTGCCAAGTGGGATGGGAAGCAAACAGGTACAAATGGCTGCTGTGTTTAGGTGGGTGGGAGCAGAGGGAAAATCCCCCATTTTCACAATATACAGGAAAATTAACCACAAAGGAAAAAGATCAAGCCTAAAAAACAGCAAGTTTCTTTTGATGACTGAGGTTAAAGCAGCCATAATGCAGTTATTTCCACTCAGAACTCGACAAGAGGAAAGTAAGATGGCAGGACTGTGACATGGAGTCCTGATCCTTTCCTGAGACGGTAATATCCTTACGGGAGCTTGAGTGATGACCATGAAGCCATGAAACAAATTCTTTCTCAAGACATTTATTACAAATGTCATGAATATATTCATAAAGTAAAATTGGTTTAAAAAAACAGAGAACAAGAGAGCAAGTGAGAAAACGAGAAAAGCCAGGACTTCGATATTACACCTAAAACACAGAAGATGCCCACTTTATGAATAAGCAGAATTAACTACATTCTTAAAATAGTTTTAGTGCATTGCATTTTTAGAAAAGGGAAACTCCCCCACCCCCAAGAAAAGGTTCCTGCAACACTGAACAGTTTGTGTGACTATTCTAATGTAACCACCTGTCTGCTACCAACCCCTCTACATCGAGAACAATGAGATCTTGTGTCATGGGCTGCAGTTGCCCCATCAACCTCTAATGGTGAATCTGGTAAAAACAAAGCATTCTGGTTTCTAAACTTGTAAGTAAACTGCATCAGCCTTAAGGCTATTTCCCATCTTCATGGACAGTTCTTGTGCCTGCTGATTTGTGACAATAAAAGTCAAACTTCAATCTGGTCGTTTTGGTATTAAGATTAAATTAAACATTAATGGTTTCTTCCAAAAACATATAAACTAAATCACCTCTCAATGCATTAAGAACAATGAGGTAGGCAAAAAAAAAATAAACATGTGGTTTGAATTTTTTTCTTTCTTCTGCAAGTGCAGACTGTGGTAAAACTTTTGTTGCACGTCTAGGTTTAAACAAAAATTAAACCTTTAACTGAGGCAGTGCTAATACTGTCACACGACAAAGTTCTGGCCATTATACAAAATGCACACGTTTTCTTTTTCTTTTTTTTTTTCCTTTTTTTTTTTTTTTTTTTTTTTTTTTTAGAACCATCTGCACATGATTTAGGCAACCTGGTACACAGAAAAATGACTGAGTTCTTGGCCAGGACCCCCACCCCAAATCCAAAGAAACAAAATGGGACCCCTTAACCCACCCCACCCCATCTCCCAAGCCCCACCCACAAAAAAGTTATCCTAGTAACTGTGTCTTTCACATTTTATAAATATTAACTTCTTAAACCTGCATCTTCTTCTTTGTCCACATATCGTCACATTACAAAAAAGAAATGTCAATTAAATACACTGTTAATGTTACTATATTAAATCTGCTCTCTGCTTCAGCACTCCGCTCCTTTTACCACCACTTCTCACCTCCTTGTGCCCACTGCCAATAAAACCAACGGCATGTTCATCGTCGCCACTGTCAGACACCCACAAGACAGAGTCATTCAGAGACAAGGAATTCTGGAGCTGGAGGAAAGGTGTTTGCTTTCCAGTATGATGCTCAATCCCAAACACTTATAGCACCTGATGGTAGAATCTGAACAGCACCAGCTGCATTGCAGCCTTGATTTATTTTGGAGTAAGAAAAAAAAAAAGAATGGGGATAAACTGGTATATAAGAGGAACAGGAAGGAGGGGAGAGAACCCAACACATGAGGTCTGCACACACAGCTGTCCTGGTTGCCCTCGGTGCAGCTCCGAGCTCCAGTTACAAGGAATTCCAAGTTCTCAGGATCTTGAAGACTCTGGAGGCCAGTAATCCCTGGATCACACTGCTTCTACCAGCTCAGAAGAGAAGTCCTGCCTAAGGTCATGAAATAAACCTGACTGCTGCCACCAGACCGAACAGAGGCAAAGAACACCTGCAAAAGCAAGAAAAGAGAGGGAATGGTTACCATGGTCATGAAGCACTTCCAGCCAGGGAATCTAAGCCACCATCATCCTCAACACTGTCAAGTACGAGAAGCTTAGACTCCCAAAGAGCCTTTTCAAAAGAAACTCTGAGGCCAGGTGCAGTGGCTCACACCTGTAATCCCAGCACTTTGGGAGGCCAGGAGTTCCAGACCAGTCTGGCCAACATGACAAAACCCATCTCTACTAAAAATACCATGTGGTGGCACACACCTGTAATCCCAGCTACTCAGGAGGCTGAGGCATGAGAATCACTTGAACCCGGGAGGTGGAGGCTGCAGTGAGCCAAGGTCACACCACTGCATTCCAGCCTGGGCAACAGAGCAAGACTCTGTCTCAAAAAATAAATAAATAAATAAAAAGGCTGGGCATGGTGGCTCATGCCTGTAATCCCAGCACTTTGGGAGGCCGACGTAGGCGGACCATGAGGTCAGGAGTTCAAGACCAGCCTGGCCAAGATAGTGAAACCGCATCTCTACTAAAAACACAAAAAATTAGCTGGGCATGGTGGTGGGCTCCTGTAATCCCAGCTACTCAGGAGGCTGAGGAAGAGAATTGCTTGCACCCAGGAGGTTCAGGTTGCAGTGAGCCGAGATCACGCCACTGCACTCCATCCTGGGCGACAGAGCAAGACTCCGTCACCAAAACAAACAAACAAACAAAAACAACCCACAAAAACCTCTGGGGCAATTATCAATTTATAATTTGTAAGGAGTGACCATCTGCAGCCAATTTTTATTACAACTCAGGCTTGTTACTACTAACTCCTTACACGTTGGCATATTGTGAGACAACAAAGGAAAAAAATGGATGTTTCTGAAGTTATTTCTTTCCACTTCTACTGTTAACACCTTCTAATAAATAAATGTCTTTAAAAAACACAATGAGCATCACGGAAGACTCCTTAACAACCTAATTTCTTTTTAAAAATCAACAAAAAATGTATTAATTACTTCATATAACCCATAAATAGAATTTTTGTGCCATTTATTAATAAATCTTAAAGGACATGACATGCATGATAAAAATATTTAAATGCCTGAAATTCAAAGAATGCTATAGTTGCAGCTATGGTAAACATACTTAGGAAAGTATAAGCCAACAAGCTGACAAAATCCTGGATTAGGTCTGAGCTGTAGAGATTTTCAAGGTCACAGATTTGGGAGATAATCTGTAGGCAAAACTCCACTTGAAACTGAGTTGTAGGGTTGCAGAAGACAGTGGGTAGAGGTGAAGTGACTTTGTGTTTGGGATGTATCGGGCAAGCAGGACCAGCTGCCAAGGACATATGTGTAGCTTCTTCTTTCTTGCATTAAATGACTAAATGTTTAAATCTGAGAACTGGGCTGACTGCTAGTCTGTCAATGTGACGCAAAAGGTGGAAACGTTCTTCAGGGCCAAGTTTCAAAGGTCGTGGTGTCTTGCCTTAGGTAGTCAGACATGCCTTTGTCTGACTGGGCAGAAGAAAGAAAGGGTAGGCTTAGTAAAAATCAGTTCCACCCTCGATGCCTTCTCCCTTGGCAAACAGGGATGGGTCAACGCCCCTGGCCATCTATCTGCTCAACTCCAAAGCCAGTTTAAAAGGGACTTCCTGGGAGGAAGGTGCCACAGGAATCGTCCCTGGAGTGATATGGCCAGTTTTGAAAAGCAAAGGGGGTGTCATGCCATGGGGTCTCTGGTGCAGGAGGTATGTTATGTCTGCATAAGATGATTTTTACTGTGCAACATTTCTGTCATGCAAACCTAGGAAGCAATTTCACCACTCACAGACTAACAAGGGGCATCTTCTTGACACACATTAGGTCAGAGGAACCTTTTGATGTACCCAAATGGCACGGCGGTTCCTTCCACTCACAAAAGAATTCCAGCCAACTGAACTGGCAGCTTTTATCTTCCCTATCTCTAATTATAGCCTAGACTGGTCATCTAATAGAGTTAAAAATACATATACAAAGCAAAACCCAAATATGTTAATTTCTACAGAGAAAAATATCTCTATCCCCTCATAGCAAAAAGCAAAACATTCCCCAATCCTCACAAACATGACTAAAAAGCAACGTTTAAAAAGTTCCTTGATTATTTTTATCAAAACTCCAAGGAAATTAATCATCAAACTCCATGGAAAACAAGCCATTATTAAAAGATAGAGCAACTAAAAAGAATCCATAAGGGAACTATTACCTTGTCATTGCGTTCACACAAGAATTTTAGTCTTTGAGCCCTTTTGTGCATGAACACACCATCCAAGTGACCAGTTTCCACAGATCGGATCTCTATGGCCTTCTCTCCCCAGCCCATTGTCTGATTGGATCGAATATATGCTTTTGGGGAGGGAAAAATTGCAAACCGTTAAAGATGAGGAAACAGCCCTGAAAAGATGTTGCTTACTTAATAAAAATATATTTTTATACTTCTAAATCTTTTTAAAATTTAAAATTTAAATGCCTAGCATTTAAGGATTTGTTTTCAAGGAACTCTGCCTTTGTAACCACCTTGCCTATCCTGTGAAGTAGTTACTTGCATCAGTGGTTGATCTATTTCATTTTCCTTAGGCCTTTCACGCCTATCTAGAAAAATTACCCACTGAGTTTAGAGTTTAGTGCACAGATTTTTATCAATCCAGTCATGAGAGACGGCAGGGAAGAGAAATCATGAGTGATCAGAGACAGTGACCTAATTACAATAAAACCAAAATAGTTTTGGAATAGAAACCCATGAAAATGTCAAATATCGGTCTTTATTACTGAATGCAAACTAGAAAAGTATGCACAAGGCTGTTTGTAGTTATGGCTCTAGCATTCTGTGCAAATAACTTCCCTTTCTGTCTCCCTTTACCAATTCGTTACCAATTCTCTGTCTCTTTACCAATTCTCTGTCTCCCTTTACAAAGTGGTCAACAAAAACATGTCCGATATTCCTCTGGATGTTTTAAGGATTAAATGAGAGATTATGATAATAGAGTTTTTAAAGTAGAAAATAATTACTTGGATTTTGTTCTAAAATAGACCTATGACTATTTCCACGGCCTACAATCTAACTTTCCACCATCTACTGCCAACTACTCTGTTCAATGGTAGTCAAAAGGTCTGAAGGACATACAAAATCAGCATGATAAATAAATGGAGTCTCAGACACGGCTCCATTTTCACAAATGCTGCCTTTCCCCAAGTTCTCCATACCTACTGATGTAGGCATCTCTCCCCACTGTAGAACTACATCCTTGGTGATCCTTCCATATGTGTTTACATAAACCCCCTCATCTTCATAGCACACCAGAAGCTCCATTCCATCTGTATTGGGGAGGATGATGATTGCATGGGGTTTGATGCTACACTGGATCTAGAGAACAGGAACAAAGTACAGGGAAGAACGTCTGTGGTTATTTCCAGCCCTGTGCAAGTGCTCAGTAAGACTCTTAGTGAATGCACTGGTACCATATCTCTGAAGATAAATACAGCAATTAGATTAACATTTTAGAATAGTCATGCAATATATATCCCCAACTCTGCTTTTTCCCAGTAATATACTCTACTGACTCATATCTCCTGAGGCCCATGAAACATTGGATGCTGGGCTCCAATTGAGAACCACTCCCAACCCAGGGATATTCTGGCCTGGCAGCAACTGCCCCAAATCCATCCCATGTTAGTCAAAGCAAGAGCTAAGAGGTTTTCACAAGGGCTCCACAGAGCCAGGAAGGCGGATTTCCACTTGTCTAAGAGCATGGAGCTATTGAAAATTGCGTATCATTTAAATACTCACCCCCACACCAAGGGGAAATGAATCCCTGCTTGTGTTAGTTCACTAAGCAGAGTAAAGAAGAAAGTCAAAACAAAATGAAGCCAGTCAACCAACCATAGAGTGTGGGTTCTTTCTTACATGTGTTGGTAGATAAATGTCATAGACTGATCCTGAATCCACATCAACAGCATGGAATCCAGCACAGGATCCATAGATCACTTTCAACCTCTGGCCTTCCTCAACAGTGAGATCCACCAGTAATGGCTTATGTACCAATTCTCCAAATGACTGCAAAGAAGCCATAAGAGAAGTGAGAAGATGAAGGAGAACATTTTTTTTTTTTTTTTTTTTGAGACGGAGTCTCGCTCTGTCACCCAGGCTGGAGTGCAGTGGCGCCATCTCGGCTCACTGCAAGCTCCGCCTCCCAGGTTCGCACCATTCTCCTGCCTCAGCCTCCCGAGTAGCTGGGACTACAGGTGCCCGCCACCACACTCAGCTAATTTTTTGTATTTTTAGTAGAGACGGGGTTTCACCATGTTAGCCAGGATGGTCTTGATCTCCTGACCTCGACCTCCCAAAGTGCTGGAATTACAGGCGTGAGCCACCACGCCCGGCCGGAGAACTTACTTCTAATAGATCAAACTAGAGAAGACCCAACATACTCAGTTATGCAATTACTGAGCCACACTGGCAACAACCGTAAGGCAACAATACTCTACAAAATTAGTCTTTATTACGTTTTTGCCTGTTAATTAGCATCTAGAAGACACTTCTTCCAGAAGATATGTTCCAAATCTCCCTTTCCAGATCAAGATTTCTGCTCTGTCATTTACTGTGCTTTTGGCTGCCTTGATCAGAAAATCATGCAAAGTAAAATAGTGAGGACTTTCCTAAAAATGCTACTCAACTATTCAAATGCACAGTAGAGCGAGAGGAGTTGTAGGAGTCACACACTGAAAATTGTATCACTATTATCATACTAGTAGCATAAGGTCTCTAATTTTCTGACTAGACTAAAATGGTGAAAAGGCTGTATGTGCTACAACAGCCTGGATTGTGCTGGTGGTCTCCATTTTTCACTGACATCACTACCCACAGTTCACGAGACTACGATAATGAAACAGCAGCTTTAAATAAGGTAATATGTATAAAACCAACTAGTACGGTACCTGGTATATAAAGGATATTAAGGCCAGATCTCAGAAGATAATATAACTGTATAACCAATTCTCTTTATTCAGTAACACTTGGATTTATTTTTTAAGTGAATATTATTTTTTAAGCGAATATTGTGACTCCATCTATCCTGCTTCACTGGGAAATCAAGCAGTAAGCAATCCAAAAACACAAATTTTGCAAATAAATGAAACCTACCCCTTCAATAAAATATAAAAAAACTATTCTAAAAAGCCAATCACCAGGCAATGTGAGGTATATTTGTAAATTTCATGAGTATTTTTGTGAACTCACAAATGAAAACAGTCCTAATTTTAAGACTAAGTACTCCATCATTTACTTTCCTAAAACTGTATACATGCAAAATGGCAAAAACATCTTAATTTGTACATTAGTTCAGATGTTATAGCTGAGTTTTTTATTGAAACAAAAATGGAATCATATGAAATATTTTAACTTTTTTCACTTAGTATATAATGTTGTCATCAGAATTTCTGTAATTTAATTTTTAATTAGTATTTTATGAACAGATATATCTTAAAACTGCCCGATAGACACAGTTTTGTTATCAAAAACACATCTAAATCTTTACACGCTTCCATGACTCAGGTGAAGGTCACCTTTTTAACTGAAGGGTGGAAGTACTGTTCTCTTTTCCTCTGTGAACACATTGCCACATCGATTAAAGTGTCTACCCAACATTTATCTCTCTCTCCTTCTCACTGTGGGCTTAGAAAGCAGCTTAACTAAGCTTATTACATTAGAAATGGTTTATGATAAAGTTATATGCTATATTAGCACATAGCTTTTATATTAGCAATTTTAACATTCAGACTTTTTAAACATATTCCCTGACTCTTGGTTGCAGCTTGAATGGCCAATACTACTTTTAAATTCACTTGATGTTGTTACCTTAAAGGCCATAAATTTGTGATATGGCTTTGGTGCCCACGCATAGACTTCCACAGAACTCTTCAAAGCAATCACCAGAAATTTGATTCTTTCATATTTTACTGAAAAGCAGCAAATAAAAAAGCAAGAGAAGCACAGGTCAGTATCAACATAGCCCTCTAAACTGTTTTAGTTGTCTTCTGCAAACTTTATAAATATGCCTTCTATTCATTCATCCAAACAAGCAGGGGAAAAATTCAGAGAGAGAGATCACACCTCACAGTTTCCTTTTCCAGCTCTTTAATGTATTTTGACCATCAATGAGTACTTTCGCTAATGATCCTAATCTTCTTATAATAGATTCCAAGATATTTTAAAATCAAGGACAATGCCAGGTATACCACCCTGAAGTCTTCAAGGGCTTAGTATTACTCCAAATGAGTAACAACATGATTAATCAGCCAAGAGACTCCTGAAACACACAGAGACCGAGGTCCTCCTTACAACTTTCCCTAGTCCTGCATGGGGCTCACACAGACTGAGGAAGAAAAAAGGCTTATACTAAAATATTCATGAGTCCTGAATTCTACCAACAGAAGTATCTGTGAACAAGTCCAAGTATCACTAAGACCATTTCCTGATCTACAGAAGTAGTAAAACTGCCTCCTTCCCATAGCTATTTTGGTGCCCTTACTGCCAGGCAACTCTGCCAAAACAAGTACTCCCAGGGGTCCTTGAGTACCTGTGACTTACTAATGCAGATCCATGATTTCTTTACAAGCTAACATCACACCGCTACTTGATTTCTTCTTTGTGCATGAGCAGGAACTTGTTAACTGATAACTCCCCTTGTTAAACTCTATATATTACCACTGTTTAAATAAATCAATAAACGAACATTAAGACACAAAGGTTTATAACAGTCTGACAAAACCGGTACTGTTTCATAGACTTCTGCGATGATAGAAACTCTCCGTATCTGTATTGCTAATATAACCACCACACACATGGGGCTATTGCACACTTAGAATGTACTAGTGCCATTGAGGAGCTAAATTTTAAGGTTTCCTTAATTTTTATTAATTTAATATACATTTAAATAGCTCCCTATTCTTGGTGGCAACCATAATGACAACGAATGAATGATATTACCCACACTTATCTCCTGAAAATACTTGTGATTCATTCTGTATGAGTGACAGGCCTGAAGGCCTACTGTTTTGTTCTGGGGAAAAGCCCAACAGACTTTTAACCCGTCTGCCTCTTGCTCCCCCTGCAGGATAATCTATTCATGTACATTTCATCTGTTATGAGCTGTTTCATTACATTTAGCCTTAGATGATTTTAGTTATACCTCAACACATAAAAATACTTCACATAAACACAGAAAACCCTAATCCTAAAATCTATCCTAAGCAGATAGTTCTACTTTCCCGTATCATTAGAACTGTCAGAGATACTGAGGCAGCTCCCACAATCACCATTAACCCACGAGCTGAGGGGTGCAGACAAACTACACCAACAAGACAATGCCAAGCATGACAACATCCCTCGGAACAGAGGAACTGATGATGTATATATTTTCATAAACATAGAAAAAAGAAAACACACAAGCAGAAACAAACATTCAATAGGCCCGTAACATTAATCAGTTTTAGGTATATAGAAAAACTTCCTGTTTAAATTCTGTTAGACTATAACATCTTTCCTATAAAACTTTAATTTGGCTAAGGTCCATTATTTCTCCCGTATGTCTAACATTAGTGCCAGTATTTTGGTTTTTTCATGTTTAAAAAAAAATTGTTTTGATTAGCTGGGCGTGGTGGCAAGGTGCCTGTAATCCCAACTATTCAGGAGGCTGAGGCAGGAGAATTGCTTGAACCCGGGAGGTGGAGGTTGCAGTGAGCTGAGATCGCACCATTGCGCTCCAGCCTGGGTAACAAGAGCAAAACTCCATCTCAAAAAAAAAAAGAGTTTTGGTTTTGTTCCTGTGAGATTTTACTTCATGAGAATCACTGCTTCATGCCAAGGAGAAAAAACAATACAATTGCCATAAAACACTGACTGGCCAGCTGGGCTCACTTACTAGTAAGGAGCATAGTAGCTGTGCACAGGCACTTAATTCAAAATGGCAGGCCATAAGCCCTTGAGTCAAACTCTCAAACACTCTTATCAGTGCCTGCCAAGGACCTCCAGACCTCTAAGTGGAGAATAAGCCTGGCATGTAAAAAAGGACTCAAGTCAGCTGGCTTCCACTGACAAGATTTCCTTAAAGAGGTTACTGTGAACCACATCTTACAGAGGAGAAGAATGTGGACTGTCAAAGAGGAGGAGTGGAAAGACTCTCACAAGATGCACAGCGTGGGGGAGACTGAGGGCGGAGTGAGTTGCAGGGACGAACTCTGTTATGCATATAGGTGCACAGAGGGAGTAAGACAATGTCTAGATGAGACTTCAAGATTAGAATGTGCCTTGGAAACAGAAAGAACACCAGAAATGATCCACGTGTTTCAGAAACAAGTTTATTATTACAAACTTCAAAAAACCTGTGAAAATTTAAAGTTTAAAATTCAAACTCTAATCAAACTCTGGAAAAACAAAATATGACGCTTCTAGAACTTACCAACTTTATAATGTACACATCCTTCCAAATCCCCTACGGTTGTCCATCCCTGCTTCTTCTCAACTTCTGGATCATTGTGAAGTATTTTATTTCTTAACCAGGACAAATAGTAGACACGTAACTTATCCTTTTTGCCTAGCAAAATAAATATAAATATTTTACATGCATATCCAGAAGTAGGTCTCATCATTAATAACAATAGTAACCAAAAGAAATCAATCACTTAAGGCCAGCACTTAAACCTAGTGAAAGGCAAGTCACAAGTTGGAGATGTGTACCACAGAAACAGCTGACAAGGGAGTCATAATCCAGAATATGTAAAAAAACTCCTATAAATCAAATAGAACAGGAGATAACAATAGAAAAACTGGACGTGCCACTATAACTGGAACTTTGGAAAAGAAGTGATCTCACAGACACACAAAAAGATGCTCATTCTCACCAGTAATAACGTGTGTTAAAACAGTAATAAGATGATTTCATACACCTATCAGTATGTCTAGAATTCAAAAGACTGACAATATCAAAGGTAGGCAAGATGTGGAACAACTAGAAACTTCAGAAACTAGTGTTGTAAACTGTTAGAACTGTTTTTGTAAGTTTGGCACTATCTATTAAAGTAGGATATGTGCATATCTTACATATGGTCTGGTAATCTCTCTCCTAATATAAATGTATATGTATGCCCCCAAGTACAACAACAGGAATGTTCATAGCAGCATGGTTCCTAATAGCTCCAAACAGGAAACAATAATGTCTGAATGGATAGTAAAATGAGTAAATACATTGTGGTGTAGTCATCTAAAGGAACAAAGAGACTACAGCTACAAGCAACAACAACAAAAATGATGGGGGGCAACGTCAGCCACACACATCAACAAGCTAAGAAGAAAAATCATATGATCATATCAACAGATGCAGAAAAACATTTGACAAAACCCAATACCTACTTATAATAAAAACTTTCAGGGAAATAGGAATAGAGGGGGAACTGCCTCAATTTGACAAGAAACATCTACCATAAAACCTTACAGCTAACGTCATACATAATGGCAAGAAACTAGATGCTTTCCTCATAAGATAGAGAACAAGTGAAGGATTTCCCTTCTCATAACTCCTAGTAAATGTTATATTGGGTGTCCTAGCTAATGCAATTAGACAAAAAAGGGAAATAAAAGGTACAAGGACTGGGGAGGAAGAAATAAAACTGTCTTTCTTCACAGAAGACATGACTGTCTAGGTAGAAAATCCTGAAGAATCAACCAAAAAAAATCCAAAACCAACCAACCAACCAAAAACCCTGCTGGAACTAATAAGCAATTATAGCAAGAATTATAGCAAGGTTGCAGGATACAAGCCTAATAAAATAAAAGTGAGTCACTTTCCTGTATTTCCTGTATACCAGCAACAAATCATTAGAATTTGAAATTAAGACTACAACACCATTTATACTAGTACTTAAAAAAACAAAATGGGTATAATAAATCTAATAAAATTAGCCCTTTGCTAGTTTTACTTAAGGAAAACTACAAATTCTGATGAAATCAAAGAAGAACTAAATAAATGGAGAGAGATTTCCATGTTAATGGACAGAACAGTCAATACTGTCAAGACATCAGTACTTTCCAACTTGATCCACAGAGTCAATGCAATTCTAATCAAAATCCCAAGTTATTTTGTACATATCAATAAGCTGACTCTAGAGGCAAAAGACCCAACACAGTCCACATAACATTAAAAAAGAACAAAGTTGAAAGACTGACAGTACCTGACTTCAAGATTTACTATAAATCTACAGTAATCAAAACAGTGTGGTTATTAGCACAAAAAGAGACAAATAGATAAATGGGAAAAAATAGAGCCCAGAAATAGAACTATACACCAGGCGCGGTGGCTCACGCCTGTAATCCCAGTACTTTATGGGGCAGAGATGGGCGGATCATGAGGTCAGGAGCTTGAGATCAGCCTGACCAACATGGTGAAACCCTGTCTCCACTAAAAATAGAAAAATCAGCCAGGCATGGTGGCACATGCCTATAATCCCAGCTACTCGGGAGGCTGAGGCAGGAGAATTGCTTGAACCCGGAAGGCAGAGGTTGTAGTGAGCTGAGATCTCACCACTGCACTCCAGCCTGGATGACAGATTGAGACTCCGTGTCAAAAAAAAAAAAAAATAGAACTATACAAATATAGCAGTAATCTACAAAGGAGCACAAGCAATTCAATGGAGAAAGGTTAGTCTTTTTAATGAATGCTGCTGCAACAACTAGATATCCATAGGCAAAAGAAAATAAATCTACACAAACTTTGAAACTTTCACAAATATCAATTCAAAATGGATTGTGGACCTAAATGTGAAACACAAAGCTGTAAAGCAGATTCTAGAAGGTAACAGAAGAAAATCCAAGTGACTCTGGATTTGGCAATGACTTTTTAGATACAATACCAGAAGCACAATTCATGAAAGAAAAAACTAGTAAGTTGGACTTCACTAAAATAAAAACTTCTCTTCTGCAAAAGACATCATTCCACAGCATGAACAAACAAGCCACAAACTGGCAGAAAATATCCGCAAAACACATATCTCATCAGAAACTTAGATCCAAAATACACGAAGAACTCTTAAAACTCAACAATAAGCAAGCAACAATCCAATTACAAAATGGATTAAAGATAGAAGAAATACTTCACCAGAAGATATACAAACATAAGAAAAGATGTACCATACATCATTAGGAAATTGCAAATTAAAATGAGATACACCTATTAATTCCTACACCCCTTCAGAATGGCTAAACTGCAAAATACTGAAAAAACGTTTAGAAAAAGTCTACTTAAAAAAAAAAAAAAAAAAGCAGCAGCTGACACTAGAACACATACTGTTTTACCATTATATAAAATCAGTTCAATGAAGGCAAAATCAACCTAACATGTTCAAAGTCTGGACAGTGCTTGCCTCTGGGGGCAGTCCCAGGGTGGCTTCACAGGGCAGTTTTGGGGTGCTGGCAATGTTCCATGTCTTCACCAGGGTGGGGCTATCTGGATGGATTCTGCATGTGACAGCTCATTGAGCTGTATGCTTATCTGTACTTTCTCTGTATATCATACTTCAGTATAATCCTTTTAACTTTTGGGGAATTGTTTGCAGGAAAATATTCAATATATGTTAAGAGAAGAAAAAGACCACACAGTTTTATATATAATGTTTTGTTTCCATCTTGTGAGATATACTTACAGAGAAAAGGAGAGGGAAATATAAAATGTTAACAAGAGTTATCTCTGAGATGGGGGTGACATTTTGTTTTATTCTTCCTAAGTTTCTTCTATTTTTGAAGCTTCCTACAATTGACATGTACTACATTTATGATTGTGAAAACCACTGAAAGTTAATAAGGAAGGAAAAAAAA
Source organism: Homo sapiens (assembly GCF_000001405.40). Classification (NCBI taxonomy): domain Eukaryota; kingdom Metazoa; phylum Chordata; class Mammalia; order Primates; family Hominidae; genus Homo; species Homo sapiens. Next base: position 101,879,278 of record NC_000002.12, on the reverse strand, counting down.
AAAAAACAGAAAAGTAGACCAAAAAATGATTACTGGTATCAGCTGATTATAATTATTAATTTTTTTTTTTTTTTTTTTTTTTTGGAGACAGGCTCTCACTCTGTCACCCAGGCTGGAGTGCAGTGGTGCTATCACAGCTCACTGCAGCCTCGATATCCCAGGCAAAAGCAATCCTCCTGCCTTGGCCTCTCAGATTGCTGGGATTACAGGCATACGCCACCGCACCTGGTCTCAGCTGAGTATTGATCCCCATGAACTGTCTTGTTTCACTGGATCACTAAATGCAGATTTGTTTTCTCCAACTTAAAAAACTACCATCCATCAGCACTCTAGTTTTAAATGGCTGTTTCCTCATTTAAGTATAAATAGTGAAATTTTTGCATTTCAAGAAACTCCTTTACTTAACAACCAAAGCATATATTAGAAGTAAAATAACTTCAAGCAAATATGTTACATAACAAGCTTGTACTAACAAGCAGATAATTAAATAAAAATCACTGGTGGTATCATAAGTGATTATAATATCATAAGTGACTGTAAGTAGTGGTATATAAGACTCATTTAAAGTCTTATAATTTTGCATGCCATCTGACCAAGGAATAACACTAATTATTAGGAAATTATGATCTATGCAACATGGTATGTGCCTGAAGGTTAAGTAAGCTACAAGGATATCTGTGAAAAATGTTCACATGAGAGAAAAAAGGGAATACACCTAAAGGGCAGCAAGAGAAGATAACTAAATACATTTTAATACATCTATGCAAGGAAACATCCTCTAGCCATATAAAATGGAGGCCATGGAAGGATGTTCAATGGCATGGAGAAAGCAGACTACGTGTTTTGGACAATCAGGCCTGGATGGCATACACCCTAACTTCAGGAAAGAGGTTGCCATGGACAGGTAGATATGGGAGGAACAGGGATGCTGACTGTATGTACAACAGTGTACTGCAACAACTGTTCAAACTGGCTAGTTATAGTTAGTACTTGGGTGCCATTATCCTATGTTTGAAATATTGTATAACCATTTTTATGCAGATTTTTTCCCTTAAGTATACAGTGAGTGTGGTGTATGCTTAAAAAACTGGAATTTAAAAACTTATAAAAGTTAAAAGATATGATCTCTGGATGATTCTACTTTTTATTTCTTGTAGTTGTTTTCCTGTACTAGTTTATATTACACAATTTATACTAAGAAAAATGCTCTTCTTAAAAAGAGACATAATTGGCCGGGCGCAGTGGCTCATGCCTATAATCCCAGCACTCTGGGAGGCCAAGGTGGGTGGATCATGAGGTCAGGAGATCAAGACCATCCTGGCTAACATGGTGAAACCCTGTCTCTACTAAAAATACAAAAAATCAGCCGGGCATGGTGGGAAGTGCCTGTAGTCCCAGCTACTCGGGAGGCTGAGGCAGGAGAATGGTGTGAACCTGGGAGACGGAGCTTGCAGTGAGCGGAGATTGTGCCATTGCACTCCAGCCTGGGTGACAGAGTGAGACTCCGTCTCAAAAAATAAATAAATAAATAAATAAGTAAAAAAGAGACATAATTGTGTTAATTCACATAATAAAAACCATAATACAATACTTTTACAATAATGGCAAAGAATACTTCCTTTTGCAAGTACAAAAATTAGCTGGGCTTGGTGGCACTTGCCTGTAGTCCCAGCTACTCGGGAGGCTGAGGCAGGAGAATTGCTTGAACCTGGGAGGCGGAGCTCGCAGTGAGCCAAGATCGCGCCACTGCACTCCAGCCTGGCGACACAGCAAGACTCCGTCTCAAAAAAAAAAAAAAAAAAGTCTGGTGGAAAGGAGTGGACACAGACCTACATATTGGACAAGGCAAATGAAATCTAACAAGCAACTGGGCAGAGAGGGCAGTGAGAGATGCCAGTGAGAAAGAGCACATTCATACGCTTCTCAAGACTGCTTTCGGAGGAGCCAGAGATCAAATGGGCGTGTGTGTCACCTCTGAATACGTCTTCAGCTCACATTATTGTCAAGTCTCAATGTGGTTGTACCTTATTTAGCCAGTACATCAGTGAATGAGCTAACTGAAGTTTAGTGTGTAAAGCTACAATATTGTTAAGATGGTGTCACATATTCTGGTTTACAAAACAAACACTCACCAGATATTGTCACCAAGACATTCAAGCCCTCAAGTACGTCCATTTGTTGAAATCGTCTTCGGTTGATAAGAGGATAGACCTTCCCTTGGCCACTTCTGTCCAGCAGCATCAGGCCACTCTCTGTACCCACTAGCAAATTCACTCCTGTTTCAGGGACACAGAAAGGCCTCAATTTTATGCTGTGCTTGGCAAATCCCCAGGTTGTATAGAAAGGATAACATCATCTATTTGGAAAAAAGTGTAGCTTCCTTAATTCACCCAGAAGCAGAAATCCTTAAAATAGTCAAAGGTTAAACAGTTAAAGTAACCAATCCTGCAATACATCACCATGTAGCAATGATGCTGACATATTTAAACATAAGAAAGGATAAGGGAAAGAACAAGAAACCCTCATCCCATCAATTTCCTTAATAATCCATTAGTTTCTAGTTCTTCCTCAGTTCCTCGAGAATGTTATATGCTGATTATTTCCTATCTTTACAGATTCTATGTCTAATTAGCCACATCACACATTTGAACAAACCTTCATCTGATACCATGATCTCTTTGTGCTTCCTCATCTTTCATTGGCAAATCTCTGGAATGGGCCATATAAATGCAGCCCTCAAATCCTTAACAGCTTATGATTCGGCTTCCATCACTCACATTTAAGCTTTTCTTAAAGATCACTTTCCACCATCATCAAGAAACAACTGTAGTCAGTTCTCTTGTCCTTCCATTTCTTAGGACTATCAAAATATTGTGATTTGATATTTGACTCACCCTACTTCTCTAACCTTGTACCGTCACAGTCTCCACACTCTTCTGCTGCCTCCTTCCTTATTTCCACACCTGCCCTCTGCTTCCTCAGTGGAGACATTTCCACTGCTGTCCATCTGGTGACACCCACCCACCTGTGCATGAGTGTGCCTCAGAACCAGTAACTCCTAATTCCACGCTGCTACTTTGCCTCCTGCTTTCCACCCACTGCAGATCTCTACTGAAACTAGCCTCGCGACTTGGCTGCTTCTATCAACAGCTCCCAAGCTGCTCTGCCAAACTAGCTAAAACTGGCCACTAGAGCCAGAGAAAACCCCTTCTCTGTCCCTCCTTTCCCTTTCCTCTGCTCTCACAATTGTTCAGCCTTTGGCAACCTTTTAAGTGACGGATAGAGACCTTAATTAAGGTTGTTAAAGGAGCTTCTCTCCACTTTCTCATGATGTACATCCAATCAATCCTAATCTTGCTAAAATACTCACGTCATGACTATCTTCAAAAACTACACATTCCATGTAGAAATTGTTCCAAAAGCCTTGGACTGGCATCTAAGACTGCCTGCCCCTTGGCCAAAGCACTTCTCCCTCTTGATCATTCATGTATTTCCCCAAATGCTCTTGTTCCTTGACCTAGAACCTTCACTGTCAGAATCACCTTTGTAACATGTAGCACAGATGACCCTACATTCCTAGGGAATTGGGCACATATCTGTGTGTACTGATTTCCTCAGTCATAAACTCACCAAGACAAGGAATAAAGTATTTGTGTAGAGGGAGTGAGGCGGAAGAATATCATGGCACATACATGTATGCCCACACCCACCCACACCCTATTTCCAGATAATCTGAAATAAATAATTGTGACGGCATTGAGAGAACAACGCTCCTACAGCCCTCTCTCTGTTCATGCCTGGTCCTTATAGAGTTGATTGAGTTGGGATTATCCCAACATTTGGAGGACAGTATCTACCCAAGCAATGCTTGTGGGCATAGTGACTTAACCCTTAGAGATTAAAAAAAAAAAAATGCTGTACAACTAAAAAGATTATCAGTATAAGAAAAATATTTAAATATGTAATATGTGATTCATTTTCATATAATTTTATTCTTGAGGTTGGCCATTCTGCCCTGACTATATCCTTGTCAAGGTGGAACTTATTTGAATATTATGCTTAGGTTTCCCTGCATATATCTAGGCAAGTTGATCTAAAACAGCTTAGAAATTATTGGTAGAAAAGACAGATATTTATTGATAGAACTGCTGCCAGACAGATACCATTTCAAAGGTTCTATTTTACACAATATTTTGATATTTTCCTGGTCAATCTTCAGTATCAAGTAGATTTTTTTAAACTCCTATGTCAAGAATCTGGTAATAACTACACAAAATATGGGCCTTGTGAAGAAATCCTATTATGTGTGTTTCTAAAAACTAACATATAAACATCAACCTCAAGATTTTACAGTGAGAAAGAATGAGGGAGTAACAAGATAAAGCTGAAGACTCTTTTCAAAACACAAAAGCTGCAGGTATTGTGGCACTTACACTCTATCTTCTACTTCTCCATGATATATTTCCAAGTTGTATAATTGTACAGTTGTATAATTTTATAAAGTACTGAATGCTAATAGTCAAAAGAATAGTCACTGTAAAGTACTTGGAAATTACAAGCATGAAAAATGAAAAACACTGGGTTGCATGTTGCAGTAAGTTTTTATAAATATACTTCTCCAACATTTCCACTGCTAGATATGATTGAATTTTATAGTGAGAACAGTCAACCTCAGGGTTCAGGGGTACAATGTACACTATTGAGTATAATGGGCTGATGGTTACACTAAAAACCCAGACTTCACCACTATACAATATATCCACGTAACAAAACTACTACAAAAATTTGTTTAATAAAAATAAAATGGAGATTAATCATGCCAATATTTGACAGTTAAAATGAGTGCAATCATATACATGTGCCACACCAGTCTGCTAATATACCACTCTGCATATAACAGGAGATGGACATCATAGAAGTCTTCCATCCTGTCTATCCACAAACTATTCAATGCAGTACTTCTCTAGAAGACCAGCCACCACTCAGAACAAAAATGAAAGTGTTGGAGTAGTGGCTAGACACCTACCCCATAAGGCAGCACACAGAATCTCAGAGTTAAACCTCTTCTTGTATTTACGAATCTCCGGGGTGTCACTCTGTGGCCTAGTGTTGGTAGGATTCACATTGACCACTGAGCCTTTCCGGGTAGGATCTTGCCTTATGGCTTCTGGTCTCATCCCATCACAGGAAAATCCCACTGAAACACAATATATTTGAAATTATTTTCTGTACACACACACACTATGCCTGCCTCCCTTCCCCAGTATACTTCAAGTAAATATTCATGTGGTATAACCAACACTTTGTCAAAGAGAAGAAATCTGTAAGCAATGTATATGGAAAAAGGAAATGGACTCTGCATCTCATTGCAAATAAGGCATACAACTGGGATGGGAAGTTTCTGTACCCGAGGTCTGTGCCTGTGAACAACCAGCTACACCTAAGCCACCCAAAAGAGCAACTCAAAGATAAAGTCCCATTTGTCAGCTGCTTTCTTGTTGCTACTGTACTTACCCACAGATGTCACTGTTGTTCCGCTAGATGGAGAAATCTGTAGTAATCTGGGGTCTATAAAAGGTGTAAAGGAGGAGGAAGATTTGTGTTTCTGGAGTGTGCTACTAGCGGACTGAGTCTGCAATGTAAATTTCAATGTTATTAATACAACTGGCATTTTAAAAATGAACATTAAAAATACACATTTCAATTCACTTCTATATTGCACTATTTCCCAATACTTTGCTCTATTTGCCTTGCATCATTCCCCCAAAAAATGCTCTGCGGGGAGCTTCCACGTGGCATAGCACCCCTCAGGGCAGCTTTACCTGGAACCACTGCAGGAGCCGTATCTCTACCAGAGACATTGCTCACTTACAAAGCAGTGCTGCAAGCTACCAATGAAATCTAGACTTCATGTGCCTAGCTTTAAAAAAAAATTAAGTAAATACTTATAATGAAACTCCTAAAGGAGGTCTGAAATGTCTTGATCTCAATTCACCAACTTCTGAATTTATTCTCCTACCCAAGAGTCCAAATAATCTATGCTGGAATATTGGCAATTGTTAATAATTGTAGTTATTTTAAATTGAGCCTCTTGCCAGAAAGCTACAGAAGCTTTGGCTACTGTTGTTTTAGGTGCATCACCATTAAACCCATACCAAATGAGGACTCATTAGTGAAAGGTGCAAATGACAAAAGAAGGCGTATCTTTTTGATCTTTTAGGAGCACTAGTGTTTTGGTTAATAATGTAACTTAAGACAAAAAAACACAAAGGAAGTGAAACAAATTGTTAAGTGGAAATGTAATGACAATTAAAAACAAAACAAACAGAAAAATAAATTTGCCGGTTTAGTGAGTTAAGGGTTATAGTAAAATACTGCACATTAGAGCGAAATGGAGCAAAGTTTAAAATATAAATATAAGGAAGAATGTGAGTGTAGGTGGGATATATACCTCAGGAGAAAAAAGGAACATGTCTGATCAAGTGCTTTTGTCCTGTACCATTGGACCCCCTCCATGGACACCTGAGGGTCACCATGTCCTAGAGCCCATGCCCTCCCCTAAGCTTCCCACCTGAACATCTGTCCCCTGGCAGCTTCCCTCCCTGTCCCATGAGTCAGGAGCCAGTCTAGCCGATGCCAAGCCTGTCTAGGAAGCAGTTGACTTGCCACTGCTCCTCCGGAGGAGAGGATTTTTCTGATTCTTTCTAACCTCCCTCAACTGGTAGATAAAGACACTTAAACCAAATCTTCTGTGGAATCAAATCACTTGTTTAATTCAATACGGGTGCTCAAGTGGGCTATGTCACTACACCTGGAGTATAACCCTGTTCAAAGAGCAAAGAATCACCCAGACTGAGCTAACACCCAGACCGAGCACCACAACCAAGCCTTCAAAGGAGCACACAGATTTCCCACACAAAATTTTAAATTAAAAACAAGCTCAAACCTTTGTCCTTCTTGCTTAACATCCTAATTTTTTCTAGGTTTCCCAAAAATAATTTGGCTTCTAAACCTCTGAGTGATTGTAAATGTCAAAGAACAAACTCCTTAACAGGGTTGGTGAAAACAAGTAAGAGTAATCAGCCAACAACCCACCCCCCAAACAAGAAAAAAAAAAAAAATCAGTTCTGTTTGAAAGAGATTCCTGTACAGGATAATAAGTTTGTCCAGATAAGGCCAAGCCTGCTGAACCGAATCTTCCTATATTTTATTTATTGGATAAAAAGAATGAAAAAGGCAGATTCCACAAATGACTATAAGAATTTCATGCCAAATACATAATACCGGTCTGAGGACAGAGCAATCATTTTATTTAGATTTTTAAAAAATAAACTAGATAAAGCCATGCAACTATACTTATCTACAGAACAGTAAACAGTGAACTGGCAAGTTTGGGGGAGCTGATCTAGGGTTAAGGGGTTTATATGCAGATCTGAAACATGTTACTTGGGGTTGGGGAGAAGGGTAGGTGACAGAGAAAGCAGGGTGGGAAGGGAAGGGGTGAGGGTGTTGGAAAGGTCTCCTTTGCAAACTAACTCCTAGGCAGTGCTGGTCTAACCCCAGGAAAGCAGCCAGCTGTGGTGCGAGACATACCTCATTAGCAGTGAGCTTGTCCTGGGGTGTCTGTGGGGACATGGTGGGTGTCGGCTGGCTGGAGGATGGGGAGGAGGAGGTGGAGGAAGTGGAGGAGGAATGGCTTTGCTGTAAGAGATCTGGCAAGAGGTGAATGCGACCGGCAAAGCCATTGCTCTCATGATGGCTGGCACGCTTTTGGTCAACTGTACTCTGTAGAAAAAACAGGCACACTTGTCTCGCTCAAGCGCTGCTAAAATTGCCTATGGCCCTATTGATAACTGCTTTAAGGTGCTGTGTGACTTATAAACTCTGCTAAATTACCAAGGAAAAACCAAAGAAATTAGCCTGAACTGCTCACACTTCCTCACCAAATGCCTAACTTGTGCCAACAGAATTCAAAGTACCTAATCTGGTGGCTGCACGGCTCGAGCAGTGAGTGTTTAATCTGGTTTATCTGTTGCGCTAGCTTCTGTTACCAAAACCAGTATCCTTTTTTTTTTCTTTTTAAATCTTTCTTTGCAAAGCTCCAGAAAGTACCTGTGGATTCTCTGAATCCTGGTCTTTTCCACATTCTTCCTACTTTCCATCCGAATGCATTGCCATAGCATGAAACACACTTAGGGCAAAGTCCAAAATACTAAATAGGTGCCCTGTTCTATTTAAATGAGAAGCGTATCACTTTAATTAAGTCTAAGCTAAGAAATGAACAGACAGTTATAAAGCTTAGTGATCCAAACTGAGCATATCTGGGTGGCACACATTTAATTATTCAACAAGTGAGAAAACTAACATTTTGGAACATAGAAGAGAAACCTCCCGAACCCTTCTGCTCTCCGAGTCTCTGGGCCTGTGATGAGGCTCGTCCTGCCTGCCTCACCCGCTCCCACTGTGGCACTGCAGACACTCAGAGCCCAGCGTGCTCTGCAGAGCCATGGTGGCTGCTCTGCCAGACTCCAGACCTGCTTCCTCACTCTGTGAGCCTGTTTAAGGACTCCCTGTGGCTTCTCTCCCGCTCAGACATAGACTGTGAGACTCAGCGCGGTGCTTGAATGAGGGCTGCCGCAGACATGCAGAGGAGCAGCGATGTGGGGTGGAGACTACTCGCTACCTTCTGGGCATGCAGTACACACCTGCCTCCCTAGCCCCCGACACTCGACACTTGACCCTCTGGGACTTGTTAACATGAAAACAGATGATGATGGAGAAACAGCATGAGTGAGTGAATGAGCAAGTGGGTTAATGACCACAGGAGAAGCTCAGCCTCTGACAACAGAGAAGACACGGGTACCTGGCGGACGATTAGAGTGCCCTCCTTGGATGGGGTCATGGCCGGCTCACTTTCTACATCATCATGGACAATCATGGTTTTCACAGATTCCGTTTCACCATTGCTCAAATTCAGAGATGACCTATGGAGAAAAAATCCAGACGTGAAAGGCCTTAATCTCTGGAGTCAAGGAGATCCTGTTTAGGCTTTTCGCCTTCTCAAAATCAAAACATGAGATGAGGCTACCGATATAAAGCCTCCTCCAAAAAAGCAACTGCTTAGCTTTCTCCCTTTAACAAAGAATTTCTTTCCAGTGCCATTTGTTTCTGAGCAAAAACTTAGAATGAATAATTATGGCTAATTAAAGTAGTTATACCAAACTGAAATTTCCCCTGGATCATATATCCTCAAATCAAAAGGAAAAAATAAAGTACACGCTGGGGTGCTGGGGGAAGCACTGACATATGCACACACCAACGAAGAGAAGGGGAAACACAAGGCGACCTGCTGCTGAATCCACGAGAACTACATAGTAAGTGCTCATGGGGTCACGGAATAGTCTAGGAACAACTAGGTCCCAGTGGAAAGCAGGCTCTGAGAGAATACTCTCATCCGCTCTAAAAGAGACCGGGGACTGACGCTGCTCTGGTGTCCTCTGGTCCTGAGGTGGACTCGTCAGCCCCTTCCTGCTCCACATCGTCGTCCTCCTCATCCGTCGTCCCCGACTCCTCACTGGATGAGGAGTAGTCCGTTACTTTGTGAGGTGGCCGTACATCTTCCACTGCTCGAAGCTCTTTGGCCAGTGCGGTCAGATCCTAAAGCAAAGGACAGAAAAGAGAGAGTAAGGCAAGCAGGAGCAGGGACAGGAGAAGATGAGAAGTTCTTTAACCATAAATTGCCACAATGTCAGTTTTGTAAGACTTTTATAGTTACCCAGTTTCATGAGAAAGTGAGCTCCTATGGCTTTTGATAGAAAAGACCAAATAAAGTCAAGAGAGAGATTAAAAAAAAAAAATAGAAGACACCAAAAAAAAGTCAAAGATGTCATATACAGTTCAAATCCCATGACAATAAAAAAAAGATCTGCTTATGTTAAGCTGATAGTATTACTGTTGTTTTTTAATATGAGGTAAAATTCTAGATCAACAAATGTATATACACAGACTCTTGGACTTTGTTGTAAGGAGATCTCCCTACATGACAAAGTCTTCTTTAGACTCATAAAAAAGGTTTTGAGAGACACATTTTTATTTTACTTCAACTTTTATTATTAAAAACTTCAAAGCGCTAAGGTTTAATATTTAATGTTTTTATTTACTAGTTATAGGATATTTATGAAATTTTAGTAATAAATATTAATATTTTACTAAAATCAACATTTTAGGTTTAATATTTTATTAATAAAAGTTGTAGAAACATAACTTCCCTCCCAAAACTCTTTAAATCAGGCTTATTTAACTAGAGGCTTGCTTTCTGGACTGACCCCTTTAAAGAAGACTTTGTCATATAGACATGTGTCTTTACACCAAAGCTCAAGGATCTGTGTATATACATTTGTTGATCTAGAATTTTACCTCATACTGAAAAAAAAAAAACTTCAAACCTACATTAAAATGAAAGGAGTGAAGTGAGCACTAGGATGCCACTGACATCTCACTTCACCGACTGTTCACAACCTGCCACATTCATGGACAAGTCTGTGACACATGAAGAGACACTGCGACCCTGAGTGCTGGGGGCAGGAGGCTGTGGGCGTCCCTAACGCCCTCCTTCAAGCCTTACCCACATCACCCTGTGACACCACGTATAAAAGGGAACATCAGAAAGAAATCAATAGTGGAATTTGTTCAAAAGGCTTAGTTTCCCTTTACTCTTCCACACTGAGATACTCTAAGACTCAATCAATCCACCAAATATAATTTTCAAGAGTGATTACTATTTATACTCCACATTTTCATATAAAACTCCAAATTCATCTTTTTTGGGGAATTTTATGTAAAAGTAATCACTTTTTAAAAACGCAGTCTATGTAGCTCTTTCTGTCTTTAATTTCTAGCAGTTCCAACTTGGTTTTCTATTTTCTTCATAGTTGAGAATGTTTCTTTTCTTTGAGCTTGAGCCACTGAAATAACAGTGATGGGCTCTGAGTCTTGCTATTAGTATTTCGTGGTTATAGCTGAAGCTTTTTAAACAGTTACTCAAAAAAGCTACATTTAATAACAATAAATACAGCAAATGTTATGTTAAGAAAACTGGAGTAAAGTTTGAGGTTTTTAAATTCTAGAAAAGAACAAGAAGTCAAGTTGAGGAAGGAGCAGGACCGCAGCTCGAATACAAGCTGAGCTGACAGGCGGTCGGAGTGCTGCTCTGAAGTGGAACTTTTCAGAGATGGCGCTTACCACTTCGCCCTTCAGTACAGCGCAGTTTCGTGGAGTCCGAGAAGCCATCGTTGATGAGGAATGCACAGTACAAGGAAGCGCGGGAGAAAGAAGGGGAGAGGGAGAAGTACAGAAATCAGTTCAAGCAGGAAATGAAAACTCTGACAGGCTTAAAATTCCACAAAGCGTGCACAATTACATGGTCAGGTAACATCAGAGGGATTAAAAGAGAAGGGTGAGAAGCAGTCACAACTATCACCCCAGGTACCAAAAAGCAGAAGGTAGGCAACCAGTGAGTTTAAGAAGGTGATTTTTAAAAACTTAGTCTAAAAGCCAGTATTGTAAATGCTGAACTCACGAAGAATAAGTAAAGGTTAATGCCAAGAAAGAGATAAAAAGGCTTTTCTTTCTTTTGTATTTTTTTTAAAGCATCAGTTTCCTTAGAAGGAAATTTCATTAAATAAGAACTATACTTTGTTCTGCATAATTTTGTAAGGCTGACTGTACACCAAGTGTATGGCTGGAACAACAGAAAAAAGGTTTTACTCACTTGAGACTTTATACAGGGAAAGCAGACGATACCAATGGAAGGGAACAAGTATGTCTGGGGTTTAGGTCATTCCTTATAATTCCTCAAATCTGTGAGGGGCCCTCGCAGAAAAGACTGCAGGCCTCTCAACCACATATTTTTAATAGAAAGATCTCATTCAAGTCTGAAATAAGTAAAACTGATCCTGCACAATCCTTACAGCAGGCTTGAGGGGTCTGAAAACTTCCTTTTTATCTTCAGGTTTTTTCACTGCATTTTCCAGGCGCTGAGATGGAGAGCCTTCAGACTTGGATGATGCTGTTGGGTTCAAAAGGGACAAGATGGACAGACACATATCAACATATGGATGTGTATTATGAAGCTGCCCTGCCCACCCCGCCCACTCCTGTCTGCCCACTCATGGTAGGCTCTCCACCTGCAGGTCTGAATTACAGAGCAGAGGGGGCCCAAGGAGGGCTCCAGCAGCCTTCCTGACTCTTTACTTAAACCCTCCATCATCACACTCACTTTGACACGTGTTCACAATATATACCTTGTCATGGTATGTCAATAATACAGTAGAGGGAATATTCACTCATCTATTATGAGTACATTAAAATAACCAATATTGATGACAGTATAGGCTCTGGAGCCCAGACCGAAAGAAATGGGTTCAAATCCTAGCTCACACATTAGCCAATTACCTTGGGAAAGTTAGTTAATCCCACTAAATTGTAAAGCGCTCACAGTGCTAGGTATATATAAAGCTCTCAAAATTTAGCTCCTTTATGATTAAAATCAGGATGACTATTATTGTCACTAGCAACCTATGCTAAAACATTGTTTTGTGACGTGTGGCTACACGCAAACTACAGATTAAGACAAACTTCCAAGATATGGATCACAGCTCAAAACATTAGCAGGGAAAAAGGAAAGGAAAGGCAGCTTACATCTCACTCTGAAGCGTTCCCCGGAGCCACTCTGAGACCCAGGGTGAGACCCGGGCTGGGATCCTGAGTTGCTGGACCCTGAGGAGCTGCCACTGCCAGGTCTGGGCACCAGCTTCTCCACTCTCTCCCACAGAAGCCTGGGCTCAATACTGCTGTTAGAAAAGAAGAAGAGAGAACAGCTAATGTGTCATCTCTAGATGCAGCACCAAATTACCAACATGTGCATGGTGTGCCCATCCAATGTCTTTAAAGTGTAGGGAGACAAAAAACAGTCTATAAACAGCACTCAACATTAAATTCACCAAAAGATATAATGACATTGTTCATGGATTTTTATCGATTTTTAGTTTGTATGCTAAATGATATCCTACCATTAGTAGATCTAAAATCATCAGGTGTGAGATACAATGCTACTGTTCAGTGTAGAAGCAGCACCATTTCTGTCACAGCTACAAGTCAGTTCTTAATATTAGGAAAACACTCCGTATTTGTATAATTATACACAAAACTATATTCTGTTTCTAGGCTGCTGCTCTCACCTGCCTGTTACTGTTCTCAAAAACTGACACTTACAAAGAATAGTCCTTTGTATGGGCTGTTGGAAACGGTACAGAAAGCATGAGCTGGGATGGATTTCCTGCCATGGATGGACCCAAAGCACACATGTGCTAGGTAAGAATTAATGACACAGACTTGGTCAGGGAAGAACACCACAGTCCCCCTGCCATTAGCAGTGCTGAGGATTCTGTGCAGCTTTTGGGCTATCATCCATCTGACACCTCAAGTCAGACCAAGGTTCCATGCGCAGAAGGCTAACTTTAGAGGTTCAGTGATGATCAAGATATAAAACATTCAACATAATCATCTTTTCTTCCCTATGATAGTGCTGGTCAATGAAGCGTTCTGTTATGATGAAAATGTTCTATATTTGAGCTGGATAATATCATAGCCACTAGCTATATGTGGCTATAGAGCTCATGAATATACCCAGTGCACTAAGGAATGAAGTTTCCACTGTATTTCATTTTAACTAAACTTAAACTTTAATTTAAATATAAGGAAGCTTCTGTAGCTAATCGTACTGGACAGAGCAGCTCTAGAACCTAAAAAGGATAGTATTTGGTGAATTCACTTGTTTACTGCAGACTGTGAAGTCAACCAGTGACTTCTTTAGTAACCTGTTTGTGATTTCTGTTTTATGCCACAGGCCTTACAACATCCCTTAGATGAAAAGCTCCCCCCGATCACAATTCTCTTAGAACTTCTCCCCCTTCCTTGCTGCTCCCTCCATTTACTCTTACAGAGAAAAGTAGTTTAAATTTCAGAGTTGCTATAATACACATCCGGATTCAAACCCACTTTTTACTACACATCAACTTGATGCCATCCACGTTGATGGATTTTATGGCAGCTTTTCCTTTTATAACTGATAATCTCTTAGCCCCAGAACGTCTGTGTTTAAGAGCATTTTTATGAAACAGACAATGTAAGGCTGTGGTAGACTGCACAGAAGGCCTGTTCTCAGTGCTCACTTGTCTTTTACCTGGTGGAGTTTCTCTGTCCTGCCTGGCTATTCTGCTGCCCACTGCCCTGCAGTGGGGAATCTCGACGGGACAGAACAGGGGAGCGAGATGTTGTTCTCACAGGAACCTTTAAGTAGAAAATATAGCAATTAAATTATTGAAAACATGAAAAGGAAAAAAAATACTTCCCTACCAAAATATATTTTTAAAGCAGTCCTAATATTTAAAAGCAGTCCTTCCTATCACCTCCACTCCCCACCCCAACTCCTTCCCTGGTCCTACACTGATACAATCGGAGAGAAAATTTAGTCACAAGCATCCAAGAAGCCAGTACAAACAGGCTTTCTATGCTCCTGTAACATTTAAATGATGTTTGGACTGAAGCTTGGTAGCAGGGACATACAAAGCATTTGCTGAGATAATGTGAGAATCAGGAAAATAAGCTCAAAGAAACCAAACAATGGTCTATAAATGGATCAGCAGGAAGCAAAGACTAGCAGGAAGCAAGAAAATATTCAGAGGAAGCAAATTCCAAATGAGGAAAAATAAATTGACATGGGCTCCTTTGTTTAATTTCACTATTATGTAAACACAAAAACAAAACAAAATCCCCTACATTTAAAAAGAAAATAAAATTTTTCTTATAGGACTTTTTCTAAAAATTTTGACATTAATATTGCAAAACTGCATAGCTTCTGTATAAACATATAAAAAACTGCTAAAATAGATTATGAATTTGTTTAAGAAGCCTATTCTTTGTAGACTTACTCTTACATCATTTTGCTACCTTATTTAGGGTTAACAAAAATAAAACGCTAACTGACCACTGGCTAAACAGAATTGCCTAACTATGGAACTTTATCCTCACCAGTAAAAAGTCCCTTTGAAATTTCAATGCCCCTTTAAATTTGGTCAAGTTGCATACCCATAATTAAAATAAATAATCTTTAAAAAAAAATAACAAAAAGGAAAAAAGCAGCACACATCTGTCTTTCTGCTCCTTACCCTTGGAGGCACCTCGTCACTGTCTGATCTAGACCAAGCCTTTTGGGTAGGGTCAGGCGCCTCTGACTTAGAGTCAGAGCTCTGACTGAGCACCTCACTGCGGGAAGGTGGACATGGGTCCTGAGAACGAAGATGGTGGTGTGCAAATTTGGGAGAAGGGTCACTGAAGGAATGGGATCGCGAGACAGGGGAAACATTGTTCTTGAGAGATGCCAGGTGGGACCACTGTACCTTACAAGAAAACAAAACACAAAACATTCAATGCGTTCTGCATAAAACTGGCTTTTCTGGTCAATACCAAATCCAAAGCAGGAACTGGCAGAGGCGGAATACACACCGGGGTGGTACAGTGTTAGGTCAGCCACGCAGTGAAACAGTTACACTTCAAAGTGAAGAAGTGGTCTGGGAACACAGTATGTAGAAAAGAACAAATGTACATTTACAAGGAAAACTCTTTTTAATATCCAGACAAACATTACAGATAGCAGTTAATGTGAAGATTTTTATTTTTTTTTTCCCCACAAAGAGGCTCTCAGAGCCCAAAGGGGTTATGATGTGTTGCATGCACATCCATGTCAAAGCAGAGACTGGAAAGGCAGAGAGAGGCAGAAAAATTGTAAGATAAAGCGCACTGCCAAATGTGCAAACCTACCTAGCCATCCTCACATTACCTGCAGTGTCACATTTTACACCAGAGCGAGTAACAAAATGGCACGTTCAACGAGCAAAGACAAACCCCACGTTTTGAGACTATAATATCTCAAGAACAGCTAATTTTTCAAATATACCAACAATTTTTCTTATTTTTCCCAAGTCTACAAACACCCATAACCCAGGTATCTCCATATACTTTCATATTAGTGATGAAAATAAAGAATTGTGATTTCTTTAAAAATATTCAGTACCATGGATTCCCTGAATTGACTATTGTTGGGGTATTCCTTCCACTTGGGAAATTACAAAAATATGACAATTACTTGTCAACTGAGTTTATCTGGTTGCTTCTAAATTGGGAAAATGATCTCTGAAAAAATCCATAAAATATTTTCATTAAATTATGTTTTACTGTTCTAAAATGATTGTTCAATATGGCAACTGAAAAAATGATAGCTACATATCTATTACATCAATGTACTTGACATAAACTGAAAATACTGAATCAATTTGTTCAACCTTTCCAAATACAAGATGTGAAATTAGTTCTATTGTATGATTTCTACAATATACAGGTGAGATTTGTATAATACCAGATATTGGTATAATCCTAGACTTCTAAAATGTTTAAGATTTTCAGAGATAAAGCATGTAATTCAAAGTATTACCTGAAATTATAATCAAAAATGAGTTTTAAAATAGAGTCCTACACGAGAAAAGTCTCCCCCAAAGAATGAACAGGAGGAGGAAATGGGAGACTCTTTCTAGTTACTACACAAATTCATAACAAATGCAAAAATTAGATAATTCAGAAACTCCTATTTTCTAAACTATTAGTGGCCAAAGATTGTCCATTTATGCGAAGTTTAACTTGCAGTGTGAAAACTTTTAATCTTCAAGCAGTGCAAAGTTGCTAAAGAACACGAGTCCTCAGACCTATTCTAGTAGTCTCTCTTCTCATCCTCTTTTAATTGTGTCCAGTTACCCTCTCCTGCTTTCCTCTTTCCTTTCTATCCTCTCCTCTCTGGAGCTACCCATCTGCTAGCTCTCCTGGGACTCAAAAAACTGCTGGTCCCATGGAAATACCCACTCACCCTCACACAGCCCTGGCCTCAGTCCTAGCTGTTCCTTTTTTTTTTTTTTTTTTTTTTTTTTTTAAGATGGAGTCTCACTCTGTCACTCAGGCTGGCATGCAGTAGCACTATCTCAGCTCACTGCAAGCTGCAAACTCCACTCCTGGGTTCAAGTTATTCTCCTGCCTCAGCCTCCTGAGTAGCTGGGATTACAGGTGCCTGCCACCACACCCGGCTGATTTTTATATTTTTAGCAGAAATGGGGTTTTGCCAGGTTGGCCAGGCTGGTCTCGAACTCCTGACCTCAGGTGATCTGCCTGCCTCGGCCTCCCAAAGTGCTGGGATTTCAGGCACGTGCCACTGTGCCCCAGCCCTTTTTTTTTTTTTTTTAACTCCTCCATGCTGCAGATCCCACAGTTTCCTGCCACAAGAACATAAACTTTTGTCCCCCACACATGCAAACACCAGTGAAAAGTAAACTCGAGTTTAAGAACTTGTTCCTAATATTCTGGATTACAGAGTGGCAAGCGGGAAAATATCTAAAAGTCAGTAGTTTTCAGCAAGAGATTAGGAATCGGCATTTTAAGGATCTCTAAGATCTTTAGCCATGATCTTCGTTGCTTGTTCTCCTCTATGGACAGCACTGTGGGTTCTGCTCCAGCCACACAGCATCGGCCCAACAGTTCCCCTCACCTAGCCAAGGCTAGAACGCTGCAGCAGACCCAAGGAGAGGTCACAGCCTTTTCCCTGGCCTATTTCAGAGAAATCCACACCTAACCCACTAGATCTAAACTTTTTTGGATCTTGAACCCTGTGAGAATCTGATAAAAGGTCATTCCCCCCACCCCCACAAAAAATACACATTTGAGCAAATAAAGACATTTTGCATGCAATTTCAGGGGCATCATCTAAGGCCCATTCATAGGACTGGCCAAGAGCCAGGGCTCACACAGTAAAGCGCTTACTTTTAAAATACTTCAAAGAAAATTCCTGGCTCTCCCTCTATGTATTTATAATCCCAGTTCTCTAAAAACTAAACTAAAAGATCTTTGTATCAGAAAAAGGAGGCACTTAACACCTGAGTTAGGGAAGGCAAAAAGTTAGAAGAAATCACTCACTCTAGATACTCTTAATGAGTACATAGAAATCTCAAAAAGAAAGAAAAAGATATTTCCCTATCAACTGAGTCTATGCCTTCTTTTAGTCTAAACTCACTCCTGCTAATCTCTCCTCTTTTTCAGTGTGGTGACAAACTAAACTGTGATATTACAGCAGGCCTGCGGCTCAGCGAGCCGTTGCATGAGTCTCCTCAACCACAGCAAAGCTGGCTGTCGCTACCTGTGGCTCCGCTGGTCTCTGCAGGGCGGGATGCACAGACTCGGAGTTGCCATTGGAAAAAGACTCTGATCGGGAAGGCACTGGTGGCTCCAATACTCTGCCTGTCTGCTTAGACTGGGCTTCAGGGGAGCTGTGGTTAGTTTTCCTAAATCTATCTTCCACCTGCATCAGAGAATTAGAAGACATAACTCAGTGTTAGTAGGGGAAAAGCAGAAATATCAAAGAAAGTCTAAAAGTGGAAGAAATCTAAAGGTAAGTTTTCTGTTTTCTTCTGCTACCAGAAAAGAGAGGGGTAGCTGGAAAAAAGAAGGTACATAAAGCAGTGCTAGGATTAGATTCAGGAAAAAGAAAATATTTATGAAGATAAAAATTAGCAAGGCAGTCTCTAAGCTCTCCTCCTTGCTCAGAATTCTAAGACTGTATATGATGATGAAGTAGAAAAAAATTAATCTGTCACAAGCAACTAAACCAACAGACTAAAAAACTATCATCAGAAATCCGGAATGCATTTCACTCCACCAAATATAAAAGCACTCCAGAACAAACAGAACACTTGTTTCTAGAATCTACTGCCTGTGAGGGCAGACACAATAGAAGGCTGCTGCCACCTGTGGGCCGGGATTCAACACCTCTGGAGGCACACCTGTCGCCCATCTTGCACCCCCGAGCAGTCCCTGCCGCAGCCTACTCTGAGGCTCTGGGTAACCCTAATGCACCAATCTAGCAGGGCATCTTGACATCTGCAAAGTCAGAAAGTTGAGCCACAGGCACACTTTAGCTTTATACTAGCTTGGCAGAATAGTTCATCAGACCACTCTTTCCCTCATCCACATTTTTAAGAGTGACTGTGTCATGTAATCTTTTAGTTTAGTTCAGTTTCAAGTTCTTCTGGGATATGTTAACTGAGGCACTCTGGTCCTTTATGGAAAAAGCACTGACTGAATATGAAACCTTGGGCAAGGCCCTCCACTCCTCTGAAATTCAATTTCCTAGTTAGAAAATGAAGAAACCAGATAATTAGCTAAACTCTATGGCCCGTTCTAGAACTCATATGACACAGTTCTGAAGAGTCGTTATACGACTTTCCAGGGCAATGTCTAAGTGACAAAGGAAAGAGGATACCTCTCGCGCTCGGTCAGCAGGCTCGTAGTGGGCTTTGGGCTCGGGAGCATGGAAGCTTGGCTTGCTCCTTTCCTGCTGCGGTGGTGGCGGCTGCTGCGAGTGCTGCGGGTGCGGCCTCCTATGGTCATGCTGTAGAGACAGGAGATATGCTTGTTCTTGTTGCAACTGCCTCTGGAGCCTCTCTGCCTGCCGGTGCTCCTCCATCTCCCGCCATCGGCACTCCTTGGAGAGGGAGAGGATAACACTAAATCTATGGGACACTGGAGAGCTCGCCTCTTCTCTGGATTTGTTCGGCTTTTAAAAAAAGTGACCATATATTTTCCCTCTGTGTTTTGTAAGAAAGCAAAATGGCTGGGATTTTAAATAGCACATTACCTGTGGAAAAATCTCACAGCTGTTGCTAACCATAATTATCATTGGACAGAGTAAGAGATAATTCAATTAAATGTGAGTTTTAGTGGTATAGATACTAGGTAAAAATCCTGTGACATGTGCTTTCAACCTACTGCCCTCAGCATTCTAGTGTGTTCACTGAGTGCCAAGTTCTGTTCAAAACCTTGTTGGTCTACCAAACAAGAACAATTAACTTATTAAAGAGATATAAATAAATAAAGACCATGTTGCAATGTGCTAGCAATAGGACCACAAAATGGGCATCACTATTTCAGCCTGGCTGCCCACAGCAAAACCAAAATGGTCTGGTGACCACCACAGCTTGCTCAACTTTGGGGACGGATGAAGGAGCCCTGATGCTACAGAATGAAACAGAGGCGGGGCTTTACCAGTAACATGGCCTGCTCCTGGAGCAGCTGCTGCTGAAGGACTTCCAAGTGCCGCTGCTCCTCTTCTAGCTGTCGCCTGATATACTCCTGTCACACAGAAATCACCCAGCAATCAAATTATCCCAAAGAAAAGCATCAGAACCACCTGAATGGAGCACCAAGAACCATTTGCTCCAATCACCTTTAGTGACAATTCACTTAGTGGTAAATACCTGAAGAAAATCTATTGCTAAAGATTTCTCCAAGAACTTCAAATTGGCCAGTAAGACCTAAGGAGTCTAACAAATGATGATATGCATTCCCATAATATACACGAAGGGATCTAAGAGTACTTCTGTTAGAACACAGCTGTTGTAAACAAATACAGAATTTTAAAACAGTATGCCATTCCTCTTAAGGTTGGTAAACCCCAGAGAAATCAAGATTTTAATTAAAAAGTATCAGAGGGTTCTGATTAGTAAACATCTGCTTATTAGTCATTATTTGTAACAAGCACAGATCACCAATTTTTGAAACCTAAAACCAAAACCTGCTTAATAATAAAATACAACAAACATGATTCATGCTTTCACTAACAATTCCAAAGGCACCTGGAATGACTACATTCCAGACTTGGGCAACTCTCCTCAAATGAACAGACCCAGGCTCCATGATGAGCTTGTGTGTGTGTGACAGACAGAGACAGACAAGGACAAGGGGAGAGAAAGACAGCAGGAAGTGAGGATGGGGTGGTTTTTCTTTTCAATGAGAAGAGAATGATTAGTCATTATAACAATGAAAACAAGTAAACACATCCCAAATATGTTATAGAGAGGGGTAAAACCCTACTTCAAAGCTGCATGCGTATTATAAAGGACAGGGATACCAGGAGGCCTCAGTCCCTGTTCCACTGAGGACTGGCTCTATGATCCCTAGCATGCTCTAAAGCTCCCCTTTTCTCAGTCTCCTCATTTGAGAAATGAGCATCCAAAATCTCCTCTCCCAACCCTCAGGAATTTTTGTAAGGTTCAGACATGAGATTGATATGAAATAACCTTGAAAAGCATAAAACATTTTACAAGCCAAAGAGGCTTCCTTTTTTTGGACAGGGAAAAAAGCTCTAGAAGAGGAATAGACTAAGAAGGACTACGAGGAGACATTTTATCCTGAAATTCAGATTCCCTTTTAAGAGTGTCTACTGCTGACCATCCCCTTGTGTCATGGTGCACACCTTGAAACAAAAATAGCCATCAATATGGGCTGAACAGAAGTTTTAGTTAACCAATATCTCTGGGAGAATATTGAAATTACAGCATATAAAAATCCTTAGAAAACCTTACTTTACAAAGAAAACTGAGCCAAAAAAGCCAACTGGGGGGGTGTGGGCAGAGGGGTGGGGCGGACTTAGTCAGAAGGCTACTGACAAACATATCTGGTTCTGACCTGGGATCTACGTCTCTTGTGTCTATGTCTGACCCTCCATGGTACATGCTACAGCAATACCTACCCTAGCAAGGCTTGTGGCCTTAACCCAACTGTGACGGAGCAAAGGAACCTGACTTTCAACTCATTTTCTTTTTTGAACAAAACAGAATTAAATCTTAACTCGAAAGATCAAGTCAGTACACTCATTTGTTTTCTGCCCTCAACACAGGGACAGCTGGAAAAATCATGTCCTCTCCAAACCACAAAGGTCCTAACACATAGTCAATGAACAAACAATACACAACACGCATCTACACAAACATACACACTTATGCTGAAATGAAATGCGTCCTACAGCACTGTTAACATGGGAATTACTATTTCACAATAGAACAGGGAAAAACAGAATAAAACCGATTTTAGAATTTTTTTTTTTAAAAGTGGTGCCAAATACTTGCTATTCACAAAATTTAATGACTGCCACTAGAGCATTAAAGATGAATTGCTACCATCACACCCTCCTCTCATGATCGAACTGTAATCATTATTTCTAGGTGATTTAATTCTTAAAAGCTTGAATGTTTTCCTCTTTGCAGACCCCAGGTATAAACATAAGTGGAATGTTAAAGCACACGCGCTACACAGTTAAATGGTTGACAACGTCAATTAGGTAACATAAAAAGCGTCACTGAAATTCCTGGGAAAACACCGAGGAGCATGCAGACCCAAGCTTAGAAAGCCCAAGACACATGATAAGCATAAAGGACGGCAGCTGAACAGTCACATTTGAAAGTTAACACCATGGTTTATAAGTTTAAAATACAGATACCAAGTGCTATTTAAATTGGTCCTCACATATCATTTTTTTCTTTATTCCAAGCTCATAACAAAGAGATCAATTCAAAGACAAGAAAGGCAAAGGGGCTAAGGGCAAATTGTATTTGTACAGGTGGTTCAGGAAACAAAAAAATAATTCTAAATAAAATCATACCTGACATTAATAAAATGCTGCAAATATTATTAAAACCTGATCTTTTTTGGTTGAACTCATCAATGTTAGTTTTTTTAATGTGCTGTGTATATACAGAATTACATGCTGATATATATTACAGTATTCACTTAGCCACTGGATATTCAAATATTTCTCCTAAGAAATTTCTTACTGTTGGTTTTTAATTTCATTTTTTTTTTAAAAGTTAATTATCACCCATATATTTGGGGTCTACAGCATTTAAGCCAAGCCTGAGAAGATACATGCAGACATCTTTCAGGTATTATACTATTTAGAGACCACTTAACTGGTTTCAACAGGTTCCTAAAGTGTAATGATTTATAAACCCTTTTTAAGACAAGAGACTGAATTTATTGGTGTCATTCCAACTGTGTTTCACCACGTTCATACATCTGAAGTTCTAAGTATATGTGTATGTGTGTACATGTGTGTATGCATCACATGTGTGTATACTTTCTAAAAATCCCCCAGCTCTGCAAAGTAACAAACTTCACAAGTGTATGCCTGCTATGTTATCTGTGAACTAACCTGTTCTCTTTCAACTCTCCTCTTTTCTTCTTCTGCCCGTCTCCTCTCCTCTTCTTCTTTGCGCCTTCTCTCCAACTCCTCTAGACGCCTCTTTTCTTCTTGTTCTCTCCTTCGCTGTTCACGTTCCTGCTGCCTTCTAGCTTCCCGCTCTCTCCTTTGTTGCTACGTAAGTAAAAATGTATAATTACCAGGGATCTTCCCGCCATCTTTCTCATGATGTTATAGTGTGCTGATCAGTCAGTGCCAGGTGGACACTAATGAGGTGAGGTTCATGGGCCCCATATCTACTGGCCAATTATTTCCACACTGCCCCTCGGACCCATAAGTAAGGGCTTCTTCATGAATGCTGGTCAAAAGTATTGTGACTCTGTGAATCCTTATAGGGTTTAGTTTCATTTTGATAACAATTATTCCCCACTGCTCACTGCACCACAGCAATTAGGGGACAGAAAATTCTTTATTCGTGGATATCATTAACAGGGTTATGCAGGACCCTTAAGTCAGAAGAAAAATACATTAAGAGAAAGAAATAAAGGGAAATAGAAATACAGCAAAGACAGACAAAGAATTTAAAAAAGGAAAAAAAGAAGCACACATCAGGAAAAGAGGAACTGACGTCAACAAGAATAACCAGGACCATTATTATTAATATAAGTATTTCAGAAACTGCTACTGAGCAAATGCTTACTACTATGTGCCTGGCACTATGCTAAGTATTTGATATTTCTATTCCACTTACTTTACCTAATATAATTCTCCTAACAACCCAAGGAAGTCATTATTTCATCCCTGCTTTACAGATGCGAAAGCAGGTTCAGAAAAGGTAAGTGACTTGCCCAAAGTCACACAGCCAGCAAGCCCCCAGCTGGAAGAGCTGCTCTGCCTCTACGGCCCATACATACTCTTAACCACCCTCTACCCTGCATCCCATCAACAGGTGTAAAAGGTGCTACTGAATCACCAGACTCACTCAGCCTTTCTAAATCCAGACTGTTCTATGTAACCCTACAGAACAGAGCAAGATGACATGCCAGGCACGTGATGACAACTCACTCTTCTAGCTCAAGGCTGTCTGCCAGTAAAGCACAAGCTAGACTCTGGACTCTCTGGGATAATAAAAATGTTCTGTCTCTGCACTGCTCCGTAGTCACTAGTCACGTGTTGCTAATGAGCACCTGAAATATAGCTAGCATGAATGAAAAACTGAGTTTTTAATTTTGTTGCACTGAAGTTAATTTTAATTTAAATGGCCAAATGTGGCTAGTGGCTACTGGGTAGCAGCAACTCTAGGGGATGCACAGCCATCAAATTTCCCAGACACAGAGAGCCAATAATATTAACACAAACTTTATTTGTGACACTAAAATTAACCATTAAACAAGAAAGCTTAGGGTAAAGCTATCAGGGATGTTAGACATATTTATAATGGATACACAAAGTACATATTTATTATAGTTTAAGTATTCCTTCTGGGTCTTCCCACCACTCTCAACTAGTATTTAATCTGAAAGCCAACACTTAAAAATGATGCCCTAAGAAATGTAAAGTAGTATCTTTCATCTGGAATAACTGGATAGCAACGATGATTTGGTAGTCCAGTCTCTCTCACCTGACTACTACACCCCCATTATTCTCAGTGAAGTTCTGAGTCTGCTTTTGGTTCCGCCTCTCTCATTATCTAGGTTTTCAATGGGGGAATCTCCTTTTCCCCCATTCTCTGCTCTTCGAATTCAATACACAAAACTCATCAGCTTCCCATGGGTGGAGATGGGGTCATAAAATGAATGATGCTCCTGCTCTAGTATCTAAAAACTACAACTTTAATGGCTATGCCATCTTTATTTATCAAGGTGTTATTACTCATCTCACTTTTTGTTTGTTCCACCGGGTTTCTATGGACCTATCACAAATAATCTATAAAGTCTCTTGCACTACCATAACACTCCTTTCAACACAGTTGAAGAAATCAGGTATTCTTTCTTTATTTTTGGAGACTGACTGTTTTCCAGTCATCCTATATTTCTGTCCACAAACTTCCCGGGAATCCTTGTCATCTTCTTTCTTACTTTGCTGGAACACATCCTCCAGCAGCTTCTTGAGGAAGAGAGAAGAAGAGGCAAAACGAAACAAAATCAAACAAAAAAATCTCTGGGAACTTTGCAAAATTGTTATTTACCCTAACATGTTACACACAATTTCCGCTGAAGAAAATTAACATTCCCTCCAAGTTTTGAAGGCAGTGCTATGTCATCTTCTAGTTTCTGATGTTGCTCCTAGAGATTCTGAGACCATTCAGATTCTTGATACTTAGTACAGGACCCATTCCACACTCTTCTACCTGCTCCCAACTTCAGCTTCTAGGATCCTCTTTTCATCCTCAATATTCTAAAGATGATGATGTATGTATATATGTATGTATGTGCACATACACGATAATGTATGTGCCTTTGTGTGAGCCCTTTCTCATTCATGTGCTGGGTATTCAGCGAGGCTTTCAATCCAGAAACTCGTACTTCTTAGTTCCAGAAATTTTGCTTAAATTATTCCTGTATGTTCTTTCTGTAGTATTCACTTCCTAGAGCATCTATTAAATAGAAGTTGGACATCCTGGATTGATTCTGTAAGTTTTCCTTGTGTCCTATTATCCACCAACTTGTCTTTTCTTCCCCACTGTCTAGGAGTGTTCATTAAAAGAAAAAAACTCAAAAATTCCTTCTTAATTTCTGAGTATTCTTGTTCCATAAATACAGTATCTTCTCTTTCCAAGGATAAGGTCTTGTGTCTGTTCGTGTGTATATGTATATATGTAGGAGATGCTTTGCTCTGTTCCCCCACTGTCTCTATATCCTTCGAGTTCTTTTTCCTATTTGTTTCCAAAATCTTTCATGGTAGAGATTTTTCTCAGTGTCTGGTAATCTTGGCTGTCCATTTACATTTAAGATTCTAAAATGCAAACTATAAGGACTGTATAGACAAACAGCACCTGGCAACTACTTAGCAACAGAGTAAGGTGATTATGATTCACCCTGATCATTTCACTTGGGGCCTTATTTCCTTTGGGCTGATCAGTTATCTCCAGAGAGAAATCGTCACAATATTCTGGGAATCCTTCCAATATCCTACGGGGTTGAGGAAAGGGTGCATGAAAAAGATACAGCATTTGTAATAAGTGTGTCTGCCACCATTTTGGGAGCTGAGTGAAGTGAGCATGCTTGCAGTCACACTGATTAGTATTTACATTTTCACTTAATGCCCTTGTTTTAGTTCATCTTTCACCACATACTCAGTTTTTTCCCCTGTCTCTGTTGTTCACTTTTCCCAGGTAGCATATATCTGCACCTGCTGGGGGCAGGGGATGCTCAGTACACAAGCTGCACAAGACAGGGTAGTCTAACTGTGCATGTTCACACGTGTGCATACTCTCTCTGTATATATGTACATATAATGTCAACATAATTACATTTTATTCAACTAATAAAAATGTATAAATTTAATTCAAAATACACTATCAAAGAAAAAATAGCAAGCAAACAACATCTTACAAACAGGATACGCTATATAAAAAGTTCAACTTCAACCGAAACCTTCTGAGAGGGTTTTTCTTTTTTAATTTCAGGTGATACTACTATACCTTTGGTTACTAGATCAACACAAAAGAGACTCCAAACGTCTTGAAAGCAGGAACCATGTCTTATCTCCTTTTTTCCCCCTATAGTAAATATCACACATTACCTTCAGAAGAGAAATTCAATACTTTTTTATTTGAATCTAACCTTTATACCTAGCATATGACATCTTAACAGAAACTGCTGTGAATTTACCCAACGCTTAGCATTTAGAGTGATGACAGACTCAGGAATCCATTTAGGTCTCTAGGTCCTACGAAATCCAATCAAATCCTAAGGCAATCTTTTCAAGATCACCAAGTAAGAGCACGAAGTCTTGAGATTTAATTATTACTCTGGGTAGTGCCTCATACTAATAAAAACAAAAAAAAAAAACACCTCCTTTATGCCTCCAGATATTGTATAAGGTCCTCTAAAGTACTCACTCTAAGGTACCTCTGGTACTCAAATTAGAGCTCTCAAGCCCAAGGGTTCATTTTCACATAGGCTTAAATTTGAATGAGCCCTTCCTTTCCAGAGATACACACAAGACTACAAACAACTAATCCATCTATTTGAGAAATACTTATTAAGCACCACAGATATACAAAGATGAATTAGAAACAGCTCCTTTCCTCCAAATCTTGCAGGTTAGGTGAGTCACATACCTTTAAAAAAACGTAGAAGACAATGTGGAAAGTGGTAAATCTCCCAAGACTATCCCACTAAGCAAGTCCTGGTTAGTGGGACCAAATAGTTAAGAACAATAGCTAAGGCAAAAAAAAAAAAAAAAAAAAAAAAAAAAAAAAGAGGACAGTTACCAACTTCTCTTCCACATTATATTCTAATAGTTGAAGTGGTAAACTAGATCGAGAGCAAGAATTTAAACTACCAACCATAAAAACCACTACATTCAGAATAGGCCCTCAATTTGGAGGTAGCTGGGGGCACTAAGAGGAATCATTAAAAAATTAAGAAAGTCCTTAATATCTTAATAGGTAATGTGAAAAGCTGGCCTCTTGCATTAGAACTTCAAAAGAAAATATCAAAAACTGAAACATACACACCATCAACAAAATAACATCAGTCTGTACTGTTAACCTTATGCCTATGATTGCAAATAACAAAGCCCAGGGAATTTTAATGAACATGCTTCTTCAGGCTTACCCAACTAAGAATGATAAACATGATACAATCTTTTGAAGCTTTTACAAACTGATGTAATTTATTTTCTTAAATTATCCTTTCTTTAAAAATAAAATCAAACAGACAGAAAAACTGTGTGATGTCCTAACGTGATCATCAAATCTCTCAAACTACAGAGATTTTATTACTTAAATTTTCCCAAGCGTGCCTAAGTAAATATGTACTTGTCCAACTAAGCTTTAATTATCTAAGTTCCTATTCTAGTTTGGTATTTAAAAGCAAAGCTTTCATCTCACAATTCTAAAAACTTTTCTAAATAAAATTACACTAGTAATAGTGAGATCTAGTTAAATATACTCCACTGGATTTACTGGCTTCAGTGGAAACTAACATATTTTGATAAACTAGTTAATTCTTTGGACTGCTATTTCCAAGAACTTCTGCGGTCATGTTACTACACAGATATACCATCAACCCCTGAGTTTTTTTATTTGTAAGTTCTGATGAAGCTACAGTGGAGAACTATTCATTTCTTCCCCATCTTTAGGTAATAAATCACGTATGAGGAATTAAACTCGCTACAAAATTTAACTGCAAATATAACCAAATGCCAGACTGGGATGCCAAGAGAATATTTAAGAACTTATGAGGAGTTCTTAAATGCAAGCCAGCCACCTTCTGCATACCAACTGAGCTGCTAGCTTGACAGGAAGCAAGGCCTTAGCTGTAGGGGCACTGGCATGCCAGGACACTATGATTACTGTGTGTATTAAAGCTGGAACTATTTTTTTAAGAAAGGTAGCATGTGCTAACATGTACTCCTAATGTTAGATACTAATGGCTTGCAAAACAAAGACCTTTTCTGTAGGAAAGGAGGAGTGAGAAAATGGTTGTTATTTCTTTAAAATACACAGCAACTGCTGGAAAGTGCTTCAGAATAAAGGAGTTCACTGCCTTCCTTCTAAATTTCGGAACCAAGAAACACATAATGCATGCATGGCACAGTTTATTAATTTTTTACTGAGAAACTTTTATGTTTTCCTAGTGTTACAATTTAATATCAATACTAATCCCATTTCACACAGAGTTTTTTTTCCTCTTGCTTCCCTTTGTTTTCAATGTCTTCTACTTCCACCGCCCCTCTAAAATTTAACTTTGAGATTTGTAGAAATCCCTTTGGGATTTTGTAGGAATGACAGAAATAAATGTTACTCTGTGTCCTCTTGGTGGAAGAAAGGCAAAAAGAAACTGCTGATGCTCACACTAACATTTACCCTTAGTTGAGGAAGCAGACTTTCCAAAATCACAAAGTGACAACTGAGAGTCCAGGGGTAAAGGCTTTGAAAGGAAAGATGTAAGAAATTTTTTTAAATACCAGCTAAAAGACTCTGAGACAGGAAAGACCTGAATATCCTATCAGTACTGTTCAAATTACAAGTAGCAGAAAACTAATCAGGTTTTCTCCAGGACACCATCTTGTTTAATATTTTTATTTTCTTTTACTCTTTATTTTTTTATTAAATAGAGATGGGGTATTGCTATATTCCCAAGCTGATCTCAAACTCCTGGGCTTAAGTGAGCATCCCATCTCGACCTCCCAAAGTGGCTGGGATTACAGATGTAAGCCATCATGCCCAGACTATTTTTATTAAACTTAGACAAAGAACAAAGAAAACATGCTAACCAAATGTGTGAGTGTCATGAAAGTACAGAGGAACAGATAAACGATGCCAAACCATGATTCAATTTAAAAAAAAAAAAAGAGCACAAAACTATTGAGATAAAATGACACCACAATTAAGTAAGCTTCATTTTTCCTAAAAAGCAAATAAATACTAGATGGAAGAAAAGGTTGGCTTGTGAACAAAATGCAAAAAAAAATTTAACTAGACCCAAAGTCTTGTATGAGCCAAAGATGTGATGATGCTCTAAATAGGAAAAGTAGTATTAAAACTTTTTGGCTGGGCACAGTGGCTCATGCCTGTAATTCCAGCACTTTGGGAGGCTGAGGCGGGTGGATTGCTTGAGCCCAGGAGTTAGAAACAAGCCTGGCCAACAATGGTGAAACCCCATCTCTACAAAACAAAAAATACAAAAATTAGCCTAGTATGCTGGTGCATGCCTGTAGACCCAGCTACTAGAGAGGTAGAGCCAGGAGGATCACTTGAGCCCAGGTGGCAGAGGGTGCAGTGAGCTGAGATTGCACCACTGCACTCCAGCCTGGGTGACACAGCAAAACCCTGTCTCCAAAACAAAACACCTTTTTGAGGGAGGAAGAAAATTATCCTTTTCTGAATCTGGGTAATTCACTTAGAGTAAACTGACAAAATATGAGTGTACCCAGAAGAGAAGGACCCAGGGAGCACAGTCACACACATGAAGAGCAGCGGGGAGGGGCAGGGAAGAAATGCTGAGACTCTCAGTACGAACTCGGCTGCATGAGCTCAGCATTCTCCCCTTTTCCTCCTGGAACCATCCAAACAAAACAAGAAGAGAAAACAAAAACCTCATTTTCAGCAAAACCGGGAGACAAACTCCAAAAGAGTTGCAAGGACTTCCAAAGAAGATCCAGTTCACACAAGAGACAAGGAGGAGGCAGAGAAGCAAAGGAGGGCGATACCAGCAGCAGCAGTTATCAGAGAGCACCAAGGGAGATGGAGGGTGGGAGTGTACATATTTCTTAAAGATGAAGGACCTATGAAGGGCAAAAGCACCCTCCCTCACCTGCAAAAAGGGTGCAGAGACAGGAGTGTGTGGATGGCAGGAGAAATCCCCAACCCCAGTGGGCCTGGTTTTGTGGCATCTGCACTGTGTTTGCCCACAGCCTTTACTTTCTGGATCATGTTTTGCCAGTCTGCTGATAGATAACAGTTATCTCCTTTCAGTTTTAATATCTTATGAGTGAGGCTGACCATCTTTACTTACTTTATTCATAAAATAATCTCTGTTCCTCAAACAGTTCTGACTAAATCCTTAATGCCAATAAAGGGCTACGAACCAATTATGGCTCAAATAGTCAGCCTCTGTACCCACAGGTTCCACATCCACATGGATTCGACCAACCTTGGGTCAAAAAATATTTGAAAGCACTGCATCTGTACAGACTTTTTTGGTCATTATTCCCTAAATAATATAGTGTAACAGGTATTTGCATGGCATTTACACTGTACTTGGTATTAAGTAATCCAGAGATGATATAAAGTACAGTCATGTGTTGCTTAACAACAGGGATATGTTCCTAGAAATGCGTCGTTAGGTGATTTCTTCATTGTATGAACATCATATAGTGTGCACACACAAACCTAGATGGTACAGCCTATTACACACCTAGGCCATATGGTGTAGCCTATTGCTCCTAGGCTACAAACCTGCACAGGATGGTACTATACTGAATATGCTAAGTAACTGCAATACAATGGTAAGTAGTTGTGAATCTAAACACAAAAAAAGTACAGTAAAAACATGCTATAAAAGATTACAAATGCTATCTCACCATGAATAGAGCTTGAGGGGCTGGAGGTTGCTCTGGGTGAGTCAGTGAGTGAGTGGTGAGTGAATATGAAGACCTTGAACATTAGCGTACACTACTGTAGACTTCATAAACACTGTGCATTCAGGCCATACTAAATTTATTTTAAAATGTTTTTCTTTCTTCAATATTAAATTAATCTTAATGTAATTTTTTCTTACTTTAACTTTTAAATTTTATTCTTTTGTGTTTAATACACAAACACTTCATATAAATCTGTAGAAAATATTTTCTTTCTTTAAATTTCTGTCCTATAAACTTTTTCCTAATTAAAATGTTTTAGCTTTAAAAATGTTTTTGTTAAAAAGTGACACACAAACATACACATTAGCCTAGGCCTACACAAGGTCAGGTTCCTCAATATCACTATCTTCTCCCTCTACATCTTGTCCCATTGGAGAGTCTTCAAGGGCAAATAACACACATGGAGCTGTCAGCTGTCATCTCCTATGATCACAATGCCTTCTTCTGGAATCCTCCTGAAGGACCTGCCTAAGGCTCTTTTGCAGTTAACTTGGTTTTTAATATGTAGAAGGAGTACACTCTAAAATAATGATTAAAAAGTATAATATAGTAAATACATAAACCCAGTAACATATACTGTATATAATTGTATGTGCTATACTTTTATACAACCAGCAGGGCAATACATGAGTTTACACCAGCATCACCACAATCATGAGTAACAGGTTGCGCTACAACCCATTACACGTTACAATGGCTATGATGTCACTAGGCAACAGGAATTTTTCAGCTCCATGATAATCTTATGGGACCACCATCATACATGTACTCAGTTGTTGACCAAAACGTTGTTATGCAACATATGACTATATATGGAAGGGAGTGCACAGGTTATATGCAAATAGTAGGCCACTTTATATCAGGGGCTTGGGCATCTGCAGTTCTGGTATCCATGGGAAGTCCTAGAACCAAACCCCCAAAT
Source organism: Homo sapiens (assembly GCF_000001405.40). Classification (NCBI taxonomy): domain Eukaryota; kingdom Metazoa; phylum Chordata; class Mammalia; order Primates; family Hominidae; genus Homo; species Homo sapiens. The sequence goes on along the minus strand of NC_000002.12, from coordinate 101,846,912 downwards.
ACGGGATCACTCTATTCCCAAATTATCTTCCTCAGACCTGGAGTGTAAATAAAGCTTAATTACCCAGGCTAGTAACAAGCAGCTAGCTGACCAAAAATCCAAACCAGTGGAATTCTACTCATGTGACTTTTCCCATTCCAATATTTTCTTAATCTTTCCTAATTAAGAAGCTCAAAGAGATGACCCTGAGTTTGAACTTACACTGAAAATCCATAATGGGCTAATTAAAACATGACAAGCACAAAATTGTTGTTTTCACAGACATTCACCAGCATCTACTTAGCTTATAAAACAAAATGACTTTAAAATTTCAGCTCTTCCCTGTGAGCCATCGCTCACCTTCACCTTCTACCATCGCTCACCTTCACCACCTACCACATGCAGAGGCTGGATAATGGATACTCGTCTCACTAGTGACAGCCTGAAAGACATTTCCAGTGCCTGTGTTACAAATGAGTGCTAACTTGATCTGGTCCTTGGCACTTCAAGTTATAAACCACCAAAGTAGTCTATGCCACCTGCTTAAGGAAAGTACAGGCCGGGATCAAAAAAAGATAGTGGAAAACACCACTTCAAGAAACAACTAGAAACAGCCAGAGTCTCAAAACTCAAGCATTCTAATATAGTAAGTACAGTCAATATGCAACTTGAACAGATCTCTGAACTCATTCAAGATTTATTACGTTCAAAGAACACTGAAAAGAGTCTTAACAAAAATACCACAAGGAATTTGCAAATTAGCTACAAAAAGCATTATAAAAGCAGCGAAGTTGTCCCTACTACAGGGGAACGTACGTCCTGTTTTCTTCTAAAAGTCCTAGCTGAATATTTGCAGGCTCCTTAGTTCAGCAGGCACTGATTTTTCTAAACAAGCGGCAAATTATAAAGAGTTTTCAGAATCCAGACTACAAATACACAAAGTGAATGAAAGATTCCATGCCAAAGTGTGCTGTTAAATTAGTAGGATAATATTTAATAGCATGTGTTGCTACTTAATAGGTTAAATTCCACTGGATAATATCAATACAGGGCTTTACTGTTGTTGGCCCATTTTTCTGGGGGAAAAAAGGTAAAACAATAATGTCTGTGAATTAAATAAAAACAGAAATGATAATGAATGAGAAATTTGGACCTGTGAGGTATGCAGCAGAAGCCAGTCAAAAAAAGAAAATCAAAAGACTCTTCTGATCCCCAAGTGAAATAGCCATGTTTTGGTCAATGATGAACTGCATATACAATGGTGGTCCCATAAAATTATAATATCATATTTTTACCATACTTTTTCTATGTTTACATATACAAATACTTACCATTGTGTTACAACTGCCTACAGTATAAGGCACAGTAACATGCTGTACAGGTTTGTAGCCTAGAAGCAAGAGGCCACACCACATAGTCTAGGTGCGCAGTAGGCTGTACCATCTAGGTCTGTGTAGGTACACTCTATGATGTTCCCACAATGACGGATCACCTAATGATGCATTTCTCAGAATGTATCCCCGTCATTAAGCGACCCATGACTGTATAGGGAAATAATATATTTCTGTGCATTAAAAACGTGAAAGCTGTAAGGTAACCACATTACCAATGTTAGCAATATTAATGAGTTAAATGAGCAGGTGGTGTAAAATGTACTTCTCCACCAGAGGACACTACAACTTCCAGGTTCAAATTGTTTTCTGCATCCCTTACCGTGTGTGCGTGTGTGTTCGGTTTTTTTTTTTATTTTTATTTTTTTTTTGGCTTAAACCAGTAAAAATTTATTTTCTGACAGTTCTGGATGCTGGAACTCTGATATCAAGGTGTGAAGGCTCTAGGGAAGGGTCCTTCTTTGCCTCTTCCTAGCTTAGGTGGTTGCAGGCAATATTGGTCCTTCCTTGACTTGTAGACCATCATTCCCATCTTGCCTCCCTTGCCACGCGGCACTCTTCCCGTGTTTCCGCCTCTATGTCCAAATCTTATCTTTTTTATTTTATTTTATTTTACTTTAAGTTCTGGGATACACTGCAGAACGTGGTTTGTTACATAGGTAAACGTGTGCCATGGTGGTTTGCTGCACCTGTCAACCCGTCACCTAGGTATTAAGCCCTGCATTAGCCATTTGTCCTCATCTGCATCCCCTACTCTTGAGTATACCCAAGGTTAAGGCATTTAGAAAAAAAAAAACTTTCATGTGAAAAAGTCTGAAGTTTCAGAAAAATATGCACATACAAACTGGGACCCAGAGGCTGAGAGTAGAAAAGCAATCAGGTCAATCCTGAGCAAGCCAACTTAAACCATAATGCAAAAAGACTTCACAAAACTGGTCTGATGCCATCTTTGGGACACTTGCTCTGCATCTAACACAGTATGTTGATGAGTAACTGTGGGGCAGATCCTTAAAGTTTTCACAAGGAAGGAAAACATTTCTAAGGCCTCAAGGAATGTGAAGGCCTGCCAGTCCAAAGCGTAAGCTTTCTTTCACAAGTTATGTAAACAGCTGTGCCAGGGGATAAGTATTACCCCAGGAAGCTACAGAGGATATTCCTCTGAGTGGCTAACTACCAGTGTAAATGCAGAAAGAGAAAAGACCAACCAACTTGGACATTTTCCTTTTGCTACCTCTTCTAGCCGTCGCCTCTGTTCTTTCTGCTGCTCAATCCGCTTCTGTCTCTCTGCCAGCAGTTGCCTTTTATATTCTTCCTGCTCCCGGAGCTGTTGCTCCTGTAGTAACTGTTGTCTCCGAAGAGCCTCGGAACGTTCCTTGTTCTCCTGCTGCAGTCTCAGGAAATCTCGGCGAAGAGTAGACTCACCAGGCACGTTCACAATGGAACTGTTGGAAAAAGCAGGGCTTTCAGGGGTGTGCACCGATCACACTGTCCTATAAGTGAGTCAATAGCACCAGCATATTATCCCATTTCTACATTCATTCTCTGAGTTCCTCTGACTCCAGGGAGACAACTAATACATCCACAGAAATGACTATATCTACAATTCAATAGTCCCATATCTTCTTTTACTTATTTAGTAAATATCTTAAAATGCTGTCCTAGATGTTTGCTTGACAAGACATTTCTATTTAGGATTCGCGTAACAATTCAAACTCAGTAAAAGGAAAGGTTGAAATCACCTTCTTTGATTTCACTAGTCCTTTAACCACTTTTTTTTTCTTCAGCAAACAGAACCATCAGACCACTCTTCAGTGTTTACACCATTCCTTTGTCTTTGTCTGGTCAACCACCAAGCCCTGTCATAATTCCCTCCCACTTTCTTATTTCCAGGTCAGCAGCTGAGCCCAAGCGGGTCCTACGAATTAGCCACTACACAGATCAATTAAACACACCCTTCCTAGCTGACCTCCCCACCGAGTTACTTCTCCACTGCCACAGCATCCAGAGCAGCATGGCAAACATATCTCCTTAAATTGCCTTTTTCGTCATACAGTGCTCCTCCTATTCAAAAACAATTACATTGCTTATGAAATCAGTTCAAATTCCTCTGAAATTCTTAGTCTAAAATGGATTAAAATCTCTCCTACATAAGAAGAAAGAGAGATTATGCAGTAGCTTCAATAAATTCTCTTCTCTCTGTTCCAAGTCCCATTCTCTGGCACACGGCTCCCCACAGGTCACTTGAGATGCCCTTCCACCCTCCCTTTGTTCACTTCATCAGCCACATACTGCAGCATGGACAACTGCCAGGCACACCCAACATCACAATCCAAAAATCCTCTATTCTCTGATTCATCAGTTATTATGAGGTTCATGTAACCCATCTGACTCCTTAACCTTCTGCTTTACTGAACTTTGGGGAGCCAGAGATAAACTAAAACACAGACTGTAAAATAAATCAGGACACAACACAGTCCTGCTGGTCCATGGGCGGGACAATTCTTTTTGTGTAGCCATGTTCTATATACCACAAGAAATGGTGTTCAATGGCACCTTCACCATCCGTGGCTTCTGGAACAATAAATGCTGGGGCACTCTCCCCTGCCCAGGCCCACACATTTTTCAGTGACTGGAGAAGGGGACACAATACAACCCTTGGTAAAGAATCACTGGGTAAGAGGATCCAGGGAAGAAAAATGTTTACAGGAATCTGTCAAGAATAGAGAAGAATGGAGATAGTAAGATGCTGTCTAAGTAATTTAAGATTCTTTGTACCACACAGGAGTCTTCTGCAGTCCTGGCACAACATAAAACTTAATCCCTTCATAAAGCAGGATACTGAACAGTGGCTTTGTGGTTACCTTGGCTCTCCTTCCTGTTCAGGCACTTCCTCCTCTTCTTCCTCACTCCCACTGTACTCATACTCAGTTTCATCTATGAAGAAAAGGACAAGATAAATGGGACAGTTCACAAGTCCTGACACACGCCTGTTCAGACAAGCATCTGCAGGAGCACCTTGGCAGAAAATAAACAAGTTCCCTGTGAAAACAGCAACTTGTATAGAGGATTTGGGGAGGAGGGGCAAGACACCACATTCTCATAGTGACAGCATCTATTCCCTGGTCAGCCTTACTCCCCACAGAAAAGCTGATTCCACGGCATTCGAGCCAACCTTGTATGGGGATGTACTGCTGAGGACGTGCAGGACCACGAGAGGGGATCCAGAGCCCCTGATACATGAGAAAAGAACCCGAGGGCACTAGCAAATTCACCAAAATCCACTTTGATGGCAAAATTCAAAAAGATATGTAACTGCTGAAACTAAGGCAACCAAGAGAATTTACTTGGTGATTTTTTGCAATTAGGGATCCACGGAGAGTGCAGCAGAGAGAAAAGCCTGGGAGATGGACACAAAGTGAAACATTAACTAGGTACAGGAAAAATAAGCCAAATGTACCCACAAACAAACCTGGCAAAACCAGGGAAAACTAATTAAACCATATAGCAAAAGAATGAGACTAAAATTTGCTCTACTTAGGCCAGACTTCAAACAAACAAAAGTTTCAACATCAATAACTCATTTTCAGTTCTACAGGTTTTAGACAGTTTTCCCAAAAGGCCATTTATTGGTCCCTTCACTTAATGTCAATATCCAACTTTCAGTGAGCAGTTTCACTCCAGAAATCAATCAAAAAACCAGACAGGTTGAAGAGATTTAAAAGCAGTCTAGACACACACACCTCTATTTTTTTCAAAGATATACAAGATGAAAATCAGGCTGGGTGTGGTGGCTCCCGCCTGTAATCCCAGCACTTTGGGAGACTGAGGCGGGCAGATCACGAGATCAGGGGTTCAAGACCAGCCTGACCAACATGGTGAAAGCCTGTCTCTATTAAAAATACAAAAACCAGCCGGGTGTGGTGGTACATGCCTATAATCCCAGCTACTCAACAGGCTGAGGCAGGACAATCACTTGAACCTGGGAGGCGGAGGCTGCAGTGAGCCAAGAACGCACCACTGTACTCCAGCCTGGGTGACAGAGCAGCAAGACTCTGTCTCCAAAAAAAAAAAAAGATGAAAATCAGTTTCCTGGTTTTTAAGTGCCTGGGCAATTAAAATATGGTTCCGTACAAATTTGTCAGTCTACACATATAAGCTCTTCTGTATGCTAGACCATCAAAGCTATTTTAATAGATTATGCTAGCTTCAAAGGGAAATTCCAGCTTAAATAATCTTCAGAATCCTTAAAATAGGTACTCTGCTATGTTTGTAATTTTACACTACAAATTACTAATTATTGACAAGAGGCTAATGGTATCTGGAAGGTAAACCCAAAAAGAAAATGAAGAGGTCACTGTGACTTGAAGAGAAAGGAAGGGAAGGTGCTCTGCTGTTTCCATCTGCAAAATGTGGGTGATGAGGAAAACATGAGATGATCCAAGGTATCTGGCAAATGTTCCATGAACATTAGCTATTATTACTAAGTCAAGTCATGGGAAAATGATCCAATATGCAAATAATTTTTTTCCTGAACAGCGCTTCCATGTCAATTGAGTTAAGGAAAAAAAGTCTTGTTTTCAAACTTTAATTAACTGTGTTACAAGTGCATAGCTTAATGTACAAAGCCTAATTACTTTTATAACTAAGTATATCAGAAGGAAAAAGGTTATTCTGAACATCAATGATGACTTAACTATGAATACCAGTACAGGCAGAAAGGCCTCCAGACTTTGACCAATTCTTTTACTGCCTTGAACCTGCTCTTCTTGGTTTCTTCTCTGACCTTGAAATTTGAACCAAAAAGTAATAGGATGCCACTTAACCAAGTGTTGTTCTATAAAGTTATTATAAGGACCCACAAAAGAGAAGGATCAATGTGAGCTAGCAGCCTCAGAGAAGATGGTTTAGTAAAGACGGTGACGATGTTTGAACTGCACCTCGCTGGACAGAAGGAAAACGGAGAACATTCCAGGAAGGTGGGCAAAGTATGTGCAAAGACATAAAACAAAGTTACTGGGAACAGAAAAGAACCTTCATTATTTAGCACAACAGCATGCTTGTGTTATGCATGCTACTTAAAGCAAAGTCATCTGACTATGCATGTGGCCCATGCTACCACACCGCTTGTAATAGAGTAGAGCAGTAAAAATCCCCTGAGCGGGGGTTCTTGGGCAGGAGAATTATACAGAAACACACTGATGGTGATGCTCACAGCAGATGCTCAATACACCCCAGTGAAATATACCATGAACACATCCGTAAGGAAGTAAAATGGGCAGCAACAACGTGACCCTCGGGAACAAGAAAAGCATCCCATCGCAATGCCGATCTATTTGCTGTAAGCTTGGTGACACAACACAAAGCTCCAGCCAACTCCACCTGGAGCCAGACTGGACCCCAGGCCTAAGCACTGAACCGCAAGCAGAGAAACCATGCAAGCACTGGCCAAGTGAGCACTCTCACAGCTGGGAAGGGAGGGACCTACTCTAGTTGGCAAGAAACTAAACATAAAAATTTTAAAGGATGAAAACAAAAACAGGCTTAGTACCTTTCTCGCCTCTCTTCTTCCTGGTACGATCTATATGATCCTTAAGCTGGATTCTAACTTGCCTTTCATTTGGCTGATCCCTTATAAAAGGATGTTTCAAAAGCTGCTCTGTAGAGGGCCGCTGCATGTAATTCTTCACCAGGCACCCTTCTATAAAACTAAAAAACTTCTTCGACCTGTAAGAAGTGAAAAAGATCATCAAATTTCCACCACAAAGAGTAAAGATCGAAAATATCAGTAACTTACAAGCCTCAACATAAAGAAGAGCTTCAGAATTCACTGTGAACATTCTGCAAATGCATAGGAATAATGTATGAAACATAAATAGGAACTCAGGACTGTTGAGGATCAGGAGCATTAATTTAGCACAGTTTAAGTGGTGCATCCTATCACTAACAACACACCACAAACAGGGAGCTAACAAGGAGGTCAGATTTAAATGAACTGGGTTTAAATCTAATATTGCACATTAATCACTTAATTAACAGGAGTGGTGGCAGCAAGGGGGTAAAGGGAGGTCTTTGATAAAATGAAGGCAGACAGGACAGATGTCTGGTACCTAGAAGACAAGGACAGACAATGAGATAAGAAAAGGAGCAGAATCCATGACGAAATGCTGGGTCTCTTGAACCTGTTAATTTGACATTTCAACCGGAGTTCCAAACTGGTTGATTTGTCAGTTCCCTCTGTTTAACCTACAAAGGTGGAAATTACAGTTGTTGGTTCTTTTGGAGGGATGGAGGGAAGAGATTAATCTGTCACCTACATTTGCCATACTAGCCACTTTTACTTCTTCCTGTTTCTCCATGCCCAGCTCATGAGGACCATGGCCCTAGCCTTGGTCAAGACACTCTTACCTATCACCTATCCTATTTTTTGAGACTCATCTCAAGAATCACCACTTCTGGTAAATCTTCCTGGCAACACTCTGTCCTATGTGTCCCCAATTTAGGAGCCTTTCTTCTGGGGTTATCTGCTTTTAACAGACTGCATGCTTTTTGTTTCTGTCCCACTGAAAGGTTGAAATGGTACACGTCAAAAACTGGTTCCTACATCTCAACCTGCAGGCAATGCTCAACACTAGGCATGCATGCCACAATAGGTATGGAATAAATTTTTGTTGAATGAATGAGGTATTCTTCGGTCTTTAAAAATGTGAGTTAGAAAATTAGTTCACTCTTTCCACTTCACTGCTTTTAAGAATCACTTCTATTGTCTGGTATTTCCATTAAAACTTACTTTTTTTCAATTCAACAAATATTTACGTATCAACTATTTGCATTTGTTTATGTCAGGTTCTATAACACATACACATGGGAAATAAAGTGGAGAAATTTAGGTATACACAACAGCGGACATATATCAAACTTACAGAGGAAGAAAAAACCTGTTACAGTAGACTGGACAAGAAGAAAAAGTGGGATACTTGATATTCATAAGGTAGGACAGAGAAGACAACATTCCAGAGTGAAGGAATGATATGAACAAAAGTAGGGAAGTGTTAGAGAATAATGAGTTATTTTCTGAGGCTAGTATTAAAAGTGAAAAAGAATGGAAAAATAGGTTAGGGTCAGCTCAGAGAAAAGTCCTTGAAGTCATTCAAAGTAGCTGTTACTTTATTCTACGTTTAATGAGGAACATGGAAGATTCTACACAGTACAGTGAAATGCTTTAACACAGAGATAGTTCTAAGACCCAATGTCCACAAAGATCATTTTGGGGAGTTTATTGAAGATACAAATACCTGAGTCACTCCCCAGACCAGAAACTTTGAGGTTGGAGCCATCAGTTAAAAGATTCCAAAAGGATTCCTAAGCATTGTGTCCACAGACTAACATCTCGGAATCAATGATCTACAACGTATTTCCTAAAGTCAAGAATCAAGTTCTGCTGGCAGAAGGACACTGATCATCTTTTGAAAGCTATTTCTCAAAAAAACAGTAGAATTTACATCGGGTAGACGGTGGACAGCAATCACAAAGGAAGAAGGACTTTACGTCCATAATTTTCTCATCCTTTTAGAACACTTGGGTAACATTAGAACAGGGATATAAAATGGATGAAATATGCCGTCTAACCCAGTTTAAAGAAAGTTTGGTGTAAGAAAAGAATACAGGAAGCATTCATTGCTGTCTACCACTGTATCTTTGTATCACTATATGTTGGACACAGTGGTTAATACAGAACTGTAGCTAATGGGCAGAAAAATCAGAGTATGAGGTACCCTGAAGACAGCATTAACTTAGCAATCCTTCCAGTATAGACTTCTGTCAACAAAATCTGAGAGAGATAAAGAAAAGGGGAAAATGAGTACTACTTAATTAAAGCATGAACTGGGTAGAGTTACTCCAGCTCCACAGCTGATTCCTTGGTGACATCAGCTATATACACTGATGGTTTCCCTAGGCGTGGCCACCCGTGGATGTCCAGAGTTATTATGTCTTAATACAGAAGACTGACTGGGGTTAAAATCCTTACAACTCTGTGGCAATAAAAACCATTCTAAACACGGGGTAAATGGAATTAGCCACATGGAGACAAATGTGGTTAAAGACTGTATAAAAAATGAGAAAAATCCTGCCAGCAGAAGACAGAGGGCAAAGAACAGTGAAATGTGTTGGGGGCAAGGACAGTGAGCTACAGGGAGAAGCATGAAGAAAACTGGTATGAAGATGGGTGTCAGCGTGCAACAATATAGGGGAAAGAGAACTGCAAATCACCAGAAGGTGAGTAAACAAGAAAAAAAAGCATAAACAGGAACAGCTGAAGGCCAAACTCAGAATGGAAGCTTAACTCTGAGATGTCCTGCATATTTCAGAAGGAGAGTCAAGAACCTAAGAGGAGGCAGCATCAATTGGAAAACTAGTAAGAACTGTTTCAAAAAAAAAAAAAAAAGCCATATAGTAGGTGGGAATCAATGAGCCCAGAAAAACAGAAAGAAGAACACAAAAAGGAGGGGAGACCATGCATGAAGAGCCAGAGTACAGACCAGAACAAACAAGAAAGGACCCAGAAAGAAATTCAGGAGGGAAAGAGGGGGCAAAATTCTCAGGAGAACCAGAAACACTGCTCTCTTTCTTCAAGATTTTACAACTAACCCAACACCATGTTCCCACAATGCTGCAATCCTAACAGCTTTTCTCAGGGAAAGTCATCCTCCTCTCTCTCTGCGGGTATCAGTACTCTGTTTGACAAATGTATGAGAGTTACAAGGAGAAGGAAAAGTGACAGCCTAAGAATATAAAACCATTCTGTTTAATATGCTATTCTGCGATTAAAGCTGGTATGTCTAACTTCAATTTTTAAAATAATAATAATTACAGTAAAAGCCTCCATTAATTTTAAAATCCTACTACATGTGAGGAAATGCAAGTCAACACAGCTTTCTTTCGTTCTTTTTTTTTTTGAGACAGAGTTTCGCTCTTGTTACCCAGGCTGGAGTGCAATGGCGTGATCTCGGCTCACCACAACCTCTGCCTTCTGGGTTCCAGCGATTCTCCTGCCTCAGCCTCCCGAGTAGCTGGGATTAGAGGCATGTGCCACCACGCCCGGCTAATTTTGTGTTGTTTTATAGTAGAGACGGGGTTTCTCCATGTTGGTCAGGCTGGTCTTGAACTCCTGACCTCAGGTGATCCTCCCCGCCTTGGCCTCCCAAAACGCTGGGATTACAGGTGCGAGCCACCGCGCCCGGTCGCTTTCTTTCTTTAATGGGAAGATGTTTAGAAGTATATTACACTTAAAAGAATGCCTAAATACTAAAATGGAACATTTGTCTTTAGACATGTTATAGTGTTTCATGTGGTCATTTGTCACCGTTTTGTAATTCAGAGAGAATTTAACAAGAAAAATCTCATTTAAAAAAAATCAACGCATCTTTTAATTGGTGTTTTGGAGAACTGGCTCTTGGGTTCCCCAGAATTAGAAGGGCCAGAATTTTATCTCAGAGGAAAGTATAACTAAAAAGAAGCAATTTAAAAAAAAGGGAAAAGAACAACAAAAAACCATATATAGCTTACCATTTTTTTGACTTCAGCCGGGGAGGAGGGTTTCTGGGAATGAGAAACAGTGCTCTCATTGGATGCATGTCACAGAGAGCTGGGGAGAGGAGACGGTCGTGTCAGTATGGCACTTATTTCACTCATTCTTGATTTCTAGGGTTCAGTCATAAATAACATGAAATGCTCTGGCCCATCGTCTGACTGACAGGCTTCATACCAAGCAGTCTAGACATCTAGTTATGAACTCCAGGGCATATCTTGAATTTCCCATTTAAAAATAGCAAAGTGGGAGGACAAGAGCAACAAGAAGAATATACATTTTCAAAAAGACATTGGAAAGTTTTCATAAATCTAAGTCTTATAGGAACTAACACCTAAGTTGTTAAACTATCTGTTAGATTACAATGAAAATGATTGTATTTTCATAGGGTTGTTGTCAAGATTAAATAAGATATGGCTTGCAAAGGCCTTCATACAATGCCTGGAACAGAATGAGCACAGTTAGGCCCTCCAGAAATGCTGTTTGTTGTTATAGCTAAAAATACTAGAAAGAGCAAAAATTGAGCATGAAATGGATTTAATTCTGTGCAATTACTCTTTGTACTCCTATGACTCACCCAATAAAGGTGTGTTAGGCACACATGTAGGCATTACTACATCACCATATGCAATGTGCATTTTCATGTGTTTCTTTACCTTCAGAAGACCCTTACAAGGCATCTGGGCAATGAGGAGAGGCAGACAATACTATTCCCCTTGTGAACAAAAACTGAGAGAAAGGATGAGGTGGTACTTCCCTGCCTTACTTTCTTAGAGGGAAGCACAGGGGAATGTATGGTGTTTGAGGCAGATCTCTATTTCTATACTGAAAACTAATTTTTAGCTGTCGATAATTATTTTCATTCATTCAACAAATATTTATTCAGCAGCAACTATGTGCCGTGCCAGACAGTTATACATTCTTTGTGTATACCTTTTTTAATGGGGACCAGCAGAAAATGCAGTGTTTTTTTTCCTTTGTTCTCTGCAATTCTACCTCATCCGTGATCAACAATGAATTATATGAAGTTCTCATTAATCCAATGGAGAAGCAAACACTCACAAAATTTCAGTTAACACGCACAAAAAATTATTCTATCAATAAAGTTTTGCCTCCATTTGTAAAGTCAAAACTTAATACTAAAATTTCATGTGTTAGGACTAGTTTCACTGAATTACTCAATTTAAAATGTAAAAAGAAAACTTACTACTTATTATCTGATCTCAGCACTACTTCAGGTCACACATGTGAGTACAACTTAAATAAAAGAAAATGTAGCCTATAGGCCTCCTAGAGATATTCAAAAGGAATAGTAATAGTGGTTGCCAAGAATTCCTTCTACATCTAAAACTTGACTATATTTATGTTGCCTTCATCTAAACAGTCCACCAGAAATGCCTTTATCCATGGAGCTGAGCTGTTCTTTTTGAAGTCTTGGGAGGGGTTTAAGTCACATGTAACAAGTGAGCTAAAAAGAAAAGAAAGTTACTTACGGGGAGCACCTTCTGCCATCTCAATGGCTGTAATGCCACAAGACCAAAGATCACTCTGCAAAAATAAAACAGTACGTTACAGATACTGGAGTAGATACAAAGCCACTAACTTACATGTCTGGGTATTCACACAACTTTGCTATATAAACCAAAAGGAAATTTGCCAGAAAATTAAAAGTACAAGCACATTTGTAGAACTTACGGAGCGGAGGGGAGGGGAGGGGAGGAAGGGAGGGATGGAGGGATGGAGGGATGGAGGGATGGAGGGAGGGGAGGGAGGGAAGGGAGGGAAGGAAAGGAAGGAAAGGAAGGAAGGAGAAAATTGATTTAATTAAAACCACTCACATCTATGAATGAACCAGAGCTGGTCCACTTAAAAGCATCTCTCTGAATTGTCTACTGTGAACTACTGTATGTTTCTTCATTTCTTCATAAGCATTTAATACTTAAGACTTCTGGCCCAGATTTATGTTTATTGTTAGTAACTCAAATTTAATTAAGATTTTAAAGTTTAAAGGCCAGAAACCATTTTTTACAAAGTGTTCACCACTGAATTCATAAAACCTAATGTGGTTCACTAATTGAAATCATGCCACTAAGCATCCCCACCCTACCTGCAAACCAAACAAGTCAGCTGGTTTTCTGTACATGGAATCTTTTTTCTGATTCCCCTGAAATACTAAATTTAAAATTTGAATTAAACTTTACTTTCTACTCAAATATAAGTTCCATGAAAGCAGTCATTTTTGCCAGTTTTATTTACTTTTGTAATGGCGGGTACTCACTAAACATTGCCTGATATACTAAAGTCTTATCAGATGATATTTCTTTTTTTTTTTTTTTTGAGATGGAGTCTCATTCTGTCACCCAGGCTGGAATGCAGTGGCGCGATCTCAGCTCACCGCAAGCTCCACCTCCCGGGTTCACGCCATTCTCCTGCCTCAGCCTCCTGAGTAGCTGGGACTACAGGCGCCCGCCACCATGCCCGGCTAATTTTTTGTATTTTTAGTAAAGATGGGGTTTCACCGGGTTAGCCAGGATGGTCTCGATCTCTTGACCTCGTGATCCACCCGCCTCGGCCTCCCAAAGTGCTGGGATTACAGGCGTGAGCCACCATGCCCGGCCATCAGATGGTATTTCTTAAAATCCAAAAAAAAGGATTTTTGAAAAGTAGATGAGGATAGTTATTATCATTACTATGTATTTGTTTATATGCTATCTTAACCAAGGAATTAAAGTTGCTCAATTTAAAGGTTTTCTAAATAATCTACACTTACATTACAAAGTTCAGACACATATATCCGAATACAACAAAAAGGAGAGACCTATCATTCCTCCCTTATTTTCATTAAGCTTTCTATACTATCAGGGTACACAAAGGGGCTCATTACCCTAACCCAGTGGCCACTCCTGGCAACATGAGTTGGGGATGAACAGTTCTGCATGTCCCCTGCTGTGAGGCAACATGAAGCACCTCTACCTCCACCTCCCCAGCAGTGATTTTGCTAAGAAGGTTTTCCTTGATACAAATTACACCTTTCCAGTTTACAGGAAACAAACTAAATGACATAAAGAAGTAATGAGACAAATCTAGAGGGTAGAACATTAGACAACAGGCCCAGGCTCTTCAGAAAGTCAGTTTTATGGAAAAACAAAAACAAAAACATCGGGTGGGGGTGGGGGGATCCAGATTAAAAGAGACTAAATAACCAAATACATTGCCTTGTTCTGCATACCAGTCAGGTCTAATTACCAACTTTGTATTAATTATTTGTATTTACTTAGGTATAATAATTATTTGGGGAATGCCGGAAAACATTTTCAAATTTTAGAGACAAGTAATGACACAGTAAAGAGTGGAAAGTCACAAAGTCGGTTATCTATTTTAAGATACTTCAGTATATAAAAAATAAAACATTCTGCACTACAGTCTTAAATTAAGTCTCATTAATTGGATATTTGTAATAAATACTAAAATACATGGGAAACTGTTAAGACATGAATTCCATTTTGCATATCATTAACGGGTATATTAACTAGTCTGGCTCATCTAATTAAGGCATGGATTTTTAAAAATAGTTTTTGTAAACATAGTAACCTGAGTTTGATATCAAATATGGGTTTACATCTAGATTTTTTTAAAGTGTGTTACTGACTCAAGTCCCTAGAGGTCACTCTAATAATTTAAATAAATTTGTGTACCAAATAAAAGCTGTAAAGTGGTTTAACAAGAATATAAAATTTCACTCAAATGAAGCTATTACTTTATATTGGCAATATTTTTAAAAGAATAAATATTTGATTCTAATATATTCTTCAAGTTAAAAAATGGATAGCAAATAGGAACAAAAAGTTCTAGGCACAACAAAGTGCTCCAGACTGCTTTGAAACCAGTGTATTCCTTAGTGAGAACACAGTCATGTGATGCAAATGGACAAAAAAGACAGCATCTGAATACTGTCCTGGAAAATTTGCACCTGCAATTTTCCTCACTGAAGGTCTTCCTCCCTGAAAAGGCAGGCAGACAAGGGGTGTGCAATTTATAAGCAAAGCCCCCATCCCTCGGGTATGCCAGTGGCCCTGCAAAGGCCTACGGAGCAGGTGCCTCTTACTCTGTAATCATAGGTGGCATCTGGGTTCTCATCACAGGCGATGACCTCAGGAGCCATCCAGTAGGGAGTGCCTATGAACGTATTTCTCCGCCCCACAGTCCTGTCCAGCTGAGCACTCACACCAAAGTCAACTGTGGGAGGAAGAAAAAGGCAGATAAAGAAAGATAAACACAACTACAAACCAGATATACTTGGGAAAAAACACAAGGAGGAAATGTCTTCATAGTAAACTGAAACAGCAGTGCTTCATGAATATGCGATCCTGCTCAAGGCAGGCACCACTGGTCAGGAGTGCCCCTCCACAGTAAAGCCACCGAGACTGTGAGATCCTCTACCAGTCTGGAAGCTTCTGTGAGGCCTGGATCTGGCTGCCTCCCCAGCTTCTCCAACAGTGACCAGCAGAGGGCCTTTTGAATGAACCACAACCTTCAGTGCTTTCAGAGAACTGCCACAAACAAGATCAAGTCACAGAGAGCCCCAGGTTCAGGAGAACTGACTGAGATGCACTTGACTTACCTTCTTAAACAGCACTAATAACCATAAAGATAAGAATTTCACGAAAGTTTTCTTGAAAAAAAACACAGTACTGAATCAAATAAAGAAAATCAAGCTAAATCACATATTCACAAACAACACACCCTAAAGCACTTGGAACTTCTGCTGATTTTTCAGTGACTTCTGCATCCCACCCAATTGGATGGTGGTGGTGGTCTAGAGGAAAGTTCAAGGACGGGAGGCAGAGCTGGCAGGAAGACCATGACCTCTAACAGAATGCCTCCCATCACTCCCTGCCAACACTATCACTACGCACACTGCCATTAACCCAGCAGGAACCTGCAAAGGTGGAGGAGCCCATGCAAAAAGGCCTACGAAATGCTGAGATGACTTAAAGGGATCATAGATTCATGCACAGAACACGCTCAGAAAATGGCTCGTCCAGGGTGTGGACTCACTCACTGAGTACTCCTTTAGAGACAGAGACACACGGGCCAGGCAGTGCAGGAACCAGGGACACACAGGCCAGCCAGTGCAGGAAGCCTAAGCGAGCATCACAGCAACTTGGAAGGCAATGGTAACCAATCACTAAGTGATCGCTCAGGGACTATCACAGGCTGGTACCAGGAGACCAGAGCAGGGAACACACAACTCACTGAGTCATTTGGTATGAGAACTGCTCAAGTGCTTCCTATGTTAGCTCTGAGGGGAGTTTCCAATTGGGCAGATTCCTCCATAGAAAACCAACAAACACAACCACAGGCAAGAAAGTAACTATGAAGATCTTACTTTTACAGTACAACAGCTGTGCCTATGATTTCTAAAAGAAAGGTTGACCAGACCCATATAAACATAAAGAATTTTGTTGTGATGTGTTAGTGGAAGAAAAATTAATACAAACTCTATTTAAAATTTTGATACAACACTTAGATGAAAGTGGAATGAGTTCAGACCCAGCTAAAGGAAACAAGAAATATAAAAGAACCCTTGTGAGTAACTCCAGGAAAACACCATGGGCTGTAATTATCTAACCACGCAGAAATTTATCAAGCACCTACTACAATGAAGTCACAATGCTAGATGCTGGGTAATACACTATTTGCTGCATTCCCAGAATTTACATTCTGGCAAAGGAGACAGTAACAGAAGTAAAAAACAATCACATAACTATACATTGTGAACAATACTATGAAAGAAACAAGCAGCAAGGCCCAAGACAGATTAGAGGTTGGAAAAGGCCCGTAACATGAGAAAAAAAACTGTGACTTCAAAACTGAAGTCAAGTGTTCCCAATGGGAAATAGTCATGCAAAGGCCCAAAGGCAAGACCCAAAAAGTTTAAGAAAAGAAAAAAAAGACAGTGACTGATGAAGAGAGAAGTAAAGAGGGACATAAAATGAGGAGGGAAAAGTAGCACGGGTCAGATCCTACATGGCTTTTTATGGGCAAGGGTGAGAAATGTAGGTTTTATCCAAAGTAAAATAGGAAGCCATTAAGGTTCTTTAAGCAGGAAAGTGGCATGGTCTGATTTGAAGATCAGTCTGGCTGCTGTATAGAGAACCAGGGGGCAGGGGGGCACAAACATGGAAGTGGGGAGGCTGGAGCCAAGCTAAGTAATATGCTCAGTTCCCACATTCTTAAGAAGAACAGAAATAGAAAACATGGGTAAGACTGAACTTTTAGCTAGATGGAAGCAGAACTGGGAGTGCAGCTGGCTTGTGCCAGGTGCAATTATGAGATCACGCCGCACATCCATTACATACCAAGTTTCACCTCTGCATTCTCAGTCAGCAACACATTCTGGCCCTTGATATCCCGGTGAATCACATGATGAATGTGAAGATGTGCCAGTCCCTGAATAGGAAAGACAGACCTGAATTTTAGTTTTCTGTGACTATAAGTAAACAGCCAGGAACACACCTTTTATAAGAAAGTGCACATGTGGACCAAAGGTGTTTGTGAGCTCATGAACATTAACTTCGTCTTAGTGCATTCCCAGGAAGACAGCACCAATACTACCACACACACAGAAAGAAGTCCTCCCCACCCTCCACATTCCCAGTGGGTTAGGTTCCCCGTGTGAGCAACGTGATCACTTCTAGCTGTGCCTTTAAGATACACTGCAGATTACCATCTGCAGTTTCTGTGCTATAATTTGTGCTATTTGTGTACAGGGTGGTTCCTTTCCCACGCTAAATGTCTAGAGGGTGACCCCGTGGGCATATTTGAACTAGACACATCTCAGGGGAAAAGCAAAGGGCAAGAGAGGGCTTTGAAATCTGGCTCTTTAACACTGGCTAGCCTTCCCACTGCACAGTGACAAACTGCTAAGTGCTGATCAATCCCACCTCCATCCCAAGCATAAAACGATTGTGCTGTCAAAAGAGCCTTGTGTTCAAATAAAGTATCTTTCTTTCCCAAGGAAACAAACCTACTGGGCATATAACACTTTTTGATGACCTTGTATCTGGAATGAGGCCCAAAAGCTTGTCTCTTACGAGAGGTGGTGGAAGAACAAAAACACATGTTGCCTCCAAATATGGTCCAAGAGACAGCAATGCATCATTCTCACAACTCATTTACTTATTCTGTCCTTAGCTAGAGAAGCCAAATATACAGCTCGCCTCCTTAAGATACAAGCAACCTATTTACTCTAAAATGTCTCAATCCAAAAGGGCAGATTATAAGTAAGGGTTATTTGATTTTTCCTGTTTATTCTTTTTTCATGGGGTTTTATTGTTATCATTACTTTGTAAGATATGAATTAAATACAACAGCTCCTCTAGAATACTAATTTTTCTAACATAGGGGGTTTCAAAACATTCATTTACTGGTCTGTCTATGAAACAGAGCAGAGCTTATTCGACAGCTCTGTTTATTTTTCACAACACAGGATGTGCGGTATTATACCGCAAAGCACTGACTAGAGAAAAAAGCACTAAAAATATATGGTACCTTATTGCTATAGTTAGGAACAAAGCACCTCCTCTCAGCTTGGTATAACTTCAAACAGCGAAAGGAGAGACACAAAAGCTAACTTCCCAATTCTTCGTAATTCCTATTTCTATTATTTCAGTTCATTTTTGCTCTCTAACTTGCACAACCTCTTCTTAAACTTTTACAGGACTATCTTAACAACAAACATAAGCACCCACATCTTGTCCAACAAATGTGGCTTGCATGCACTCTTGTTCATTACTAGCAGTAAATGTATGGAACAATGCCTGTTTTCCTGTCTATACTGCTACAGGATCACTGCTTCTACAGGGAATTAAGGTGTGTCTAGCAGCTCTGAAACAATGTTATATGATTATTCTGAAAAATAAGTACATTTTTCTTCCATGAAGTACCTGGGAGTGTATGTGTGTTCAGCTAATCCCACACCAGAAATTAGGCCACAATTATCCTTCCTTAGCAGAGATGCCAAGTCCAAATACTCAGTGAAGGACCTATCCTCGAGCAAATGCATCAGTGTTTCTGAACTAGGAAACATTTTTCCCTTAACTCTGTATCATGCATGGTCACAGAATAAAAGAGCAGGCAAAGGTTGTCATACAGTATTGGTTATAGAAAGCTCTCAGTTCCCATGTTCAATATGAAGATACTGCCATGTGGAATGTGAACATGGAAGTGGGCTGAAAAGAACACGCTGGCCTGCTGCTAAGCCTTGTGGTCCACAGGGTAACAGTGTGCAGGCTCCAAAAAGCACTTCTCTATTGGCTGAGGCCTACCTGCTCAGGACCCTCCCCATTCGAAGGGTCTGATCATAATGATCAAGATGTCTAAATCCAACATCTAGTGAGAAATGAGGAAAGGTTTTGCCACCACAGAAATTGTTTAACCCCAACTGTCTTTGAGAACACAGCTTATCTGTCTGGGGGTGGCTGCATTCCTTTCTCATGAGACCTTACCTCCAGTTTATCATGCTGCTTTCTCTTTACCAAAGCCGACTCTTAGTAACCCCTATAATGAACACACACTACTTACTGCATGACACAGGAACTCTCCCTGAGGCATTTGCTTGTTTTTAGTTAATTTAAACTTTTGTCACAAGGAAAAACTCCCATTCTAGATGACATGTAGGCAAAGGAAGCTTGTGTTTCAGATGCCCAGTGAGGTGAAAAAGATTTGCTACGTCTCAAAAAGATGTTCATTCACGTACCACACTCAAGTTGGCTTAGAGACGTCAAACAACTTGGGCTTCTTTTAAATGTTACTGGAGATTACTGATGGTAAAATGGCTAAAGGTACATATTACATATGATAGGTAAACAATGCTTGCCTGGGTATAGAAACACATGTAAGTTGTCTTTGATGTCTTTGAAGGCTGAAATACATTTGATGCCTAGGACATTATGCTAAAAGCTAGTTCTCTGCTTGAGATATCACATACTGGAATTACATACAAGCAAAGTAGGGGTGTGGGTGCGTGGGTGGGGATGTGTATGGCCAGGGAGTGGGTGTTTAAAACAAAGAACAATGACAACAATTCATATTTACTGATAGGTAGCTATGTATCCACGTTACATTAGATGATTAATATACACTAACTCATTGAATTCTCCTAACAAAAGTAATTTCAAAGGGTTGGTATGTATAGATGAGGAGAAAGTAAGTCCTGAAAGTTGAATAACATAGGGTGTGCTATATAGGTAAGCAGCAGAGGTAGGACTCAAACCCAGGTCTGACTTATGCTAGTCTCCAACCACTCAACCAATGTTCTATCCTGCCTACCATGCTAAACAGTTTTAGTTATTAATAGAATAAATGCATCTGGCCCAGTACCTGACTTCCTTTACAGTAGTATAGGGCAGGAAGCTTAGTTTCCCACATTTAGGCTCTGCTTTCTATAATAGTCATAAAAGATCCTGACATTTTAATGACATTTGCAAGTGTTTATAAAAAGATGGTTCTCCTGTCACCCTACCCCACCCTTCACAACTAGTCTTCTTAGGGGAATTGCCTATTTTCAAAGACTACATAAATATCTAAATAAAAAAAAATTAAACATTTCTCTAGGAAGTCTAGATGGCAGTTTTTAAACCTGCAATCCTCTATGAATCTTAAATATAAAAAGTGGGATAACTTTACTTATTAAAAAAATTAAAATAACTTATTAGTTACTTTAAGTTTTTTTATTAGTGGGGGAAGCCTAAGAATTGGGCTTCAATTTAACTTCATAATCTTTTTTTTTAAATGTGGTAGGTAAATGAAATGCAACCAAGTAATGTCTGTGTGTAATTCAGGGATGAAGTAGAGAGAAAAACTGTGATAGCCAAATGAAGAGACTCACTGGTAATATCCTACATGCACTGCTCAAATACGAAATCCTAGAAACCCTCTGCCTGTGCTGTCAATATGGCTTTACTACTCAAAAGAACCATTTAAAAGCTGCTAAAATAGCAGTTCAGAAACTTACTCTAAGATCATTAGCCAGCTTTTCAAATGGCTGTAAATAATATTAAACATTCGAACTTTTCTTCATAAATATTGTAACAGACTCTAGTAGCTAATGCCAAAGACTTCAAGGTGATTTTGAAAACCAGCATTCAGCACCATTAGTATTGATTTATAAGCTTAAACACAGAATTCCTTTAAAAACAATAGTTGGAGATTATTTCTCTTCCCTTCCACTCTGATTTCCTTTTAACTCAAAGGAAAGCTGCCAATAGGTATGTCATGATGCCATGGAAAGTAAATTCAGAAATGCTTTTTTTATTTAAGTCTACCTTCTTTACATACTTGCCAGAGTCAAATCATGATGTAGCTTAAAATTATCAAAGCTAGCTAGATATACAGAACCCTTGGCTGTCAAAGAGAATAATCTATATAGATATAAGTAATGCAAAGAAGTACTTGGGGCTGGGAAAATGAAAACGGAAGCACAGGATCATGAGTTGGAGCACTGTAGCCACCCACTTTCCTTACCCTCAGGATTTCTCTGGAGATGTAAGCGATCCAGTCTTCTTTGAGTGTGTTCCCTTTGGTGTTCTTCACAAGGTCTGTAATGGACCCAGCCCCACAGAACTCCATAACAAGCTATAGGGCAGACAAGACACAAGGTGAGCAACATATCTTGGAGAAATTGGGAAAACCAGTTTAACCGCCATGCCCTCTCTTTTCTAAAGACCTAGAAACGTGATGCTCCTCAATAATTCATAATAATTTGGAGGCACCTAAATAACTGAAAGCTCATTTCATAGTCCAGTGTATTCGCTCCATATATTTGGTCCAGAAGACTGACAGTGTCTGGTATTCTACGGCACACCCAAGTGCAGCAATTCTGAAGTGCTCATTCTCTCTCAGAAGCACATGGGCACAGGAGGACCACTTTGCTCTTCATCACTACCCAATTATCAAATATCTGACTCAAATATTCCCTAACATTCTTTTTCATTTTACCTCAAAAACATTCTACTTTTCACATTATGATCCTCAAACTATTATATTTTATATTAACTGGGTCTAATGTGAATAAAAAATGGTATTTTTAAGCAGTTATACAATTTTTAATGCAATATTTACAGTATCTAAAAGTTTGAACAATATGATCACAATGGTATGTTTAAAGTACCCAGAAAATAAACTGAATTGAACTATTCTAAAATTTTAACTATGATCTGACTTGGGCAATAGTAACAGTAAATTTTTTGCCTTCTACTTAATTTTGCAAATGTTTTCTGTAATAGCCTTTTAAAAATACTGATACAAAAAGTATTAACCTATCTTCCTGCTTTATAAGTTTAAATAATGTGATAGCCACAGATCTGATGGTATCTCCAAGTCATTATCTTGAATATAAATGTGTTCAAAAAGAGGTAAGGTTGAATGTGTCAATTCCAGAAATTTCCCTGGAATTTGTTTTAACTATTATCATTAATATTATTAATAAGCTACTGACAGAAGTTTGTTTCTTGAGATCTGTCTCTCATTTCCAAGTGGTAAGCTCAATTTACTGAGCTTTCAAATTAATTTTGTTCCCATAAATAAAGTTTTTATTGTATTGCTTTCAAGCTCCTAATTTCCTTGCTATTTGGTTACATTCCTTCTAGATGCTGCCATTTTATTCCCGAAACACAAAGTTAACTTTTTTCCACGCAATGTGAAATCGACATCAAAATAAACAACCAGCATATAGTCAACCCACAGATACAAGCCAAGGAAGCCTTTAGAACCTGCCAGCTACTTACTGCCCCTCTTTATTGTTTTTCTTCCCCCCCTCTTTCCCCCGCCCCCACCCCCGCCATGCCCTTACAATTCAAGCAAATGGAATGCCCACAAATGCTCAGGAAACATCCACCTACCCAGAGTTGGTCATCATGTCCTGGAGGGCTCTTTTTGATGAAAGCACCATAATATGTTGCAATGTTTCTGTGATGAGAGTATTTCTTTAGCATATTTATCTCCAGTTTGATTTCTTCCTCTTCATCCTTATGAAAAAATAAAAATAAAATGTGTGGCTACTGAACGATGTGAATGACTTTACTTCCCCCACACTACATACAATAATGAAAGGAACACAAGTTCTCCATCCTCCAGGAGCAGAGGCACATATACATTCACTTTATCCTTGTGCCAAGAACAGGAACCTTAGAGGACTCATCCTTTGAAGTGTGATTATAGGACGTGATGCATAGGAGGTAAAGGCAGACACGGAGAGCCGCAGGGATAGTGCGAGGGGACTGCCCGGCCAGCTCTCCCACTAACTGTGACCTCGGGCAATGCACTCCACTTCTCTGAGCCTCGGTTTGTTCAGCTGTAAAAATGGGACCACAAAAGGAAAATGACTGATACTATTTGAACTTATCACTTGGAAAATCTGTTTCCTTTGCAAATACAGATCATCTGGTCCATTTAAGTCCAGAAAACGTTTACCTCTAACAACCCTGCACGACAGCACCCTCTAGTGAAGCCAAGGCAAAGTACTGAATACATGAACGCAGGCTGGAGGTGTAGTCTGTGACGGTGTGCTCAGCGAGAATCCACTAACCCGAAAAGAGGTTCAGCTACGTCCAGTGGGCCCCAGTAACAAAACATCACTGAGAATGTGGTTTCAGACTTGGCTCCTCTCCTAGCATCTTGGTTTATTGAAATAAGATGAGCAGAGGAAGAAACCCAGAGTTTGTGTGAGAAGATCAGGGTGGGGAATGAAGGAAACAGATAGTGACACAAGTCTGGAAAATAAAAATAAGTTGCCCTTGTGAATGACAAAGTCTGAGAAGTCTGTTATCTCCACCTCTCTCTCTCATATAAACCTGGAGAAGACGCTGTGCACACCAGCCAGGTAGGCATTCTGTTCCTTGTTATATATACATGACATACTACCTGCAAAGAGTCAGGTTAAGGAAGATTTGTAGTTAGTACAGAATGAGGGGAAAGCAGAGTTAAAGTGAGAAAGAAGAGAAACTGTGCAGGAAAGGGAAAATCATCCTTGATCAGAAAAGCACAGTGTAAGATCAAGAGAAATCTGATGACCAGATCTCTAGAATCCCCTATACTGCATACATTTTCAAAAGGAAAAGATGACTAGTCCCCTAAAATGTCCTTACTTTTCTACACTGACACAATCATTCCACTCACAACTGATGTCCTTCTCTATCCAGGGAAGAGTAGGGGCTCTGAGTAGCCTAGACGTGTGTGTACGCACATACTCACACACACAACTTGGAAGAAACCTACTTACTGCTTCAGTCTAGCACCTCTAGAACCACTCTTAAGGCCTTACAAGCCTAAAGGAAGTTTGATTTGCAAATATTATACTTTAAAATAAAAGCTGCAACATCATTAATTAGATATAAATGATAAGATCAGATGGGAAAAATAATTTTTAAAATACGAACTTCAGTTATACATTACTGCTTTAGAAAACAAATGTATAACAAGACATGTAGTCATCTTAGAATAGTAATTCTCAAGATGGCGGCTTTACAGCTTGGTTCCGAAATATAAACATTGGAGTATTATACTACAGTCATGCACTACATAACGTTTTAGTCAACAAAGGACTGCAAATACAACAGTGAACCCATAAAATTATAAATGAAGCTGAAAAATTCCCATCACCTAGTGACATTGTTTGTGGTTAAGGCTACTGTAAACTAACCTGCCGCACAGCCAGCTGTATAAAATTATTGCACATATAGTTATGTATAGTACATAATAATAAATGACTATGTTAGTGGTTTGTTTACAATACTTTTATTGTTTATTAAAGTGTACTCCTATTTATTTAAACAAAAAAAAGTCAACTTACAATAGCCTCAGGCAGATCCTTCAAGAGGTATCCCTAAGAAGGCATTGTTATTATAGGAGATGACAGCTCTGTGCATGACTGCCCTTGAAGACCTTCTACTGGGACAAGATGTGGAAGTGGAAGACAGGGATACTGATGAGCCTGACCATGTGTAGGCCTAAGATAACGTGTGTGTTTCTGTCTTCGTTTTTTACCAAAATGTTTAAAAAGTTAAAAAAGAAAAAAGCTTACAAAGATATTTAAAAAGAAAATATTTTAGTACAGCTATGCAGTTTTTTAAGCTGTTATTACAAAAGAACCTAAAAGTTTTATAAAGTAAGAGTTACAGTAACCTAGTTAATTATTGAAGAAAGCATATTTTTTACAAATTTAGTGTATCCTAAGTGTACCATGTTTATGAAGTATACCAGTAATGTCAGTACAGAATACAGAAGTGTACAGTAATGTCCTAGGCCTTCACATTCACTCACCACTCACTCACTGATTCACCCAGAGCAACCTCCAGCCCTGTAAGCTCCATTAATGGTCAGAGCTCTATGCGGAAATACCACTTTTTATCTTTTATAACATATTTTGACAATCTCTTTTCTATGTTTAGATACACAACTACTTGCTATTATTTTACAATTGCCTACACTATTCAGTACAGTAGCATATTGTACATGTCTGCAGCCTAGGAGCACTAGGCCATACCAGATAGCCCATGTGTACCATCTAGGTTTACATAAACACACTCTGATGATGGACAACAGCAAAACTGCCTAATGAATGATGCATTTCTGAGAACGTATCCTCATGGTTAAGTGATGCACAACTATATATTCTACAAGAACACTTGTCATGTGACTTTGACAGATGACTACAAATACGGCAACAGTCACATGACCCAATACAGTTGATACAATAATTCTCATTCAAACCCTGCATATAGGAAAGTCCTACCAAATAGGTATAATTTCTATCTGAGATTTAAATGTGGCCATGTTGAAAGCAGCAATGAAAAATTAGGTACTCAATACTAGATAACCATCTTAATTCTAAACAAAACCAGTGTTTAGACTAGCCAGTAAAACAAAACACTTCTATTTGAGACCTTGCTTCAAAGGAACTTTATTCTAAAACAGAAAAGGGTAACAATTTTTACTACATAAAACATGAGGAAGCATGCCCCCAAATAAAAGTAGGAAACCTAATGCCTCAAAAGTTTTATCTTGTGCTCTCTGCACACACACATCAACATGCACAGTGTAACGAGCAGTAGCGACCAGGGCTTGCTGTCATGGGGCACATCGAGCCTGCTCCCTCCTGACTCACCACAACTCACTCCCAGTGGTATCTGAGGGTTTCTGAGAGGCCTCCTGACCAAGCAGTGAGTGGCCTGGGACAGCCCTAGTGAGGCTTGTCAAGACAGGCAGGCTCCTGAAAAGACTTAGCACACGGTAGTGGCCATAAACAGGCCCCATTGAAAAGGCATGTGGTGTCACTCCCAAAATAAGGTCCATGGTTAATTAAACATGTGCTCTAAAAAGCCAAACATCCCACTTTCCTTATACTGAACTGCAGCTGGGTGACCAGAAAGTGAACTAATGGTTTTTCTCCTTTTATCCAAAAGTCAGTAAATCTGTAAGGATTTGGGGTATAAAAACTACACAAAAACAAAACAACAATGAATAGGGGAAAATCAAAATATTTATTTTAATTTTGTTCCTGTAGTAAGAACTTCATACACTAGTGAACTTTACTGGACTGTCCAGACTTGTTTCATCAATCCCACCCTTACCTTTGCCTACCTCCACTCCCTGCAGTGGCTAAACTATTTCCAGGGTCATTGTTCCCTATCACACTCTGCCAGTAGCTTTCACTTCTTGAAAGAAAGAAATGCTACCTATGATTCTCCCATGAAAGGCTTCCTGAGCAATAATTAAGAATTATAAAATAATTCGACTAGGTTCCATTTATATTTTTTTCTTTTAGTGACACAAACCAATGTCTTCTAGGATCTAACCTGTTCACCACTGTACAAGAAAGAGTCAAGAGCACTCGATATTTTCACAGTTCACTGAGTTAAAAATCAAGCACACATTTTAGTTCTTATACTCTTAAATTCCATATTGTCCACCGGTGTGAAAACTCCCGAATTGGCACATTGGTAAATACTGTTGGCAGATCACCATGGCACCATGTATTTCACTGAATCTGAAGTGCCCCTGAATGGAGCCCAACACTATTTTATGTCATGAAACCATGAAGCACTGTCGACCATAAAGTACACACTCTTAACATCTTCAAAACTGAGTTGCATCTCAGAATCAATGATTTAGAAGAACAACTAAAATATAATCAAGTCTGGCAATAGCTTTTCTAATATGACGGAAACACCGAAATATCATCCAGAAATACAGTGATCACATCAATGTCACCTGCCAGAATATTTCCCAGGTCTGAAATAGTCAAATCCTGGAAGCATACAAAAATAACTACAAAATATATTGCAAGGAAATTATATTCTCCCCTCAAATTACTGTTTTAGGATAAAGTTTATATATACTTTGAACATTTCCTCTCTTGATTTTATGATTTTAAAATAGACGACTATTACACATCTTATAAAATAAAAAGGCAGTTAGCACCACTAATTGTCATTTACTGTCCAATTATGAGTGCCCACTTGAAGGAAAAAACACTAGAAATACAGAATCTGCCATGGCTTTGAGCCAGCTACAACTGGAAATCTAATTATGACTAATGCTTATTATACAGTATTTTATGTTGTCTTTAGAGTAGGGTAATAATGAATCAACTTCTGAGTTTCAGTCTCCCTTTGGTTATTAAACATATGTTTGGTGGTTGCATCCCAGCACTTAAGTACATACACACATACCACCACCACCACTAGCACCACCAAAAACAAACACTTCATGTGGCCTGGGAAGATACAGCAGAAAACAGACTAGGGGCCAGCTAAAACTGAAGTTTAGTAACAACAACAAATCCCATATACAAAAAGAAAGTTGAGTTGGCAAAACTACATAGAGGAAGTTTATATATTCCATGTGTCCAGGCAGAGTCCAAACTACTGTGTCCTCCATGCCCTTCTTTAGCAGGTCACAAGTATAAACAAATGAAAAACAAAATCAAGAGTAACTTGAAGAGGAGAGAGAGGCCTTTTTAGTAAGGAAAAAAAGGTCCCCCTCCTGGTTACTCAAATGGTGTGGCAGCTGCTAGCCCCCACTTAGTGATTTAATGCAGCTGATGCCAATTAGCATTTTGGACTTTAACCAGTGGAAGCAAATCCTCACAGAAAAGGCCTTTGTCTCAGGCCAGGACCTGACTAGGAGATGAGTTTTTAGTTGCCTTGCAGGCTGTCAGAGGGTGGGGGTGGAGAACATCTGCATAGTAGTAATTTTCACAGGTAGCGATGGGTTTGTCATATGACAAGCCCTGCCCACTCCACCATCTGAGCACACAGGAGTGCATGGTATGAGTGTTTTGTTGTTTGTTTTTTAATGACCCCTTAAAATGCTGTTCAAACTTGTTACCTAAATTTTTTCCCATTCCATCAATGGTAGTAACTATGTGGTGAGGAGAGATGGGCAGACTTCAGATAAGCTAACTGGAATCCAAGAGGACTGGAAAATGTTCTGAGCATTTGCCAGGTGAAATGAAGCCTTTCACCTGGCATACCCTCTTTACAGAATTAAATGGAGACTCGGCGACAGCTGGATAAAAGAAAAAGGCGACTGACTGTTAACTCTATCTTTGTTAGTTGGAGAGAGGACGGATAAAATGAGATATACAAATATCTCTGGAAGACTTCGGCACCAAAATGTACAAATGAATATACATTTAGAATGAAAATATCTGTTTTTAAAAAACAGTTTACAAGTTTTTGTCAACTACTACTGAACCTTTTCTTTATGTGACTGTGAACGGGTAGAAAAATGAGAACTGACTACTTTTTACCTGGTAAATCCCACTACATCTAAGAGTATCATTCAGTACCACACCAATGAAACCAGCACAGAATTAATCAAATTTATTTTTTATTTTTTGGCCTCAAATAGGCACATCACATTACAACTTAAATTCACTAACTAGTCAACTAAACACAGATGAATATAACTACACAGGAAAGATTCCAGAACAAAATTAAGGCTATAGGATCTGATCAAAAGGAAGAAATTACATGTTCCTTAAAATTAATCCGCACCCCCCAAGATCAATCAGTCTCAATAAAAACTGACGGAAAAATTACAAATTTAACAACAGCCTGCTCAATAAAAAAACACTGTCTTCAGCACATTTCAAACAAAAACGCAACGCATCCTCTTTCTAGTTCTGCTACTGAACCAATGAGCTAGTTCTGGGATTCCAAACCCAGCATGCAATGGCCTGAAGCCCTGGACCCGCCCTCTTCTCCATGGAAAGCACAACATAGAACTTTTACTACACACAGCAAAGCCCCCAGCGCGCCCTCTGGATCCCCTCCATCTTCTACAAAGTGCCACCTGCTGAATCTTTCAATGAGACTGCACTACTCAGCTGGTATCTAAAAATAATGTGATATAGAAGACAACTACACAATGACACCATTCACCTGGATGGATGGGGGTGGGGAGGACTTCAGATGGTGAATATAGTTCATTCTATTTTCTTCTACATCAGTTGCCCATCAACAACTTTGGGAGACTGATGCTTGCCTGAATGACCCACAAGGAGGACAAAATACATGTCTGACAAACCCCCACCAAAAAGCACCACATGACAAATAACGAACATGGTGATCTTACTCAAACAATAAATGCAAATAAGATCACTATTTCCTCCAGGATCTAAAAGAAACTATTAGATCTTTCCAAAGCTTCATGTCATCAACACCCAGGAATCCTGACAGTTGACCTCGTCGAGCCCCAATCTATAGACAAAATACCATGGGTACAAGTGTCTTCAATAATATACTTGAAATAGTTCATATTAGTACTTAGTTTAAATGAATGCATTGAGGAGGAGGGGAGAAATGCTACCAAATATTACCTCTAGATTATAGCCCAATTTTCTACAATTGTCATATACTATTTTCCTAATTTGGAAAAAAAAAAAAATAAGAGTTTAGGATAGAAAAGTTTGGCCCCCAAAGAATTCAAAATGAGCTTTCCGGCAACTCACACAGTCCATCTCCTCTGTCCTTGGACTGAGGGTCCTCTCCCCTCCTTGCTGCTCGAGGGTCACTGCCAGTTTCCCTGCTTGGGCCACTGAAACCAATGGTCAGTTGTGCAGGGAGGCCTAGGAGAGCCTGAAGAACTAGAGGCTGGCTGTTTAAACTGCCTTCAACTGGGTCAGTGGCACCACTCTGACCTTAGCCTCATGGTCATTTCTTCCTGTTTACTATGATGTACCAATCCAGACCCTCAACTTCTTAGTATCGGCTCTTTCCAGACTTAAGTCATTCCCGGAGCAAAAGGAGAAGGTAGGTGGAGCACTCATCATCCACTGTCTTCACTTTCCTGACCTGCCAAAGGTCCCTTGAGGAGAATCTTGCCTCAGTCTATTCATACCTCTCCCTAACCCAGTGGCAAACTCCATGAAGCTTCCCATAACACAAGGGGAGAAAGAATACAATACACATTGAATAGAGTGTTGTCTAAAACCTTAAAAACAGGTCCAAGAAAGGAATGGCAACAAGGAGTACAGCTCTAAAGGAGGGTGTGATAAGCAACAGTGTTTCTGTACTTCATGCTGGATTCATCCATGCACTCACAGGCACCAGAGCTCGTGCTTACATATTTGACAAAATGTGTCTTCAATAAAAAAGAATGAAGGGAACTTTGGCTCCTGGCCAAAATAAAGTATCAAGGACAGATGATTTATCCTCCCACCTGAACAACTAAAATTAGCCAAAATATACGAAAGCGCTTAGAAGAGACTTCAGGCCATAAGGGCAGTGACCCTGAGAGTTGGGAAACACATGCAGACTCCAGCTTACTGCCCTGAGAAAGACTCCAAGCTGCAGCAAAGGGAAAGGAAACCCAAACGGCGCCCAGAGGAGTCTCTGAGTTGAGGAGACAGAACTGAGTCTGGGGAGGCCACAGCCGCTGCAGCTGCAGTCGCAGGACAGAATACCAGAAAGGAGACAGCTGCACAGAGAGCAAGCAATTCCCCCTAGAAGACTCAGTAGCACACTATCAACACGTCCCCGTGCGGAAACCACCTGAGGTAAGGGAAAGAGCCTGATCCCAAAGGATTCCTCGGAATACTACCCAGTGCTCAAAGGGTTGGGAAGCAGTGCCTCCTGCCGTTGGCTAGATTGGAAAAACTCGTCATTCACAGGACTCAGAAGACTCTGGCCTCGATAGTGGGGCCAAATAAGCCTAGACTACATGATGTGACAATCCCAAAATCAAATCTTCGAAGGATCTAATTGTTCCCAAGAACTACCTTCATCCCAGAACAAAGGTCAAGTATGTTATAAAAAATATAAAATATCCAGTACCCAATAAGGTAAAATTAACAATGTGTGGAATCTAACTAAAAATTACCAGGCATGCAAAGAAGCTGGACCATACACATATGAGAGAGGGGGGGAAAGAAAATTATCTGAAACTAACCCAGGAATAACACTGATCACAGAATTCACAGATTTAAAAAAAACTTAACAAAAGCTACAACCTACACCTCTATTGGTATAAACTATTACGTCTGTTGGGCATCTACCCATGAAGGAACCTGACACCCAATTTGCTTTTTATGGTCCATTAAATTAGAACCCAGTGCATTTAAAAAGCAACAACTTGGAATTACAGATGTTTCCATCCTTCAACCAGAGTGGCAGAGTAAAAGACCCACATTATCATACAGGTCATCTGTTCCTACTTTCCCACCAATAGAAGAATATAATCATAATTTAAAAAAAAAATTAAGTCACGCATACGAAAAACTGTCTACAAAAATGATGTTTGAAATCAACTTACTTTTGATCCAATCATTTAAGTAATTTTTGTTTGATCTCAATTGCTATAAACAACTTATTGGTTTATGTGTTAATCAAAGTATTGGCTGTCAAAATGAGGCTAGTAACTATTCCACAGACCCTACTTGGAGAAGCACTGACTTCAGAGGGCAAGGCCAATGGCTAGTATTTACACAGCTCAGTGACTTTCTAACTTTGACCTTGAGGACATTAGAAGCAAAGCCCCAATTTCTGATATGTTTCATGGTTTACCTTACCTTTTCCCTCATTCTTCCTGTCTCCTCCACTTTCGCTTCTTAAGCTACCCCAACTCCTGCTTATGTATTATTTTCATATGTTTCATGAATCACCACAGTACACGAGTAGAAAAAAGGAAGATAAAATAAAAACAATGATCACCTGGAGAAAAGCAGTGAACTCTTTCCTTGGAAAGCTATCTTTCAAATGTCATGATATTAAACCAAAATCACCTTGGCTCTTGATGCTCCCTGGAAAATGGAAATTTGCTATAGTCTGCCAATATGGTAACAAGGAAAAAAGCCTTAGTTTCCATGTGTGTACACTACCATTTTGTTACTTTCAAATAATTCTCTTCATTGTGGATCATTTGCAAATCTGGAAAGGGATCCTGTCTTTATTATGAAATGGCATTTTCCACTTCAAATACAACTAAGTGACCTCTGTATCACAGCTCACATGCCTGGAGAAGTCTCTGGAAGAGCCTCATGGGAACCACATATGAAGAATCATTCCCTTAGCTCTAAGAATTCAAAGATGCTTTCCACAGAAGTTACTCAAAAAGACCATGAATAAGTGTCACAGACTTGGGTAAAATAGAAAATAGAATCAAGGTATTTTAATTCCTAACAGACACCTTTCATTTAAAAAAATTTAGGTGACAAAATTCAGGGATAAGCATACATTTGGCTATGTCGTACTGCATCTACTCACATTCTCTGCAGAAAATGTGATAGCATGTATCTGGAGGTCACTCAACACTTCTCACAGCTTCTCACCTAAGTGAATCATTTCCTAATACTGGGGTGTGGAAGAAAACTATAGGATGGCACCAGTCATCATGCCTTCAATAATTAAATATCACCTCCCTACTTTTCAATCCTAACTAGGAAAATAATTTGATGTCTCTCCCTCTCAATTTTCTCTACTTCTTAGAAAGATATCAAACCATCTAATGGGAGCCAGTGAGAGAAACACAAAATCAAAAGCTTCAAAGTCCCAATGGAAAAACTACTACACTTGACCAAGATCTGAGGAAATCTGACTCTACAGGGCTACCATCTGCATTATACTAGTTACTCAAACCGACCTTAACTAAACCCAAGGAGAAGTTCTGCTCTGAACCAAACCAGTATATTCATTTCTAGCCCACGATGTAAGTGGTCCTTATGGGGAAAATCTTGTTGGATGCTTTATACTCCACCACCACAGAAACTCATAAAAATGTGTCCCATATCCTCTCTTCCAAACAACAATCAGCAATGTATGTCCTAACTATGTACGTCATTACCTGTGTTCATACAAGATAATGATAAACTGCAAGTGCCTCTCTTGGAAAAATGTGAAAAGATGCCAAAAATTCACAGATACCAAAAAGACTGAGGGAGAAGACAACCAATGATCTTCAATATGTGATTAAATTGGAAATAATACGAACAGCTGCTAAGACTGGCACTGCTCAACTGTGTCCCAGAGCACTGAGGAGAGTGACCACCAAGGGCACTCACACTGCTGCAGGTCCCGGCTACAGCTCCTTTTTTAGTGTTTTCGCTCTGAGACATGCTCTGAACACAATACATATTACTACTGACATTGAGTACTATTTGTATTTTATCAGAAAATAATTTTTCTCTTGAATGTAATTTTAAAAGATTATTGTTGAAAATACAAATTTTATTATATACAGGAAAAAAAGTGTTTCCATTACATAAACCTCTAACTTCATAGTGGAAGTCAATAATATAGGATTAATGTAATCCAATTTATTTATTTATTTATTTTGAGACGAAATCTTGCTCTTTCACCCAGGCCGGCACTATCTTGGCTCACTGCAAGCTCCGCCTCCTGGGTTCACGCCATTCTCCTGCCTCAGCCTCCCGAGTAGCTGGGACTACAGGCACCCGCCACCGTGCCCAGCTAATTTTTTGTATTTTTAGTAGAGACGGGGTTTCACCATGTGTTAGCCAGGATGGTCTCGATCTCCTGACTTCGTGATCCGCCCACCTCGGCCTCCCAAAGTGCTGGGATTACAGGCGTGAGCCACCACGCCTGGCCAACGTAATCCAATTTAAATAGGCAAACACAGTTTCCTCAAATTTAGAAGACAAGTTGGTGCTATTTTATCTCGCACTTAACCTCTTTTACTTAAGTAGCGTCCCCTAGCATCCCACCACCCCATCCAGCACCATAAGCACACTGTATGGCAATTATCTACAGCAAAGATGCACATTTTTAAAAACAATCACCAGAAAGATACTCTAAGTCATTAGCAATTTTTTTTTTTGCTATTAATCATTTTATATAGAACTTTAAGGCAGTCTACTACCTACACATTTCATAAAGCTGTAGTAAGTCATTTTGGTCTTAAAACAGTTCATTAACTTGCCATTGTGTTCCTTAATCTTTACTCCATCTATCTGCAAGTACCCAGGGACACGCACGCGTGCTGTGAGGAGGTGGACTGGAGGCTGCAGGAGTGGCTGAACGAAAGACATGAAAAGAAGGCCTCGAGACACTGCTGATGTCCTCCGTCTGCGAAGAGTCAAACAACATCACTCCCTAAAGAACAACACAGTCCTCCCTGTCTTGTGATCATCATCTCCCTGTACTCTGAATGGCTATGAAGCAAAACACATGCAAAGTCTGCATGGAGTCCCCTGAGTCAGTCTGGCTAACTTGAAGCAATTGTTTTAAAACTAGAACTCTCATGGGGTGGCAGGAAAAAGAACGGAGTTGTCAGAATAAAGGAGGACCATAAACTACCACACACCTATCTTGAATATAATGAGGGAACTAAATTTCTGCACAAAAGAAAAAGTAAACGTATTGTTGTCATGAAAACACATACAAAGTCTCTCAAGTGGTAGGTACCTCCTCCTCCAAGAGTGTGTATTGACTTACAGAGATAA
This sequence comes from Homo sapiens, assembly GCF_000001405.40. Lineage (NCBI taxonomy): Eukaryota > Metazoa > Chordata > Mammalia > Primates > Hominidae > Homo > Homo sapiens. The sequence goes on along the minus strand of NC_000002.12, from coordinate 101,811,991 downwards.
AGACAAAAACTTAAATCAGTAAAAATTACACAAATAAATGTCTCCAGTGAAGACCCTGAAAGGCCATTCACCAACCCAAATTCACAAGCACAAAGGATATTACCATGTTGGAACCTGCCCAACTTATCCAGCTCCAACCAACAATACCAACTGCCAAATTTACCATCTGCTGTTACCCAAAAAAATGAAGGTCAGTAAGTTGCCATGCCACTTTCCTTGGCAGATTTTAACAAGTGCCCCAACCACATGCCCATCCATTGGTATAAATGCATTCAGTAAGCACGAACTGTGGGCCCACTTCATAGCAAACACCATGTGGGGCACCGGCAAGAGCAAGCAGGGGCAGGACAGGGAGAGAGATGGCTCGTCAAAGAGACACATGGACCAATGCAGATACAGAGGCAGGCAGAGCACAGGGACAAGGAAATGCAGAGAGAAGGGGCGTCAACACCTGGGAGGGTGAGCTTGGGCAGCTGTCAAGGAGCAGCCAACAAACCTGGGTAGAGCCGTAGAGCCAGCATAAAAGAAACCAGACAAGGAATGACACTATACAGAATGAAGCCAGGGAAGCCACAGGCCAGCAAAACTACTTCCACATTCTTTTTTTTTTTTTTTTTTTTTGAGACGCAGTCTCACTCTGTCGCCATGCTGGAATGCAGTGGCGCAAATCTCGGCTCACTGCAACCTCTGCCTCCTGGGCTCAAGTGATTCTCCTGCCTCAGCTTCCCGAGTAGCTGGGACTACAGGCACCCGCCACCAAGCCCAGCTAATTTTTGTATTTTTGTAGAGACCGGGTTTCACCATGTTGGGCAGGATGGCCTCGATCTCTTGACCTCGTGATCCACCCGCCTCGGCCTCCCAAAGTGCTGGGATTACAGGTGTGAGCCACCTCGCCCGACCCTACTTTCACATTCTTGAGCCTAGACTAACTAAACTTAGTAAAATAAAATAAGTCTGTTAAAAGAAATCAAGAAAATGCCCTCGTTTCCTGCCAGGCTCAGTATAAATTGGCAGCCTCACATCAGAATCTATCAGCAGTGTGCATAAGGCACCGTCTTGTCCATGGATGCTTATAGACTTGTGCACATTCAACAGCTAGTGTTTCTACTCAATAGTAAGCCTTGGACAAAAAACTGGCACAGAAGAATACTGTAACCTATGCTTGTAGAATTAATTGGGTTTATCAGTTTTTCTAACTAAAAATAGACACAGAATGGGGAAAATAATGAATTTAAAACTTAAAGTTCTGTAAGTCTTAGAACTTTTAAAAAGAAAACCTCAAAACTAAAAGGAAAAAAAGATATGCCTCTTGAGAGCCCAGAGTAAATAGTGGGTTAATTTGGGGCTTGCTATTCAGAGCTAAGATCCTTCAGTGGTAAATTTCACTGAAGACATCTCTAATTACTTGGGGGGGAAAATCATAAAACCTGAGGGATACAGTAAGTAACAAATCCTGGAGACCTTTGTGCTTTTAAATGGTATTGTGAATTTTTTCAGATATTATAAAAATAAGAGCCAATCTAGGAAGACTCTCACCAAGTCCAATGCAAGAGGCTAATGATGTTACTTATATATTAATTATGGGTACAAATTAATTATAACATAAATTCATAATATATAATGCAAATATAATACATAAATTCATATAAATTATCATTAAAACAGGCACAGTGATTACCTGTATTTAAAAAAAACCCACAGGGGTACTATGGAATCTTCTCTATAAACATCCCTTAAAAAATATACAGGAGATGCTGAGGAATGTATCTTAGACACAGCAATCTTTGAAAGATTTGATTCAAACCAAATTCACCCCAATGGTTTAGCCAAAGGGTTCCCTCCTGTTTTTGCTACCTATTATACCAAACCAGCCATTTCCTTCACTTAAAATGAAGAAAATTAGCATATCCATGGCATGTGATGTACTAGCACCAGACTAAGTGATACAAGTACACACCCAATTAGACAATGAATCTTCCAATACACTGAACTCTGGGTCAGCATAGAAAATCATGTTGGGCTTTTAAATCACTTATGTGTTCATGTCAAGTAAGTATATTTGGCATTATCCCATTATGCACTAAATGATTTACATACAGTTGCAGGAGAGAGAACTACATCTTTAGACCAGATGTTTTTGAAGATGGTGCTGCCAAGCACACACAAAAATTGCACAGCTGTGTCCATCAACCACAGACACAATGTCACAGTCCAGCTTTGAGAGAGGCTAAGCAGCCAGCCATCTTCCTCCCAAACAAACAAAGCAACAGATGCTGAAGATGATATAATAAAGAAGTACTGGGGCTGAACCACTTTAACTAAGCAACTGATGGAATATTTGAGTCAAGTTATCAAAAACAAGCAGTTTATTGAGAGGTTTCAAATAGTACTTAAGTTTTAAAAAGTCATCAGGCCTTTTCTAAAGTCATCAGGCCTTTTCTAAGTAATATGCTGCTTCCTTTCCCTAACTTCAGTTTTATTTATATTCAGATGAGTTAAAATAATAAAGACAATGACAAATACTTTATCAGTTAAGAAGCATCTATCAGGGAAAATATATCGATTAAACCACCATATGTATGGTGGTGATTAGCATCCACTTTTCAAGATCTTGTAAGCTAACAACAACAAAAAAAAAAACTAAGAATAAAAAGTGCTTGTTCAGACAGACAATATTATGAAGTTATTTACAGTGGCCTGTTCTTCAGTAATTTACAATCTAAAAGCCACATTGTCCAAAGTGTATGGACAGGAAAAAAAATCACTACATGAAAATAACATATATACGCGCTATATACAAGCTCAAAGTTGTAGAGGTGTACCATGAAGTGGTGACTAGAAAAAAGTTACATGAAGTATGTAGTTGAGACTAAACAAGATTAAGGAATTCACCACCTGAATTATTCAGGAGAAATCTTTCTAAAATAAATAAATAAATACAAACTCATTTTTAAACTAAACGCAGCCACACATATAAACACATTTGACTGGGGGCTTTCCTTGAGTGACTGGCAGCCATAAGAAATAGCTTTACTCCGCAAAGACTGGAAATACACCAGAACGTCGGGGGGGTGAGACTGTAAGAAAATATTTTTCCACTTTCCAGTTTTCTAGATGAGTACATTATTTTACTGTTAGAGAAAAAAGCCTTTCCATCATTTAAAAAATAACTTTACACACACACACACACACAATGAAACTAAAAAAATATACATTAATGCTTTAACAGGAGTTAAGCCAAGGTGATGGAATTATGAGTGTAATTTTTTTCATCTTTTTACTTCTCTATATTTTATCCCTGGAATAATTATATTTCATAGAAAGTAAAAATTAAGAAATATAATTTTAAACGTCACTTAAATTTTTTGTTCCAGCAGCTTCACTGAGCTGTAATTTATAAATCATAAAATTCACCACCGTAGGTATACTAAACGGGGTGGGGGGGGGTGAGGGTGGTGTAACAGGGGGAATACATTTTAATTTTCTTATCATCCTGATAAGCAGAAGTAACCAGTAAAGTCAAAGGGCCAAAAAGCCTTGAACTTTTAAACTAGCATAAAGAGAACAGTTAAGAAAACATTCACCACCCAGCACGACCTCACTTGAAGCAGCAAGAATCCATGAATTCTTCGGTGTTAAGAGCCAGGAGCTGCCCACAGCCATGGGCTCTGTAGCTATAAGGAAGACGCAGGGTCCCTCACTTGCACAAACCAGCAATTCCTCTGTGTAGGGCCCTGGGCACAAGCTGCACACAGGCAGCACCACACCACAGAGCCCTCATCTTCGGTTACCCTGCTCTGCCAGCAAGGTAAGGAGCCATGGGCATTCTTCTCCCCATCCTCCTAATGGATAAAATAAAAACAAGGGAAACAACCAGAACTGATGGTCATTTGTAAGGCAATGAAAAATGGGCTTATCCTGAAGAAAACTTCCGTTGTTGGGCTTTACTGTGAAGAAGCATCTTTGGTGGTACAGTTTGGGTATGCTTCCCAGCCCAAATCTCAGGTCAAACTGTAATCCCCAATGCTGGAGGTAGGGCCTGGAGGTAACTAGATCATGAGGTGGGTTTCTCACGGATGGTTTAGCACCACCTCTCTTGATACCGCCCTTGCGACAGTGAGGAAGTTCTCATGAGATCTGGTCATTTAAAGAGATCTGGTTGTTTAGAAGTGTGCAGAGCGCTCCTTCCCTGGTTCCCTCATTCCTTCCCTCCCCCTCCCCCACTCTTTCTTTCTCTATCTTGCTCCTGCTTCTACCATGTAAGATGCTTGCTCCCCTTTGCCTCCAACATGACTGGAAGCTTCCTGAGGCCTCTCCAAAAGCAGAAGCCACTATGTTTCCTGCACATCCTGTAGAACCATGAGTCAATTAAACCTCTTTATAAATTACCCAGTCTCAGGTATTTCTTTATAGCAATGTGAGAAAGGACTAATACAGAAAAGCATCTTTGGTCATGTAGGTTACCATCAGTCTAGGAACTAATGAGACAGAAATGGCACTTACCCTAACATCCCCCACCCCACCCTATGAACTATGATGTCATTATAAAGCACCTTCTGTGAAGGTAGTCAGTTCCTCAAATCATCATACAGGAGTGCCATGTTGGGCTAAAATACAGGTGACATGTCCAGGAGCAGTGGCTCATACCTATAATCTTAGCACTCTGGGAGGCCGAGGCAGGAGGACTGCGTGAGCCCTTGAGCCCAGGAGTTTTGAGACTAGCCTGGGCAATATAGTGAGACCCTGTCTCTAAAAAAAATTAAAAAATAAAAAATTAGCCAGGTGTGGTGGCACACACCTATAACCCCAGCTAATCAAGAGGCCGAAGTGGGAGAACTGTGATTCCAGGAGTTCCAGGCTGCAGTGAGCTGTTATCAAACCACTGCACTCTAGCCTGGGTGACAAGAGTGAGACAGACACTGGTCTCAGAAAAAAGAAAAAAAAAAAAAAGAAGGGTAAAAGAAAGAACTGAAAAAGGCTGCAGAAGCTATGAACCAACACTACTCCACACGTGCCCAACCACACAGAATCGCCAGGGCCAGCCAGGCCCAGGGAGATGTGCTGCTTTAACCGTAGTTCCAAATTTTAATCTCTTCTATCTCAATGGCCTTCTTCCTCCTTTCCCTTTTGAACAAAAACATCTGTACAGTCACTTTCCAAATCAACAGTTTTCTTCTGCTTTCTAAACAACTTAAGGAGGAAAAAATAACCAGGGAGTCTTCTTCAGTTCTAGCTTCAGGGGGAGAAAAATCCAGCATCTTCAGTGAGTGAACAAAAGTGAGTTCACCGGGCACATTAAAAGTGAAACAGCTGAGGCCGGACACAGTGGCTCACGCCTGCAATCCCAGCACTTTGGGAGGCCAAGGCGGGCGGATCACGAGGTCAGGAGTTCGACACCAGCCTGGCCAATATGATAAAACCCTGTCTCTACTAAAAATATATATAAAAATAAGCCGGGCACGGTGGCACGTGCCTGTAGTCCCAGCTCCTAGGGAGGCTGAGGCAGAAGAAATGCTTGAACCTGGGAGGTGGAGGTTGCAGTGAGCCGTGATCGTGCCACTGCACTCCAGCCTGGGTGACAGAGCGAGATTCCGTCTCAAAAAAAAAAAAAAAAAAAGTGAAACAGCTGAAATGAAGGCATTCACTCTTTTCTTGTATAAATGCCTTCCCCCTCACTCATTCACGAAAGAAAGATCCCCAAGGGGCCTGGGGGGAAGATGACTCATCACCAGGAAATACCACCTAACTACAGATTCCCTCAACCTAGCAGTTACTGCTGTTATTGTTGCTTTCCTAGGTATGACAAAATGTCATATCAAAGACCTTGTTTTTAAAACATCCTTCTCATTAAAAATAAGAATGAGTAGAACTTAAGAGATTTCTTTCTTCATGATCTGTAAGAGACAAAGTAGGGACAGGAGCAGGGTATGGTGGGTGGGGTGGGGCAAGAACGCAGGCTTGCTTGGAATTTTATTTATTTGGCTGTGTCTCCCTATCTTTATTCCACCCCAAACCTACACCATCTTAAGGGAGCAGGGGGAGGACATGCTGCAAGTGTAGCAAAGTCGGTAGGAAAGTAGACAACCTTGGAAACAGGGTGAGAAGGAAGCGGCAGTGAGACACAGGCCAAACAAGAATCCCAAAGAGTGCTGCACAAATTCTTTGCAGAAGACCTGTAGCAGCTGGGAAAGCTGTGTAAGCCAACAAAGATAGCAGAGAGTAAAGTTCCCAAGTCATCACACGCCAGCAACGTCATCTGCTCTTTCTCAGGACTCCTGCAGTTAAGATAATACAATTAAGTCAGAAAATAAGTGGATATTTAACCATGCCCAAACTATGAGAAATACAGACGTGAATATTTTCCCTATAACCTGCACCTCAGCATCTCTTATCCATCACAGAATTTCCTAAACTAGGTAAATTCCCTTCTATCTCTGCAGCAATTCAATTCAGCACCTGCCACATAACCAGTATTATATCAACGGCAGGAATATATTCACTTGGATGTTAGTGGGACACCACAGAATACTAAAAGCAATGAGAATAAATGAGCTCTCCCTATAAGCAGCCATATGGGTGGACCTCACAAACATAATGCTAACTGAAAGAAGCCAGACACAGAGTACCGTATGGTTCCATTTATATCAAGAACAGACACAGGCAAAAGTAATATGTGGTGAGAGAAGTCAGGACAGTGTCACCCTTGCATGGAACAGTTAGTGACTGCAAGAGGCATATCAGGGCACTCCTGGGGTACCGGCAAAGTTCTGTTTCTTGATCTAGGTGCTGGTCCATTGAAGAGTTATGTACAGTTTTTGGAAATTTACTGAGTTTATAATTTGTGTACTTTTCTGTATGCATGCTTCACTTCAATAAAAAGGTCAAAATATTATTACTTTTTTTTTTTTTTTTTTTTTTTGATCTGGAGTCTCGCCCTGTCACCCAGGCTGGAGTGCATGGTGCGATCTCAGCTCACTGCAACCTCCGCCTCCTGGGTTCGAGCGATTCTCCTGCCTCAGCCTCCCGAGTAGCTGGGATTACAGTCACGTGCCACCACGCTCGGCCAATTTTTGTATCTTTAGTAGAGACAGGTTTTCAACACATTGGCCAGGCTGGCCTCCTGACTTCATGATCCAACCACCTTGGCTTCCCAAGGTGCTGGGATTACAGGCGTAAGCCACCGCACCCGGCCCAAAATATAAAAATATAAGAGCTACTGAGGGTTGCATATATGAAGACACTTCTCCTGAATTCAGTGCTCATATAGACAAAGGCAAGTAAACGCAGCTACCCTCGAGAACTGGTTTCCCAAGACCTGTCAGCCACACTGCTACAGCACAGGTATGTTAAGGAGAGAAAAAAAGTGTCTGGGAATGTCTAGACATAAAAGAAACACGGGTAAAGGAAAACTGGCACAAGGTTCCTGTGCTCAGAGAAAAGACCCCTGGACATGCTGGGGACTTCAGAGCCCCAAGGACATCATGATAACCATCAGATAACTGACAAAGACAGTGGCAGTCCTGTTTCAGAGGCGGGTTTCCATCTAGGCAGAATTTGCACTCAGACTTGGAGACCAATCAGCACCTTAGAATACCAGGGAGAGGAGTGAGAAATAAAATTCTTTCACCCCACCATGAAATCATTTTCATAGTTCTAAACATCACCTAAAACCTCTAGCACATACTGAACTACATATAATGCCCAAGGTTCAACGGGACAATTGTTTTGCAATTAAAACAAATTGCAAAACGATCTGCAAGCTTGGGAGCAGGATTACAGCCAAAATATAATCTGGGTTCCCTGTTAGTGCACAGAGTTAAAAATCAAGGGAGAGAGTCTGACCTGTGGCACAGATGTTGCAGGCTAACGTGGAACAATAGAACAGACGGGCTGTTCATTCACCAGAAGGCAGCTTTCTAAGGGGATTTTCTGCCCTTGGAGCAGAGAGAGCCTGGCTTCCCGCAACGCTGAGGCCATTTATGGATTAACAGTGCACTACAATGTGGCAAGTTTGGATGCTAAAAACCCAGCCCATCAACTAGCTGGCTCCCTAATCCCATTTTAGATCAAACCCACAGAAGTCAACTCTCTTTTCTGTAAGGTTAGCAAAAAAGTCAGAATAACTAGGAGATAAAAATGTCTCACCAAAAATGTCTTTCCTTCTGTCAGGGTATTATGCTAATGGTAGTGAAGGGGGGGTCCGTTTCTCTAATTAAACAATCAGAGCTTTTATTCTAAAAATGATTCCACTGTCATATAAATGTTTAAGATCCTGTGTATGTTGCTACTATAGATTTTCACAAGACGTTGACAGACTAATAAAACAAGCAATTCCAGAAAGCTTTATCATATGGACAGGTTAGGCTAGAATTAGGCTTTATCATATGGACAAATTAGGCTAGAATTTATACCCCAGTCCTATGAAGAGAATGTAAACTGGAAAGCAGTTATTGGAACTAAATTCAGGAGGCAAAAAAAAGGGCAGGGGTGCTAAAGTGATCCTTTTAAAAGACTTCACCATTTTAAGTGTTTCAAAGGAATGGACACAGGTTATCTAAAACCTTCTTTCCAACTGTATTGCTTCATTTTACCACATCTCAAAGGGCATGTCACTATACAATTAAAAGACAATCCAAACTGTTTAATCATCAAATAGTTTCATGGCCTGTGCACACAGACAGACACAGACACAGACAGACACACACACAAACACACACACACATACATACACACACACACACACACATCATCATCATCATCAACCAAGCATATGTAACTTAACTTGAGTTTTGGGTTTTTTACATAAAAAGAAGGGGAGGCACTGTTCATTCGACAGTGTTTACTAAATGCCTACTATATGCTAGGCATTGAATTTGCACATTGGATGAAACATCACTAAAAAAACTGGCCATGCTCAGTGGCTGACGCCTGTAACCCCAGCACTTTGGGAGGCTGAGGTGGGCGGATCACCTGAGGTCAGTAGTTCGAGACCAGCCTGGCCAACATGGTGAAACCCCATCTCTACTAAAAATACAAAAATTAGCTGGGCATGGTGGCAGACGCCTGTAATCCCAGCTACTTGGGAGGCTGAGGCTGAAGAATCACTTGAACCCAGGAGGCAGAGGTTGCAGTGAGCAGAGATCACGCCATTGCACGCCAGCCTGGGTGACAAGAGCAAAACTCCATCTCAAAAAAAAAACAGACAAAGATCATTGTCACTATGTATGGAGGTTATATTCTTGGGAGACAGGCAGTTAGTGGCATGGTGGAGGCACTGGTATACATTAAGTAGAATAAATATGCCAGTTATATACGGTGACATAGAACAGGGCAAGAGCTTTAGGAGTAGGAAGAGGCCATTTGCTGTGTCAAGGCATGAAGAAAGTGTGGGAGTGAGCTGGGCAGCCGTGAGGGAGTGGCATTCCAGGCACAATGAACAAACAGCAAGTGACAGGTCTCTGGGCGGGATCAGGCGAGCAGGGTGGAGAAACAGTGAACAGGCCTGTGTGCTTGGAGTGACTGTGTAGAAGGAGGAGAGGAGGGCTGGGAGGCCAATCAAGTAGGGCCCTGTCATGTCAGCCACTGTAAGAACCCGTACTTTTACTCTGAGCTAAGAAAGCAGCCTATGAAAGACTCTATTCTGACTTTGTTTCCCAAGCTTCAGTCAGCTGCTACAGTGAGAAGTGACTGGAGAACAAGCATGGAGGCAGGAGGCTCGTGATAGAGGCTATGGTAGAAATCTAAGCAACAGAGGGTGGCAGCCAAAACCAGAGGGGTAGCCAAGGGTGGCAGCACAGAGGCTGTGGTGAGAAGGGTCAGATTTGTATCTGTTTGTTCTTACAGACTCTCATAGACTATGAGGAGACCATCAGACTCATTAAAACATATTATGATTTCAAAAATACTAACCAGCAGTTACTAACTTGAAGTCAATCTATCCACACCCACTATCTACCAAGATTATTCTGACACAAATGACATAGTTTGAAGGCAGAACCAATAGGATTTCCTGACAGATGAGCCAAGTGGTACAGGACAGAAAGCAAGTAGTCCACCCAGGATACAAAATCTTTTTGGGCCTGAGCAATGAGGAGGGTGGAGTTGCCACCAACTGAGAAAAGACAAGGCTCCAAGTGCAACAAGCTTATGGGGGAAGAACAGGAACTCACATGAGACATGTTGAGTTTAGGCTATCGGACTTCCAAGTAGAGATGCTGATGAGGCAGGTGATACATCAATGCAGCACTCAGGAGAGGTGTCTGTTTAGTCCTGAGGCCTGACACCATCCCTAAAAAGGGCAGCTTACAAGGTTGGCCTTTGGCTGGCATCTGGGATTTTGATCTGGGTAGGGTTTCCACCGCTCCCAGAACTGGTAAGAGTGGCTCACTGTACCTAGAATGCAGTTTACGCCAAACACCTGTTTTCCTTTTGGAAGTCTGAAATTTTGGGTGCATGCTAGGCAGAGGCTGCTTGTACTGCCATCTCCAAATAAAAATTCAATGCACTGAGTCTCTAGCAAGCTTCTTTGGTAGACAATATTTCATACGTGCCATTACGGCTCTGCTGGAGGAAGTAAACAGGGCCTATGTGACTGCACTAGGATAGGACTCTGGGAAGTCTGTGCCTGAATCCCTTCAGACTTCCTTCTACATGCCTGTTCTCTTGCTGAATTTGCTCTGGATCCTGTCATTGTGCTATAAATCACAGCGGAGAGTACATCTATGTGCTGGAATCGAAATTGAGGATGGTCTTGGGGACCTCCAACACAACATTCTTTTCTATACATTTACAGGGAATGGAAGCAAGAATGGGAAGTGTCAAGATAAAAAACAAAACTTTGCATGTACAGCCGCCCAAAGCTGAAAGGAATAAAGAAAGAGGAGGAAAGCAGAAAGCAGCAGCAGCAGCTGGGGAAAGGAGATGGGATGGTGAAAGGACAGTATCCATTTTTTTAAAAAAAACAGCAATTTAGATTATACAAAATTTGTTGGGCGATTTTTTTTACTCAACCATTTATTTTACTTAGAAAAAATGCCTTTGGTTCACAAAATGATGAAATTAAACTAAGAAACTGTGGATATTCAATCTGCTTGAAGAATGCTCATTAACAATTACAAAGATGATCCTTTCACAGCAAGTTTTAATTTACCAAGAGATCAAGAATAGTTATTCCTAAAGCATAATTAATCTTTCTATTCCACCCCAGAGCTGAGAATAGTGTTTTTAAGACTAAGTGTTCAGTACTTGTTTAAATAAATGAATTAGTGCAACTCCATGAACAGCATTAAAAACAAAAACAAAAAACCTACAAACCATGGTATACATTTGCCATTTCCAGTCCCAACGAACCAAAATTATATCTGAACAAAGCAATTAGTAGTCATATTTTCAATAAGAATGAATATGATACTTTTCTCTATTCCTTTTTTATATTTAAAACTAGCCAACAAATTAGTAAATGTATGATTATTAAAATATAGTAGCACATAAATATTAATATAAAGGCTGTCTGTAATCTTTTAAAAGGGACACTATATATATTTTTTGCTACTGCTCAAAGCACTTTCGGAAATTCTCCTTTAAAACTGCCTTTTGGCCAGGTGTGGTCCCTCACGCCTATAATCCCACCACTTTGGGAAGCCAAGGCAGGAGGACTGCTTGAGCCCAGGACTTTGAGACCAACCTGGGAAACACAGGGAGACCTGGTCTCTACAAAAAATTTTAGTCCCAGTTACTCGGGAAGCTGAGGTGGGAAGATCTCTTGAGCCTGGGAAGTTGAAGCTGCAGTAAGCCATGATCACACCACTGCACTCCAACCTGGGGGATGAAGCAAGATCCTGTCTCAAAAAATTATTATTTTTTTTTTTTTTAAGGAGAAGAACAACAAGAACTGCCTTTTGTCTTGGGGCATTCTTTAGAAAGAGCAAATATATGCTAAGCACCACCCACGTGAATGAAGGGTGCTGTCATGAACCTAGAAGGGCTGAGATAATCCTACAAGAGGGTATGATCTAGAATAGAAAAACATACACATAAATGAACATGTGGCCACTGTTCTCTAGCTAACGATTAAAATAGCAGAAGAATCGGCAGGGCTCAGTGGCTCACATCAGCAGTCCTAGCACTTTGGGATGGCCAAGGCAGGAAGACATCTTGTGCCTAGGAGTTTGAGACCAGCCTGGGTAACACAGTAAGACTTCGTCTCTACGAAAAATTTTAAAAATTAGCTGGGCATGGTATCACACATCTGTAGTCCCACCTACTCAGGAGGCTGAGGTAGGAGGATCACTTGAGCCCAGGAAGTCCAGGCTGCAGTGAACCCGGATGATGCCACTGCCCTCCAGCCTGGGCAACAGAGTGAAGCCTATCTGAAAAAACAAAAATCAAAAATGAAACAAAAAAAAAAAACCCACACACATATACAGCAGAAGAAGACAGTTCACAGGGCAAAGGTAGTTATCAAAGGACCAAACAGTGATGGCTGTAACCACAGAGGGGCTGAAGAAGGAGCCTGCAAGGAAGAAAGACAAGGAGAAAAGGATTGCCACAGGTGGAGGGAGGCAGGTGGAGAGTGGATCATTTGAGTAAGTGGCTGAGGAGGGTATTGGGAGTGTTTAAAAGCCTTCAGCAAAAGTGATACTTTAATGTCTTTAATAAGGAGAAGGTAACAAGGAAACTCACATTTACTATGTAAAAACTAATAGACTACATACTTTACATTAATTTTAATTCTGACAAAAGCCTCTGAAGTAGGCATTATTCCATTTTACAGATGAGGAAACTGAGCTTTATCATGCTTAAAAGTATGTATTGCTGTCTTGGGGAAAAAGGCAGGATATGACTACTAAATAATGAGGTTAACTGCCTAGGAGGCTCATACACTATAAATTCACCTTGAAAATTATTTATGGGCCTCAAATTTATGTTCCTGGGAAAGAGGAGCAAAAGATTAAATCATTTTTATTAGTTCAGTGACAATTCTAAAAATGAAACCCAGAAATGTACTCACTCCTAACCACTCCAATAATTTTCTTTCCTAGAGGGATGAAATTTAAGTGTGAAAGTAAGTAAGAGGTCTTGCTGTTATTTATGATTAATGTTAGCATCTAAAATGTAAATATTTGTGATTACAAAAGATGAGAATGACATGGAAAATTATAAATATTGCAATAGAAGACTGTTTTCTTGGACAATGAAACCAGTAGTGTGTATCTACTATGTTTTCTCCAAGTGCACGGAACTCATGCAACCACCAAAAATGGAACACCCTATTTAATTCATCAAATATTTGAGTGTCTACTACTTATATAGCATTGCATCTTGTTAGGTACCACTACTTTAAAACCCAAATACAGAATACCACTGCTATACTCCTGTAGTGAACTGGGAGATGTGGTGTAATAAAAGCAAGTCCAGGACTCTATTGTGACTTTAGACAGGTCAAGCACCTCTCTGAATTCCAACTGTCGTCATCCATAAATAAAGTGAAGACTTTTCAACATGAAAAATGTAAAACATCACAGGCATAAAGCTAACCTAGTCTTAACCTTCCTCTGCTTACTGACTTATTAAATGGGTTAAAACAGCAAGAGAGAATTTTCGTATTTTGTATTTTTATATTACTCTACACCAAGTGTTCTCAATGGGGCTGATATTGTCCTCAAGAAAATTTACTACTTTTAAGTGTAAAGACATATATACAGTACATAAACATATATAGTTATATACAGATATACAGTATATCTGTACTATTAAAATTTCACAGGGAATGATTAGAAGGGCGGGTGCTGTGGCTCATACCTGTAAATCCCAGCACTTTGGGAGGCTGAGACATGAGGATTGCTTGGGCCCAGGAGTTTGAGACCAGCCTGGGCAACACAATAAGACCCCATCTCTCAAAAAAAAAAAATTATTGTAGGTGGCACACTCCTGTAGTCCCAGCTACTCAGGAGGCTGAGATGGGGGGGATCATTTGAGTCTAGGAATTTGAGGTACGATGAGCTAGACTCGTGCACTCTAGACTTGTGCACAGCTAGACTTGTGCACTCTAGCTTGGGCAACAGAGTAAGACCTTGGTCTCCAAAAAAAAAAAAAAAAAAAAACTAAAAGAATGTTTTAAAAAGCTTCATAGGGAGGAGACAGTCAAAAAAACGGAAGGTTGAAAAAAACTGCTGTAATATATGAGGATACAGTGGAACTATTAGTTCTCAAAATCACTATACTTGTTAAAATAAATCAATAATTAAATAAAATGTAGTTGATTTTAACTGATTTTAAGAGCTTTTCTTCAAGGTCTTGTCTTATACCAGTATTTAAAAAATAAATAAATAAATAAACTTGTGGCCTTTTATCTATCTACACAAGGCTGAGTAAGGAAACCAACCCAAATTGGGAAGTTAAAATTTAAGATCAAAGATCATTCAAATCAGGTTAAAAGTTGTCTAAGGTAAGAAAATACAAGACGAGGAAATTTAGCATCCCACAAACATGGCACATTAGTTTTTCTCTCAGTAGCTAAGGGAAAAGCAGAAGATAAGAAGATAAGGAGGGAGGGGGCGGTGCAGGAGGGGGATACAGACTGTCAAAAACTGATACATTTCTGGCTCACCCTGACAACGTTGAATGATCCTGTGGTAAGTCTGCCAGAGTCATGCAAAGCACAGGGAGAAAGTGCCACCAACACCCTAAAACAGAAGAAGCCAGTACGAAGCTGTAAGGCCTGTAGCATTTAGCTGGCCTCTGAGGAATAACAGAATAGAACAATAGGTCCCACAGGCCACAGAGATCTCTCCTTCCCTTCCTTTTGTTCTTATTTTCAGTCTAGACAAGAACAACACATTCATTACATTGTGCTCCCCTCCAAATGAAAAGGGTAAAATTGTTCAGTGTTATATGGCCTTGTGTTATCACTGGAATATGCTTGTTTTACTCCCTCGTACCAGAGCATGAACTCCCTGAAAGCAAGGTGTCCTGCCCATGCGTGGTCAGAGCTCAGAAGGCATTCAAAAATCTGTCCATCAGAAGTGACATATATTGCTTAGCTTCTTGTATGGCTCTTGCCTTTCCACATATGATGACAGGCAGAGGCCAGATTCTTACTTGGCTGCTCTAGGAAGGGCTTTTACACAGCTTTTACTTCCACATATCCATGGAACATGGCGCTAGGAATACTGGAAGATGCTCAATCTTCCAGTATACTGGCTCTTCCAGTATACTGGCTCCCAAAAGACATCATGCCCAATATCTTCCCAACCCCTAAGTAATATGACAGAATTACCATTCACAGACACTGTAGTCTTAAAACTAAAAGAAAGTCTGCTCTGACAAATCTGCTAAAAACAAATTTTAAAAAGGAGAAGTGTGGTCAAGATCCATCTATCCTTTAAAGTTCAGATCCAACCAGCTCACTCAACGAGCTTACTTAAAAACCTGATGTTTGAAATGGTTATACTTTCACAAGTACAGTAAGTAGGGAATCAAAGATCCAGGTTCTAATTCCTGCAGTGTCTAATTAGCAATGTACTCCTGAGCAAGAAGTTATTAGCGTCTCTGAGCTGCAGTTCTTCACCGACAGACAGAAGGGAGTGGGCTCTTTCTTTCCCAAGGCTCCATTAAAGCAGGGGGTTTCAAACTTAAAGGTGCATTAGAATTTTTTGGAGGGCTCCAGTCCTGAGTTTCTGATGCAGTAATCTGGGATGGAACCAGAGGCTACATTTCTAACAAGTTTCCAAGTACTCGCAGCAGCTGCTGGTCCAATAGCTACATTTTGAGAATCCCCTGCTTTAACAGCATCCTATGCCCGAGTGGCTGAGAAAAAGGACCACATGTTGGAAAGGCCACTGGACAGGCCAGAAGACTAGATTGGATACAGCTCTGCTACTCAGTGCTGATGAAATGCAGTCAAACATCATTCACTCCAAAGAGCACCGTTTCATCCCCATCTGACATAAAACACCACATAATAAGTTTGCCTCTGTTCTCTGTGCATTAACCTAAGAAATGTTTGTCCTTGATTTATCCAAAGCAAAGGGCCAAAATAACTTCAGAAAAATCTTAAACTTCTCCCCTCCATGTCTATTTTAAGTAGTAATATTATTATAATACTGTGAACTTTATATTCACTGAACATAAAAATGTGTTGTTTTATCAGGAACCAATATTTTCAGTATAAGAGAAAAGACAAAGAAACATAAGATATACAAGACACAAGAAATTAAGAAATTCTGGTTTTTGAAAAAATGTACTTCTTAGCTCTGTCTACTCAAAGGGCCTAGAAGCAGTAATACCTCAGTAGCAATGAGCATACTTAGCATCCAGATATTAGTCTCCAAATATATTTCCCACTCAACAGAACTAAGGCTCCTCAGAGGAGAGTATTCCATGTCTTGGTAGGTGAGTTTCAAATATCTACTTGTTCCAGAAAACAAGGAAGTACTCAAAAACTAATAGTGGCACGTCAAAAGGCCACAGACTCCATGGGGACCCATTGGGTTCATGTCAAAGGCTCTCACTGGCAAATATGGTACAACTTGATTATGTAATAATAACAGCTGTAATTGATGGAAACCACTCATGTCCACAGGAATATCCAGACAAAGAGAGAAGGGAAGGGGTAGGTAGGAAACTCTTCTACAGATTGTTGTTGACTAATAAATACAAAAGGAAGAACGTAAAATCATCATTTTGCAATAATAACTAACCTAAGCAAGAATCATTAAATGAATGCCAAAGCCATTAGTTGAAAGGTTGCTCATGAACAGAATATTCACACAGTGCCAAAGTATCACCCTGGAGATAGATTACTTAGGAAATGTAAAACTAATAATGCACCCTTATGGTGGAGAACGCTGGCAGTCACCTCCAAGAGACCCAACTTGGCTTCACTAATAATGGGAAGGCTATGAGTGAAGTGGGCTTCACCTAGAACTGACGTACTCCCTGACGTGAGGCAATATGAAGTACCCAATACCACCACTGAGGTGTTCTTGCCAAAAAATATTTAATCTGCATCTAATCAAACCTCTCAACATATTTCCAGTCTACAGGAAATATAGGAGAGAAAGGAACAAGTTAAAGCATAACATGAGGAAACCATCAAATCCAGAATACAGGATACTTTACAAAACAATCTGGCTAAATTCTTACAAAAGTCAATTTTCTTTAAAAATAAAAATAAAAATAAAAATGGAGGCAGGAAAGTAAAGAGAAACTTACTGCTTAAAAATAAGCGATATAAGATAACTACGTATAGTGCATAAACCTGGACTATGATTCAAAAAGAGTTATAAAAACATTCTTGGCACAAGCAAAGATATATGAATGTAGGCTGAACATTAGGTAAAATTTTATGATACGTAGAAGACTGTCTTTAAGACAAGCATGCTCAAATATTTTCAGGTGAAGTGTCATGGTGATAGCTGTAATTATTTTCAATAACAGTACACACACACAAACAAAATGTTAACAAATGTTGAATATAAGTGAACAGCCGAGAGTGTTCATTCTTTCAACAGCTGTGGATGTATGAACTTTTTCATAATAAAAAGTTAGGGGACACTATTAAAATGCAAAATAAAATTCTGTTCTCAGAGACAAACCTCACTCAAAGAGTTTATGAACTCCAAGTTGAGCAATCACTGGTAAAAGCAATCATTTGCCTTGCTTTGTTTTGTGCATGTACTTAAGTTATAATATTGTACTATAGTTATGCAAGATTTTATCAGGAAAACTGAATGAACGGTACATGAGACCTCCCTATACATTTTTCTGCAAATCCTCTGTCATTATTTAAAACAAAAACAAAAACAAACCACATTATAGATCTGCTATCCTAATACCATCCACTTTGAGCACATCCTTAATCTGTTCCTTAAACCCTTCCCAAAACCAATCAGATAAAAGACATGCTTTCCCTAAAAAGAGCCTTTCAAAATCCTAAGGATAGTCAATTCTTAATACAGCTGAAGTACTCACACACAAAATTTGAAGAGAACTTGACATCTCTTGCAAATAAATGCCTCCCCACTTCCAGACCCCTTGGTTTCCTCCATAGTCCCTTGTCACCTCACCCGAGGATGAAATCTGTAATTCTCAGCTGGTTTTGTTTTCCAGATTCACATAATCAAGTAAAGCAAGTGAAGTGGGCCCACATCTTTGCATTGTCTGCAGCCAGCTCTAGAGCTAGATTCATTCAGCCTGCCAACAGCTGACAGCTCGGGAGAAGAGCAGCCACACCATTCAATTTCCCACACCTGCTGCAATTCTTGCCTTCTGGGCCTGAGGAATAACTAGTGACCTGGTAACTGCCTCTCACTTTCACCTAAAGAGTCAGAACCAATCTGTGATTTTTCCCAAAAACAAGTATTTGCACCTTTTTGCTCCTGAGATGAAACTAAGTGGAGGTAAAAAAAAAAAAAAAAAAAACCATGAAGAGTCCTGTTCTCATCAAGAGAACCCGCTCCAATAGCCCCTCCTGCTGGAGTTGGAACCAGAAGCACATGCTGCAAAATCTCTCTCATTCAGCCTGCTCCCCACTTGCTCCCAGGTCCCAGCCAGGCCAATGCCTACAACTGCACAAGAGGAGCTAAGAGGAGCTTTGACATGCAGGCTTGGCAAGGGCTTGTTTTCCAGGCTGCCTGCTGTGCATGGCCCTCTATCCATAAGCAACACTTACTATGGGCAATGACTGTGCCCCATGCTATAGCAAAGGTCACTGTATGAAAACAGCACACAAGAAACATGGACAATATGGTAAATAGTTAATTGTGTTTGTATAATACTTATTTGAGGACTCACCATCTGGTTTTCATTTTACCTGAATACATGGGTTTTGCAATAATTGCTTTTAAAGGAGTCCCAAAACTACTTATATCATGCATGTGTCCAACATTGCCTGATTTTTCAGGCAAGAAAATACCTTTTGTACACAACTCAACAAAAGTGGGATACAAAAGCATCCATTACACATATCGGTATGTATTTTATAGCTATGTTCACAGAAACATGATTGAAAGGAAATACACTGAAGCACTAACAACAGCTATCATAAGGTAGCAGAGGGCCAGACGCGGTGGCTCACACCTGTAATCCCAGCACTTTGGGAGGCTGAGGCGGGTGAATTGCTTGAAGTCAGGAGTTCAAGACCAGCCTGGCCAATATGGTGAAACCCTGTCTTACTAAAATACAAAAATTAGCTAGGGGTGGCAGTGGGAGCCTGTAATCCCAGCTACTACAGACGCTGAGGCAGGAAAATTGCTTGAACCCAGGAGGTGGAGGTTGCAATGAGCAGAGATTGCACCACAGCACTCCAGCCTGGGTGACAGAGTGAGACTCCATCTCAAAAAATAAGAAGAAGAAAGAAGAAGGAGGAGGAGGAGGAGGAGGAGGAGGAGGAGAAGGAGGAGAAGGTGGCAGTAAGTATAAGGATTTAACTTTTTCTTTATATTTTCCTATATTTTACACTTCTTTTTTTACAGTGATCACATATTGCACACTTATAATCAGAGCCAGGCTTCGGTGAAGAAGAGCTCTACAGAGAAGGCAAACCACATTTAGATTCCATTAGAGATGTGAAAGAGGACGTATCCTGACCGGCCACAACAGCTGTGTCAGGGGAGGCAGCACAGGTTGAATGACACTACAAGAGTGAACTCTCAGTTCATAAAATTCCAAAAGATTACATTTAAAATTGTACCTACAAGTCTGCCAGTAAACAAGTCAAAAAGTGTGTTAATAAATATGCAAAGACCGTATTTTCCAGCAACACCACTCCCAACACAGCACCGGCAAGATGCACAGCATTCGGAATGGAGACTTTGGTAGGAAGGTGGTATTGATCATTCCATTCACAAAGAGGGTACTTCATAAATAGCTCAACTACTGTATTTAAATTATAATAAGCAAGAAGTTACTGTTCCTTCAGTAAAATTTAAAATCACCTTAAAATAATATTTTATTGGAAAGCATCCAATTTCCCACTGAGCTGTACACCAAGATAGGATCACTATAATACAACAGAATAGTCTACATCAGAGTATGTCAAGGAGAATCTTTTGGCCATTCAACTAAGCAACGGTACATTTTCATTTTAAAGTACCCATTATTCTCTTTAACAGAGAAAAGAGAGTGGTCACCTCATAAAATGTCACATCTTCAAATACTTATGGAAGGCTCTATCAGTTGTCCTGTGGTCCAGAGACAACAGTGTTTTCCAATTCTTACTGACAAATACCCATGCTGAAGATGACCATGTTGTCAGAGACCCAGCAAAGAGCAAGGCAAAGGAGGAGATTTTGCTCTCTGGATAGCACACTAGAGATCAGGTTAGCCATTATCTCCCTTGACAGACCCCAGACTTGGGGAAGTTATGGCTGGATTTAAAGTTATCCTAAATCTCCAATGCTGCTAGTGAACTCTTTCTAGAATCTGTGAAATATGATATTGAATCCTATTCATAACTAGGCAAGTTAGGGGCAAACATGAGCATAAAGTAAAATTTCAGATAAAAATAATTTAAAATGAAATGGATTTAGTTCATTATAATATATTACTATTTTTAAAGAATTTAAATATGGGCTCGTGCATATATTACATGCACACACACAGGCACACATACATTTACTTTCTGTCTCGGTCACGTTCTCCTCTTTCCCATCTAAAGCTGCACAGTAAATCCTCATGCGACCATTTCAAGAACTATTTTTTGCTACTAAATTTTGCCAACAATCTGCTCAGCATTCTAGCAGATGTTTCTGTTTTCCAACCTCTGGGAACTTGGCTGGGTCTGTTTTCCTCCCCCATGTTAAAAATAAAAGAAATGGCACAAATGTGGCCTAATACCCTAGAGAAGCTTTTCTCCACTCGAAACCCTCAATCTCCCTATTCATGTGACCTCCATGATCCCTTTTCAAACTTTTTCTTTTCCATTAGAGAAGATGTTTCCAATTATGTCCCATTACGTTGCCAAGGATGACATCACTCAGATGTGTGTGTGCACTGCGTGTGTTTTGAGAAAATGCTACTGCCTTTTAGTTACTTGGAGACCGTGTACTACAATTTAGGCCAACTAGTCCACTGGACCTATGAACCCACAATGTCACAGGAGGGCAATTTGTTCAAGTAATCAGATTTTCCAAACAGAGTAATACTCTGTGTTGTTGGGGGAATCTTTGTCTTCCATCTAACATTATTTAAAAATGTGTGTGACTCAATCTTACCTCAGTGACATCCATAACTTTGATGGCTGCCAACTGACCCGTTTTAACATGTCGACCCTGAAAAACAGAAAAAATAGATCAAAAATCAGCACCAATTTTTTTGCACAATCATTAGAACAAAATGGCTGAAGTTTCCAACAAATCGTATCTCAACTATACTTATCTCTGACTAACCAAAAGTGATGACGAAATAGTCCTGTGCTCTCCAATACAACAATATGGTTTATAATGAACCACACTTAATAAGCAAGACAATTCGATGAACAAATGAGTTTTTGATAAAGCATCAATTACTTCTTTCCTTCACAGGTTTAATTTACATAACACTATCTCAAAGAAACTTTTTTTTTCTCTAAGGATTTAACTTTTTCTTTATATTTTCCTATATTTTACACTTCTTTCCTTCACAGGTTTAATTTACATAACACTATCTCAAAGAAACTTTTTTTTTCTACAAATCATGTTGGCCATCCTTTCCTTCTTAACTTGCTACAGGAAAAAAAAATGATCCCCAAAAAACCCTCTAGAGACTTTTTATTGTCAAAAATGGATAACTGTAATTTTTCCCTGTGTATTCCCAATACCCATTACTTTACTTCGCAAGAATTACACTGAAAGTCTTCTTTGAAGCTCTCCTGCAGTCCCAATGTAGGGACTGCAAGAAAGAAACAAGCTAAAGCATAACATGACGAAACTATCAAACAAATTCTTTTTTTAAAATTATTTCCCTCCTCCCACCAACTTCTTTATACACTTCTTTAAAATTCTGGGATTTTTTTTAAGTGTATAAAGAAGTCGGGGGGATGAGGGAGACAGGTTTCTTACAGTTGTATTATAATGCCTCACCTGGAATCTAAAATCCTATAACCCATTTATATCACTAGATACCAGACATACTTGATATCATTCTCCTTTCACCCAGATGAGGAGTACTGGGTTTAATTACTGTCAGTCTTGTTACTCTCTACCCACTCTTTGCAATGCCCTGCTGGTCATTTCTCAGGCCAGTAGCAAAGAGCATCCAGATATGCTGAGCATGATCTACTTAACAACTTTGTGAGAAACGGTCCTTCTGCAACAGATGTAAAACAGAAAGAACATCCCCATATTTTCCAAAAGCCTGTCCCTCTTGTGTCTCATGACTTAAAGAGTTGTGAACTTTGAAACTTTAAATCTGAGGAGAGTCTGTGTAGGAACTCAAGTTACAACTTGGACAAAGCAACTCTATGAAAATGACACTGTATTACAACTATGACACTGAGTAACTGTACCTGGGTAAGACACCGCTTGGTATGCCTCAGGCTCCTATCTATATAAGTGAGATCATAGTAGTGCCCACTTCATAGGGCTTCTGTGTACAATAAATGGGGCACAAGGAACATTGTGTGGCACATGGTCAGTGGTCAAGCACAACCCTGGAACCCTGTTTCCTAAATTAATGATAGCTCCTATAGTTGTGACTGCCAACACAACCTAAAACCAAATGATGATTTTGTTGAACCCAAGGAGAAAGAGTAGAATTTCAGAGGATATAGTATTAAGTGATCCTCTCATACTTTCCACATAAGCGTACAAAGTTCATCTCCTTGGCAACTAACCAACCTTCAAACCTGTTATTCACCCCCTGCAGTGAGTTTATTTCCAAATTACTAAAGCATATTTCTCGCTGACAGAAACCAAATGATGAGGGAAAATGTCACATGCACTGTCCTGGCTTTCCTTCTTTTCAAGAGGGTAATTTAGTATGCTGCATTGGGAATGTGTTAGTAAAATGTTGGGGATGGAAGGGTCTTCTGAGTATCTGATAGGGTAACACCTAAGATCCCTACAAATCAAGAAAATCCACGGGTCTATGAAAAAGCCTCCTCAGACATTTATAGAGTAGGATCTTTTTTTTTCTTTTTTCAAACAAATCTTAACATAAATAAAGCCATAAGGAGCAACAGAAAATGGTCTATGCTTCCCTCTATGCCTGAACTCAAGACCACAAGTGTGTATCCTCAAGACTTAGTCAGAAAGTGGCATAAAAGCTGAGAACTGTGAATTCACTCAGCATCTGCTTTATAAAAAACATGAGTTTCCCTTACTAAGGGAACAGAGTATAAGGAACTAAAAACTAATCAATTATTTTTGTGATGAGGCCAGACCATGTGACAGCATCAGTCTTCATTATCACTTACTAGGTCTCCAAATTAGATCCATTTTAAATTTAAACCAGAAAATCATCTAAGAATTCTGCCTTCCTCCTTCCAAACAAGACACTGTACCGGGAAAAATTAATCTGGGACCCAGGCAGCTTTGAGCTCTCTTTCCTTGTCCATCACCCCATCACTCTATTTCCTCAGGAAAGTTGCTTAAGTTCTAGGAGTTTCCGACCCCATGTTCAGGTGCTTCGCCCCCGTTCTAGAGTCCGGCAGGTGGTAGATAAAGTGCAGAGAGTCTATAAGGCCCTAGCCCTGACCCTGACACCCAGTGGGCTCTTGGCAGGGATTCATCCTCATTCCACTCCAACAAAGGCCCATGCTGATTTCCTTGCTCCTTTCTCCTTGTAGACTGCAATTGTCTCAAATGTAGTCAATGTAGGCCCATTTCTAATTTTTGAAAGGAATGGCCAATATAAGGGGAGGGAATGGGGTGCTAAAATAATGTACTTCTCTATTTAAAAAAAAAAAAGGCCAGGTGAAGTGGCTCATGCCTATAATCCCAGAACTTTGGGAGGCCAAGGCAGGTGGATCACCTGTGGTCAGGAGTTCAAGACCAGCCTGACCAACATGGTGAAACCCCGAATCCACTAAAAATACAAAAATTAGCCCAGTGTGGTGGCGTGCACCTGTAATCCCAGCTACTCAGGAGGCTGAGGCAGGAGAATTGCTTGAACCCAGGAGGTGGAGGTTGCAGTGAGCTGAGATCGTGCCACTGCACTCCAGCCTGGGTGACAGAGCGAGACTCTGTCTCAAAAAAAAAAAAAAAAAGCAAACTTCTAAATTTGAAACTAATAGTAATCATCTACCTGCTGAGATGGGTCACCTTTGTGCAAAGGAACCAAAATGGCCAGCAAAATAGTCTTGGGAGAAAAACTAAAGCCGGGACTCAATGTACTTGTACTGAATGTTAATATTCATATAATTGTGTGCTAAGGAAGCTACACCAAGAGTTTTTTAAAGGACAAAAGTTTGCCTGTGATTTATTCAATACCACCCAAGAGGGAATATACTGACTCTCCGCTCAGGGTGGGCTACAAGCTTAAGCCTGCGCTAGCTGGGTGGCCCAACTCACAAGGGAGACCCTTAGCACACCTCTCCTGGCATCTCTTTAGCTACGACACACGACCCTCCTTCATACCACCTGAAGGGTATTTAAAGAGAAAATGAAAATGCACGTAACTATAAATGGACTGCATTATGCTGGGAACTTAAGGACACAGGAAAAGGCATTACTCACTGATGTTTGGGGGTAGACATCTATTATATCATCCCATTTTGGCCTCTATAATGTTTCTTAAGGGCTGCTTCATCCAGCCTACTCACTGAAGATGAGCAATACATCATGTTCCTTCACCTAACTCTGGATTACTGGATCACTCTGGACCCACCTGATGGTGGGTCACTCAAACACCTAACTTGTGCATGGAGAGATTCTGAACTTAATATTTAACAGGGTCTTTTTTTTCCCTTGTATCATCCATTCTTTAAATATGCCAGTAAATTACTTGGTCAGTATTAAATATACATACCTAGCATCCATTTATGAATGTTACTCTCTTGTCCTATTATCTACATTTCTTGGGCACAGTATCTCATCCAGGGATAAAATAAATATAAAATGCCAGATGGCAGAGATTAAAGATTCATGGTTTGCTTTATTTACACAGTACCACGTAAACATTAATGTGTTTATAAGACAATTAGTGATTTAAAAGCCCCCAAATACTATTCACATCTATTTTCTCAACCGATCCTAAAAAATCCTATGAGGGCAACAAAGCAGGTCACTAGCCTGTTCTACAGATGAGAAACTTTGAATTTTCTTCAGTTATCTGCCCACGATACAATGGCAGCAGGATCCCCCTTCCACAGTGATTTTATATACATACTTCAAGAGAGGGACTCCTACTGTTTCTACTAACTCGTCAAATTTCTATCAAAATATTTTGTTTTCAAAGAAACAGCTTAAGTTACTTCCCCTCTATGCTTTTAAGGGTTAGCAGACATAGCATGATTTAGAATTAAAATTTTTCTTCCAATCAACATCATTTCACGTAGCTTGAATGGCTCAAATAACCAGAACCGTTATCCCCTTTGATAGAGCAACCTTCTTAGTTTCTGGTTCATTTTTAGTCTTTAAATTTCAGGAAAATGTATGTTTTTTTTTTAAGAAGAAAACTCAAACTATTCTTAATAGAGGTCCAAGCTGAAGAAAATGGCCTGATTTTCAACTTTCTTTATGTTTCTAACCAAGTCAAAATTGCCACCTCACACTCGAAAAACCATCACACTAGAAAACCCATCCCACATGGTTTTAAATGCGGGGCACTATGGCAGCCTATTTGTCTGCCTCTAATGAAATCTGCCCCTGGCCCATAGAGAGGAGCCTAGAGGTAGAAGAAACAGCATTCAAAAGGAGGCTTTTAAATCCCAAAAGAAAAAGATGCCGGCCGGGTGCAATGGCTCACACCTGTAATCTCAGCACTTTGGGAGGCCAAGGCAGGCGATCACTTCAGGTCAGGAGTTCGAAACCAGCCTGGCCAACATGGTGAAACCCCATCTCTACTAAAAATACAAAAATCAGCCAGGCATGGTGGCGGGCGCCTATAATCCCAGCTACTCGGGGAGGCTGAGACACGAGAATCACTTGAATCTGGGAGACAGAGGTTGCAGTGAGCCAAGATCGTGCCACTGCACTCCAGCCTGGGCGACAGAGCAAGACTCCAACTCAAAAAAGGGAAAGAAAGAAAGAAAGAAAGAAAGAAGAGAAAGAAAGAAGAGAGAGAGAGAGAGAGAGAGAGAGAGAGAGAGAGAGAGAGAGAGAGAGAGAGAGAGAGAGAGAGAGAGAGAGAGAGAGAGAGAGAGAGAGAGAGAGAGAGAGAGAGAGAGAGAGAGGGAGAAAGAAAGAAAGAAGAAGATGGCAATGTTCCTATCTTCTCAAATGTTCTACTATCACTAAAGGCTAGGTAACTTCATGCTGCATAATCTTTACCTAAACTCCAATTATCCCTTTAAAACACATTTGATGATTAAATATATTCGTTGAGAGGCAAATTCCATTGTCTCATCCATATTAAGAGGAACTGTGAGGAGTGAATAAATTCAAGAAATGAAAAATAGAGCCTTCACCTCAAGACTCCAATCTGAAGAGATGGTCTAATACCAACCACTCTATCAAAAAGTTTCACCACTCATCCTCCAACCTTCCGTCACAGAGCCTTGCTATTAAATGGTGCCACCACCTCACATCTTAGCAAGAAAGTGCACGTGACTCAACAGCACTTTTTCCATTCATAGTGCTTTCTCCCTAAATTTCACCTTTTTCCAGAATCATAAAACTTTTGTACTCATACAGCCTAAGAATAGGAGAGAAGGAAAATTTATGATGTTTATGATACTATGTAAGGTAAATAAACACAGAAGTTAGGAATAACAAATGCCTTCGTCCCTAAATAGCCCAGAGGGGTGCACACACACAGCATCAACTCCAGCAAGCATATCCTGTGACACCGGAGAGCATTACAGTCCTGAGGTTGGACTGTAAGAACAGGACACAGGAACCATGTTGGCCCTACTCTTGGGGCAGTTAGTGAACAAGCATTTTATATGCATTGTTGTTTACTCCCCACACAATGCAAGTATCATTATCCTCAACTCACAGATGGAGAAACTAAAGCTCAGAGGGGGCTAGGTTAACAAGCTCAAGAGTCACACCTAGACTGGCTCTCTATACCAGGCTGTGGACCTGGAACAAAAATGACCACAAATGTCCTATTAACCAACTTACATAGGAACTGCCAAGTATACTATTCTATAACATTTTAATAGATATAATCAAACATGGCAATACAGTAACCAATAATAAAAACTTATTTTCAACCCCTGGCCTTTTTCTTCTTGAATAAAGAAAGAACATCCCACAGGAATTGTTTAGGGAACATGAAGGCATGTGTACACACATTCACAAGCCACTGTGGTCCATGGCTTTCTGAAACTGTAAGAGGCTTTTATTTGTTCCCATCTTTATCTCATCATAAATTAATGCTTCCTTTTATCTGCTGAGTTTAATCTGAAACAAAAATTTCAGAGATTAATTACCTGAAATTGGCTTTATATTTGCTTAATAGTGAAGCCTATTAATGCACATCTCAGTAACCTGAAGACTACCTTTAACCAGTGCTCAGGACATGCCCCACACTGCTGAGGAGATAAAACACAGCAATCTGCCTGCAGGGAGCTTATAATTTAAAGAGGTGTTTAAAAACACACACACACACACACACATACACACACACACACACACACACACGAAGAGCATCACAGAGAAATACCATGCCCTAGAGTAGAAACACTTAGGAAAGAAGACAGTGTGAAACCAATTGCTCTGCTTTCATAGGATGTGCAAAAGCAGCTGTTCAGGAAGGACACATCACTATGGGGCTAGTGAGGTGGACCCACCATGGTGGCTGCGGCTGAGCCTTCAAGGATGCCTGGATGGCACTGAAGATCATCAAAGGACAGAACATGGATCTCTCAAGATGTGAGCTGCAAACAATCCTTTCCAAATCCCAGAAGGGGACAGGTTTGAGTTAGCAACTGGCCAGGAAAAAAAGGGTGAGCACAATGAATCCCCCCAAGACTAGAAGCTGTGTCACAAAACCATGTCACACCTCTGCAGACATGCAAGGATGAGAGAAGCTTGTCATACACTGCACATCTAGAAGACGCCAGTCTCCCTCACTAAATCAAAAGAGAAGATTCCATGGTGGTGTGACGTGTACCTGCAACAGAAGAGAGAAGACCTGGCTGCTTCTCATTCCCAACCAACTGGGAAGCTTTGTTTCTTGATATTTGTTCGTTGACTTTTTAGTGGTGTGCTGTTGGCTTGGGAGTGTTAATATTTTGGATTTAAGAGATTTACTGGGGGTAAAGTATGTTGCGTTTTTCTATTAGGCATGTCAATTTCAGTAACAAAAATCACTGCCTTTCACCTGTGACATGCAGACTTCCAGGCTCTATCCCAGGCCATAAGAACTGTGTAACTGGGGTATAGGAATCCATGCCTTTTTAAACTAGCATTCTAGTGATTTCTTACACACTCTGAAGTCTGGGAATTACTTCTTCAAGATTATAAGAAAAGTCGCAAACTCAAGTTCTCTTTCCCCTTTCAGACTTACATAGTATTTATTACAATTATATATGCAACTTACTGTCTTAGCTGGGGGTTTGGTGTGTGAAGGTTAGATTCATAACAAGTAAATTCTAATTCTAACAAATATCCTTTTTTTTTTCCAGAAAAACACATAGCTTATGTTCTGAAATGTCCAAGAATTGAAAGGACAGGCAAGCCTACTTCAACAAAATGGTGATTTTACAGATTAGAAAGAAATCCCAGAGAGCTAGAAGGACACTCAACTAGTAGCTAAGCCAAACCTGGTCTGTCCATTCTCTCCCCAGAATATCTCATCCACACCATTCACAGTTCAACTTGACAATTCCAACCTACTCCCCTTTCCGAATTTTCTTATTTTTACTAGCAAATATGGAAACCTATGTGACTATGAGCTGAATGGCATGAGTACAGCACTGGGAAATCTACTGACCACTCTTTCCATATCCAACCACAAAAAAGGCAAAGACCAGCTTGACTGGTTGGGCACTGCAAACCCCAAAACCATAGGCCTCACTCATAGGTGTTCTTTTACAAAAAGCATCTGCAAAAAATCCAAAATTACCAAAGTGGGAGAGCATATTACCCAGACAGCTCTCCAGGAGCCATCTAAGATAAGAAAGCACGTAATCAACCTGAGACAGCTCAGAATACTTCAGGAAACATCTCGGTCTTCTAAACATCTCCTGGTTGGTACTAGATCATCCCTTCAGACTGGAGTCCTAATAGAGCAGGAGTAAGGAAACATGAGCCCACAGATCCACTGCTGTTCTCATCACGTGCCTCCAGACACCAAACCAAGCCTAACGTGAGAGGGCTCCTATATGTGCACGTTTCATCCTCATAACTACTATTTCTTATCTACTTCTCCCTTCCTTCTGTGATCAGGGCTGCAGATGAGCAGGCAGGCAAAGAAAGCACATGAATATGTCAGTGCTATCAGTTGGGACTTTCCAATTAATAAGACAGTGCTTCCATTCCCTAAAGACCTTAAAATCAATATAGAATTATTCCTTTCTTAGGTCGCAGCTACCTTATCTGAAACAACACTCCCTTTAAAGAAAATTATACCTCAATTGCAGGCAATGTGTAGACTTCTATTAAGAATGAAACAGTCAAAATAGACAATATGGTAAGACTTTACCTAATGCCACCACCCACTCCCCAATAAATGAGTCATTTTGCATAGCTGCGTTAGCAGATAACTGAAAGTAAAATAAATTATGCACCGCATCTTTTTTCTTTAAGGAGCCAATCTGGATGGAAATCTTTCTAAACCCTGAATTCTTGAGCACATTAAAAGGTACTTTTCTTAATGGCCCAGGGAAATCATTATGATCACTAATTACTATCCAGTCTTTGCAATTAAGGGATAGCCTCCGGGAATATTACGTCAGGCAGTAATATTCTGACTCCAACAAAGAAAGGGCCCAGTCATCTGGGCTCTGCATGCTTGTTCAGTCATTTACAGCTGTGTGCTGTGTTCTAGGACAGATGGCAGGTGGGGGGACCAGACAGCAAGCTCAGTTCCAGTTCGAGGAGCTATCACTGTAGTAAAAATCACCTCTATGTTAGAGAAGTGGAGACAATTTAAATGAGCAGATAATGAAGGGTGCAAGAGAAGAAATCCGGTCATGAGAGTTTACGAGTAATTCTTTCAAAAAGGGTGCTATGGTTTGAATGTCCCCAAAGTTCACGTGTTGAAAACTTGATTACCAATGCAACAGTGTTGGGAGCTGGGGCCTCATGAGAGGTGTAAGGCCAGGAGGGAGGAGTAAAAAGGTTAGTCTAAGAGAGTGGGTTAGTTATGTCCAAAGCAAGTTTATTATAAAAGGGGAAGTTCAGTCCCCTTCCCCCTCCCTCTCACCATGCGATGCCTTCCACGTTATGATGCAGCAAAAAGGCCTTCACCAGACATCAGATGCCAGCCCCTCGACCTTTGGCTTCTCAGCCTCCAGAGTCATGAGCCAATAAATTCCTGTTCATTTAAAGTACTCAGTCTGTGGTGGTCTACTACAGCAGCACAAAATGGACTAAGACAAAGGGGGAGGGAAGATCTGGCTGGGCAGTGGGTCAGGTGGGGAAAACGGGCAGAAGAGTTTTAGAGACATCTGGTGAAGATGCATTACAAAGGATAGCGCCCCTTCCAAGGGTGGTAACAGCCTTGCAGTCGCTACTACAACATCAAGTGTGAGGAACTAAGTTTGAAGAGGGAGACTGGCAAATAAAAAATCATCAACTAAAGGGTCCGAAAAAAGGATTAGCACATGCTTTCTTTCATCAACAGTCAAAGGGCACTGGCAAGTCTTCATGTCAGAGCATCTAAAACAATGGAGATTTCAGATTCTGCAAGCAGCTATCACTAGTATTTACTACACATACGCAGCTGCTCTTTGCTCACTTGAAAAACCCAACTGGCTAAAGACCCAGTAATTTTTGTTTAATAGCAAGAAAAATTTCCCATTTTTTACTATAGGCAAACTTACATATAAAGTTATTCATTTATTTTAGCCACTAAAAAAATACAGTATTCAACAGCCAAGTAATTAGTCAATATGGTAATACAAACCACGAAATTCAATCATATGACTCTGTCAAGATACGTTAAAAATACTCTACTGTTGAAGATAATTTAATTCAGCACTAAATAAAAGATTACTAACTGACCAATGAGAAAGGGAGCTCCTCCCAGGTGGCAATCCAATGGACTGTGCCTCTTAGTGACCAAGTGGGGAACCCAGGTTACACAAGAAAAACACACCTTGTAAAGCTAGGGCAGATGTAGCACTGGAACCCAAGAGTCTATGATTTCATACGACATCAGAAGACATCATACACAAAATAACTGAGTGGATTTTAATAAAAAGCTTGTTTATTATAATGGCTAAGCATTTATCCAGAACAAAAGACAAAACACAGAATTATGTGGGGTCCCCTTCCTCAATCCCAATAAGTTTCTCCACATTTCTCCCATGTGACTTCACAGTACACTTGATTCCTCATAATTATATCCACAGTATAACTTCAATATTGAAATATCACTTCAAGCATCACTAAAGCACTCAAACTGAACTCTTCTCATTGGCTTAGAGAAAAAAATTGAAAGTTTCATACACAAATCAAAAGGCAAGAGATTAAGGGATGAAAGGGATTCAGATTCCATTCTGGGCTCCTCATCCACCCATGGTCCCTTCCACTCACTACCAACTCAACCTTCAATTAAGGTTTCAAACTGATTCTTAACTTCTTTCTCAGCACTTCAAGAAGCTAACTCTAAAATACACTGCCCGTGAACCTACGTATATGTACACTATTCATATAAAGTCAACTGTAAGCAGCTTTGTGTGTCCCTGAACTATTGTAAAAACAAGTATAATCTGGTTTGTGAACCTAAACTACTTCTGTTGTTGTGTTGCAGCCAGTAGCACGGTTTAGAAGACATATTCCTTTCCTGCACGTGGTCTCTGACAACAGCATTTGTTTTCCTTCTGGTATTCAAAGTCTGTACACAGCTCTTAATTTGCCTATGCTGTATATTCATATTTTACTCACTACGCATAACTGTATTGTCCCTCCTTTAAAAAAAAAAAAAAGAGAGGTGAAAGAGAAACCCCACCTTTCAAGTTTTCTTTTGAGGTTACATGTGATAGTATCCCTTACCAGAAATAATGCACCCATGCCATCAACTCAGGTTTCCAAAGCCAGAGCACTCTCATGCAAACTCATACCATGTCCATCTAAAATTTATCTTGACAAAATTAAAAGAAAAAAAAATGGAGATAGAAAGAGCTCTTGTCTCGGCATGTGAAACAGAAAATTCTCTCCTCAAAGCATCATCTTTTGTTAAAAATCATCAGTTACAAGTAACCATATTATTAAAACAGATGAGTTTTCCTCAGTGTTATATAACCATTTCTTTTTGAGTTGTACACTCAACCCATCATCGCTTTCTCAGTATAAGATTCACAATGAAAGACCATGAATAAGTAAACAAAAGGGCAGTTTTATAGCTTTACTAAGGCTTAAATAGATCTAGTGGAGTTGATAAAGTCAGTGCTCTAACCACCTTCCCTGACTACTCTGCATAATGAGGCCATGCAATAATCACATTACATAACTAAAAGAACAGGCAAAGGGAAAATTTTGATGAGCTTTATGCTTCCCTCTATTTTTCAGCATCCTCCTCTCCTCCTCCTCCTCCCTATCAATAAACAAACCTCCTCTCTCACTCCACAAAGGAAGGGCCGATAAAGAAGCACTCACTGTGTGTTCATTCTCTCAACAAATATATTTAATAAATATCCATTTATTTATTGTGCCTGGCACACAGAAGTGTACAAATACTTTAATACATAATACAGCAAGTCATTGCAACCAAGTTACAATGAAGAAAAACATCCCTATTTTACAGAAAGAAAGTAGAGGCTCCATGAAATTAGAAAAACGAGCCGAAGGTCACACAGCTAGAAAGAGGGGTGAGGTGGAATTCCGACTCAGGTGTGTCTGGCTTCAAAGCTCCAGGTACCAGATCACTGATTTGGATCAGCACTTTTCCTTACCGGCCACAGAGATTTAAAATCAAAGGTCTGTGTTCCAGAACCTGCTTCCACCCCACTAAGGCACCAACAGCAGCCTGTAGGTGAAGGTCAGGATGTAAACCCTGAGGAGTAAAAAGCACCCGGGCAGTCAGGGATTGGTATGTCCCTTCATACGACTCCCTGCCCTTCCCTGGGTGCCCTTCAGGCAGCCAGAATCTTCGGTGGCTGTTTTCTGAAGATCCTCTCCGACTCCTCTTAACCCTGCCCCTGCTTTTCACTCAACCCCTGACTTGGTCCACAGCCTCGACCAATCAAGGCACCTTGAGAAGCCTGCCAGCTGCCAAGGTATCCCCCCAAAGCGCCACCCCCTCCCCCACAAGATACCTTCTGCATGCTGTCCACCCTGTGTGTGGTGTGGGCAAAGCCTGGGCTATCAATGTAAAGCCTGGGCTATCAGTGTAAAGGAAATGACTACAAAAAAGATACAAAAGCGATTTCACAACTGCCTGGAGATTAGGTGGGGACCCCGCACACTGTGCTGGACACACGAATCAGAGACACGCAGAGGTGAGCACTCACAGCCCAGCACTCACAGCCCTACGGAACTGCCTAAGGTGGTTTCAGCATATTTAACTTGCAATGGAGGGAGAAATGCCAGTACAGCTTCTTCCCCGGGATTCAGAGCTCTGCCTTGTGGGTCCCCCCAGACCCACAGGTCCCCTTCATCAACCTTTGATGAGAGGACATCTGTCTGACTTGCTGCTCCAGGGAAGTCATTCCACTGAACCTACAGCCCACAAGCATCCAAAATTACCCCTACGGAATTACTGGTAGAAATAGAACACTGAATTGAAACTCTTCCAGCAACAAGTACACCAAAATCTGTCTTCCTAAGATAAATCCGTAATATTAAAAGTAAAAAGAAATTCTGATCATCTGAGTCAACTGCTCTGCCACTAAACTGAAGAACCTGAACAAGTCTCTTCACTTCTTGCAAGTGTGGCCATCTTACTATAAAACGGTCATGATTCTGAGGCCAACATTCTGATATACAAGACACTGGTCTAGATGCTAGGGATACAACAGTGAACAAAAGTGTGCAAAATCTGTGCTCTAGTTCTTGAAGGGGTATATAAGCAAAATCAAGCAATACACCTTCTGCTCTTCTGAATACGTTCTCATAGTTAAAAGAAAAAGGATGGAAATAAGCTACAGGGAAAACCCTGGCAGAGCACTGAGGAAACGGAATGCGAGAGATGGGGAGGTTGCATTTACACTGCGTGGTCAGGGAGGTTTCTCTGATACCTTGTCATTTGGGTAGAGAGCAGATGGAGGCGATGAATGACTTTGTCTTGCCACTCGCCCTGCGGGACCTTGTGAGCCGGAATTAATCTACACAGAAAACCATGAGCCGGCACCGAAGGTGGGATACGCTAGCTCCACTACCCATACTGTTTGAAGGTAATGTGGTGGCTCTGCTCAAGCTTCAGGTTCTCCACTCCTTCTTGTCAATAGCAGACACAGTGCCCAAAGCACACCCACTGCTGTGTGCCGCTATGAAAACAGGCACTGCACAGAGCAGGACTCTCTGTGGGCATGTCCAGCCATTCCCAATAGCCAGCTACTTCCTCACACAAAGCTCATGCTTGGATTATAGAGAAAGGGCCATGAGAGGCTTTCGCTTAAAAATGCTACAAGATTTCTCCATTCACCACCTGACCACACACCTTCTTCAGTCACTTTTCAAGCGGAACTCACACTCAGGGTTAAGGTCTGAGGCCTATATTGGCAGAGCCTGGCTATGACTTTCTACTCATTGTTAAAGTCTAAGGCCTATATTGGCAAAGCCTGGCTATGACTTTCTAATTAAGCACTGAAAGCAAAGTCTCCCGCCTTTCTATAAGGACAATAGTCAGAAAAAGAAAAATATATATTTTTAATTTAAAAACAAAATCCTAAATTTAGGTCCGTAACATTGCTTATTATTATTTGGTATGTGGTTATTTGGGTTATGAGATTGCGAAATTCAATTGTGGAATAAATTAACAAAAGCCAATTAACATAGCCATATTAAAAATAGCCTCTGTGTGTCCTCTTACGGTTGCACTTCTTCCACTTCAAATTACCCTGGCATCTGATTAAGGCAATTGGCTCTGAGTTTACAGCCAGAAACTACTCTCTAGGTGCTAATAGCAGGGTTCTTCTCCCTGGCAATAAATCCTCCCTAGTAATTCATTGACTAAATTGTACCTAACATTTTCCATAGTGTTTTTTTTTGGGGGGGTGGGGGGGTGGGGGTGCATTTTTTGTCTTTTTAATTGAACATTCCAAAAATTAGAAAGCTGTATATTTTTTTTTAAACCCAGATTTCTAGCTTCTCTTGAAAAACAGATTTGTTAAAGCTGAGCCTCTAGACTAGGCCCAAGAAAACAATGTCTGGAGTCCAGTGGGAACTGCCCCGTTAGACCAGCAGGAGCTCTCCAGCGTCCCTACAGGCCTTATCGCTCAGAATGCTCACACGTGAACCTGAAAAGCCCGGGCCCGATATTCTTGAGTGCAGAACAGCAATGGCTCTTCCACCTTAGCTGACCATCAGTCCCTGGGAGGGCTTTTTGTTGTTGTTGCTGGGAGTTTTTTGTTTTACTTTTAATTAAATATGCCTGGGCCTCACCCAGATCTACTGGATCAAAATCCCTAGGTGAGGGGCCTGAGAATCTGTAATCAACTTCTAAATAATTCAGAGTAACTGCCACTACGGCTTGATGGGGAATAATGTCAGAAAGGCTCCAGTCTATATGGACCACCAAAACTCACATTCCCAATAAGAAATTGAAAGCCCTCCAAAACACCACCACGTTAAGCATAAGGCAGCTCATTAATTGCATGTCTATCTCCCCGACATGTGAAAACAAACAGGTTTGGCCCTGACAGCATGGGAGAAGCCCAAGTAGCAGACACCACATAACACTCCAACAAAAACACTGACCCACAGTGAGTGACCACACAAGCACCCTGACTCTGTTCCCCCTTCACTGGCCTGACCACATTAAGCTATCATCCCAACAGGGCACGTGAGCGTGAACGGGGCACTGAGAGTAAGTACTCCAGGAAACCAGGTGTGAACCAGGGCTGCCTCGGGGCACACAGAAGGTTATGGTCACCCACCTTTTCCTGGGCTTCGAGAATTTGAAGAATTTTTTTCCGAGGAAAAATAAAACAGATGGCAAATCACTAATTACTGGATTCTAAGTTCTCACCCCCAGCACTAGCCCAGGGCCTGCACACAGCAGGCCCTCAGTAAATGGTTTTTCAAAGAATAATCAAGAGGCTAACAGGTGTTATATGACAAACATATTCAGTAATTTGTAAACACAGACCTTTACAAACAATCTCAAATAGGAGGTACAACCTTCAAACCTCTCAGATGATCTCTCCTTTAAGAAGGGTTCCTGGCAAGTCCACCACAGCAGTTACCCCACTTGAATAGGCCATTCAGAAATAAACTTGGTAAGATACAAATTTTTCACAGGAAATACAAGCAGAGGAGGCTAAATATGACCTAAGAGCTGACTCAACAGCCTCTGTGATGGATAAGGCTTCTCTCTCTAGGGCCAAACACCCCATGTTGTTCTTTGTGGATATAGGCCAGCTGTCCCCAGAAACTCATCCTCCTAAACTGTACCAATAATGGCCCCACAAAGCCACTCAGCAACAACATGCAGGAAGCGTGAAGGTTAAGATTGATCCGGGGTTGTCCTGAAATACTGCTACAAAATCCACGAATGCCTACAACCATCACTCAGCCCCTTTAAAAAAAAAAAAAAAAAAAAGAGGGGATAGGAAACCCTAGGTTTTTGTGAGATTGATAAACAAAATGGGGGGAAGTGATAAAATAAGCAAGACGACCTAGGTGGAGAGGCCTCCACCCTACCTGAGAGTGAACTCCAGGCCTCTGGAGAAGTCCTTCGGGGGCTGCCCAAATTCCACCACACCCAAGAGCCTACCTAGGAGCGCAAGTCTCTTCAGCACTAAGACATGCCTTTAAAATCAGAACCAAAAGGAACTGCATGAGAGGGGCTTTTGGGGTGATGAGACTGTTCTGCATTCTGATTGTGGTTACATAAATCTATACATGTTAAAACTATACAGACTTGTATATCAAAAGAAAACTAAGTCAATTTAACTTTATGATAGTTTTTAATCAAATAAAAAACTGAAGAGAGGCAGCAGTGATTCAAAATTCAGGTTACCTCACAAGCACAGGCACCCAAAGGAAAAATGGACAAAACAGGATAACATAAAGTTAATAAGCTTCTTGCACTGCTAATGTAACAATCAACAAAGTGAAGAGACAACCCACAGAATGAGAGACAATATTTGCAAACTAACCATCTGACAAGGGATTGATAACCAAAATATGTACAGAGCTCAAACAACGCTATAGGAAAAAAATCTAATAATCTGATTTTAAAATGGGCAAAAGACTTCAACAGACGTTTCTCAAAAGAAGACATACAAATGGCACACAAGTATATGAAAAGGTGCTCAACATCACTGATCATCAGAGAAATGCAAATCAAAACTACAATGAGATATCATCTCACCCCAGTTAAAATGGCTCATATCCAAAAGACAGGCAATCAAAAATGCTGGCGAGGATGAGGAGAAAAGGGAACCATACACTGTTGGTGGTAACGTAAACTAGTACAACTACTATGGAGAACCATTTGGAGGTTCCTTAAAAATCTATAAATAGAGCTACCATATGATCCAGTAATCCCACTGCTAGGTATATACACACAAGAAAGGAAATCAGTATATCAAAGAGATATCTGCACTCCCACGTTTGTTGCTGCACTGTTCACAATAGCTAAGATTTGGAAGCAACCTAAGTGTCCATTAATAGACGAATGGATAAAGAAAATGTACTTATACACAATGGAGTATAAGATCCTGTCATTTGCAACAATACGGATGGAACTGGAGATCACTATGTTAAGCGAAAGAAGCCAAGCACGGAAAGACAGACATTGCACGTTCATTTACTTCTAGGAGCTAAAAATCAAACCAATTGAACTCATGGAGATATAGTAGAAGGATGGTTACCAGAGGCTGGGAAGGTAAGTGTGGTTGGGGAGGGGGGTTAGTGGGTACAAAAAAGATAGTTAGAAAGAATAAATAAGACCTAGTATTTAACAGCACAACAGGGTGCCTATAGTCAATAATAATTTAATTGTACATTTTAAATAACTAAAACAGTATAACTGGATTGTTTCTAACACAAAGGATAAATGCATGAGGGGATGGATACCCTATTTTCCATGATGTGACTATTACGCATTGCATGCCTGTATCAGAACATCATCTCATGTAACACATAAATATATACACCTACTATGTATCCATAAAATCTTTTCTACTGTGTACTCACAAGAAAAAAATTGAAGGCAATTGCGGGGTGGGGAACCCAGGTCGCCTCTGGGCCTTCGGCCTATTTTCCTGTCTGCTCAGTGAGAGGCCCCTCAACAGACAGACACATCCGCTTAGGGATTTTGCTTTGTTGGCATTGTCTTTGTTCCCTCCCCCTTGCTGCCCTCCCTTTTCCTATTCTTACCACATTGTCAAGCAAAAAGGTTGATTCAGAGTCTCTACTGATTTAGGGTCTTGAGTTGGGAAAACATCAAAACCAGAACAGGTATAATTCCTGCCTCTAGTGCTACAATCAAGGAAGAAGTGCTGGGGTCCATTAGGTCCAAGGAGAAGTGCCGAGGGTCAACTAGGGCACAGAGAAGCCCAAGGAAGGGGGTCTTGCAGTCAGCAGCATTTACAAGGCACTACCCTACACCAATGTGAAGATGGTGTACTCCACTTTCTGAAAACCCAATGCAAAGAAACCGACTTTGTCAACCCAGATAAATCAAGGAAGGGTTACACCTAAAAGCAAGTGAGCAGCATGGGTTCAGACAGGGAGGCAGTGAATAACATTACCAACTTCCAGAGCCCAGTCCCCTCATCTGTACCCATATCAAGGAGTGAAGATGAAGACTGACATCCTCATGTGTGTGAGGTTTAGCACAGTGCCCAGGCGCGGGGCAAGATAAAGAAATGTTAATTACCATAACACCTAAGCAATTCTTTATATTACATGAAACTGATGAAACACTTTGCAATGTGAATGCCAAAAAAGACTTCATTTAGTTTTGTGTTATGCACACTTTTCCAGTCTGGCACAGAAAGTGAAGCACACTACTATTCAAAACTAAGTGGATAACAGAAAATCAGCGATAACTTTTCTTTCTCATCCTTTCTTGGGTGAAGATACATAAAATAATTTCATTTAGGTCTTTGGAAAGGGAGTCATAATAGTCCACAATTTAAAAAGAACAAAATTCACATGGAAACAAATATTTCTATAGATATGCCTCTTTTCAATCAGCAGGTGTGTGCCTAAGCTGTTACTTAGATCAAAGAATTGTTTGCAACATTCACTAAAGTTAACCAAGTTTAAAGAAATTTTGTTGGATATCCTTTTTCAGCTGTGTCAACTGCAACTTCAGACATAGGTAGGGTTTAAAATGGGGGACACCTGGGGAGACAATTGGCCCTTCCAGGAAATAAGAACCAAGGAATTTATTTCTGAATGATTTTCAGGTGGCTGAGACGTTGAGTACAAATCTGGGCCTCCAGTATTCTCCATCAGGGGCCATGCCCAAGTTGAGTCCAAGGACAAAAATGTTTATTTGGGCAATGTCCTTTCAACACACACTGAGCCAACAGACTTTTGAACCCTGGCAGAACAATCACACAGCACAGGGACAATAGGGCTTACTAGAGGCCTGGCCTTGCCAGGCTGAGGGAGACTTCAGAGGCCCACAGAGAAACCCTGCTGACCCACCATAGACCACAGCACAGGACCGCCAGCAATCAGATTTCCAAATCATCAATCACCAGTCATCAAGCTATTGTGTTTCACTCTTGGTACTCTAGCAAATTATGTAGGGATTTTGCTTCCATTTAAAGAAGGACAGGGAGTAGGGTCAATTGGGAGTCTTCTCATTATAGTTTTCAATTCTTCAAATGATGTGTCCATCCTGGAGCACTAGGCAGCTCAACTCCTCATGTAAATGAGGGAACAGCAAAGATCAATCTGGCCTCATTAATTGCTGGAGTCATTGTACAACTAAACTGCATGTCTGCACATTGCGCGGCCTCCGTGCACTTAAGAATAGAGTGGATTTAACAAAATTCAACTAGGGAAGTTGAGGGTTAGGAAGATGTTAAGTGAAAAAATCCTCCCCCTTCTCTCCAAAAGGAACCTGAAAAATCTCAGTGAAGACTGAGCAGCTGGTTCAGAGGAAAACACATGAAAGAAGAATATGCTTACATAACTGGGTGGAACAAAAGGGGAGGTGCTGGTATGCTTAAAGACAAAAGCATAAGCACAGAAAAGGGGAATGCAACTAACTAAAATGGCACCGTTCCACTGCCATCTTCTCATCTCACTTTAGATCCTGGCGGTCTAAGCAAATTTCTCCCTGGAATGTTAATCAGGACACCAAAAGGTACAAGAAGGTTTGCTCTTGTTCCTTCCTTTTCCCATTATGCTCACCCAATTCAGCATCAGCATTTCCTCCCTACCAAAGATCCAGGCTTTCTGGGTTTTATAAATAGCTCCCCTCCACCATCCCCCAACCTTAGGACAGGCTGAGAGCAGGAAAACAACATGGAGAGCTCAGTATGATAAAATCAAGGTGTGCTATTTATGTGAACATGGTGATATATCCAACTATTTTATTACTTTTTAAAAGCAGATACTGTTTTAGTTGTGTAAATTCCTGCCATGAGGCTGTTAAGTGGGATCCAAAATATTCAACTTGGATGGTTACTGAATGAATCAATCAGGTAGAGCCTACACAGCTGGTAGACAGGACACTCGAGAAGCATGTAACTGTGGGGCTATTTGTGTGAACCACATTCATCTAGATTCTGGTCACAATTTAGCGCCATCTGGTGACAGTTGTCTACTCCAGTTTAAATGTCCACTGGGACAATTATGGGTCTTGTGGCTGGCTGCCACACAAGACAGCCAACAGCAATTCCAAGAATCCCAGGTAAGGCTTCTCAGTTCAATCCATGGGCAGTAGGCAAGAATACTGGGGACATGAAGACCTACTCTCTATTTAAGAAATGAGGCTATGTGGAAGACAAGCCATTGCCAGTCATATTATTTGCATTACTGAGCTTCATACTGTAATATTTTTATTCTATAAAAATTAGAATGAACAGGCCAGGGGGCGCAGTGGTTCACACCTGTAATCCCAACACTTTGGGAGGCCGATGTGGGTGGATCACCTGAGGTCAGGAGTTCAAGACCAGCCTGCCCAACATGGCAAAATGCCGTCTCTACTAACATACAAAAAATTAGCTGGGTCTACTAACATACAAAAAATTAGCCGGGTGTGGTGGCAGGCACCTGTAATCCCACCTACTCGGGAGGCTGAGGCAGGAGAATCACTTGAACTCGGGAGGCAGAGACTGCAGTGAGCCAAGATCGTGCCCCTGCACTCCAGCCCGGGCGACAAGAGCGAAACTCCGTCTCAAAAAAAAAAAAAAAAAAAAAAAAATCAGAATGAACAAAAGTGTAACTTTTTTGAAATTCAGACCTAAGACTGTTTTTAAATGTTCATCTTTGAAGGTGAAAACTACATGTTAATGATATCTACAAAACTTATTTGTTGAAAAAGAACAAGGGATATGATAAACTCAGAGTAACTGAAGAGATATGAATGAAGTGAGCTCATCCTCCTAGTAAATGTTTATGAAATATAATTTTGCTGATTAATTAGTAAAAGCCAGAATGTTTTACCTCACTGATATATCTCAGCTGTTAGGGTTGGTGGTTGTCTCCGATTTCCCTCCAGACTTTCCTTTAAATACATAATCCCCAACAAATGGCTCAAAACCATGACTCAAGACATTTCTGGGCCGGGCACAGTGGCTCATGCCTGTAATCCCAGCACTCTAGGAGGCCAAGGTGGGTGGATCACCTGAGGTCAGGAGTTTGAGACCAGCCTGGCCAACATGGTGAAACCTCGTCTCTACTAAAAACAAAAATTAGCTGGGTGTGGTGGTGGGCACCTGTAATCCCAGCTACTCAGGAGGCTGAGGCAGGAGAATTACTTGAACCCAGGAGGCAGAGGTTGCAGTGAGCCAAGATCGCACCACTGCACTCCAGCCTGGGCAACAGAGCAAGACTCCACCTCAAAAAAAAAAAAGAAAAAGACATTTCTGGATGAGCATCATAAGAACACAATCTCATTATGGCTTAGCATCCAAACATGAGAATTGAATTCACTTCAAATAAACTGTAGAGGTACATACTGCAAAAATCTTGAGTAATTTTCCCATTCTCCCCCACTCCCGTTAACTTATCCTTACCTTATTTCTTCTCAAAATTCTATCTGTTATGACCACTTCCATCCCTCCACTTAAGAACAAACTTTCATGTCTGTAAGCACCAGGAGGCCAGGGACCTTACCTTGCTGAATATTCACTATTACAGATCTAGAACCGGCTAATGGTAAATATTCATGAAAACGAGCTGAAACTCATTCTACCTTTTTATTTAAATAATAATGACACAAGAACAAATGAGACCACAATAATGAATCAGTTAATTTTCACATTTTAAAAAAGCCAAGTCACTTAACGAAACTTTAATAGTGAACTGCAGTTATTTCCAGGAAGTGATATAACAAACAAACAAACATATAACAAACATCTTGCACAAGATTTTGGCAAAAGCAAAGGTTTTCTTTCTCATCTAAAAGTCACAAAATTCACACACAAATACAATTCCAGACCCTCACAGATTCTTCTTTTAGCTTTATAAACTAAACACCACTACAGTTTCAAATTAGAAGACTCTGAACAGGCTTACACCAACTGTGGCCACTGACATCCTGTGCCTATTGAGAACTGGAAGCTTTTCACCACGGAGCAAATAAAAGGCATTTGTGCCTTCTGCTAAAAGATGAAGAGGCAGCACTGAAAGAAACACCAGACGAGGGTATCTTCTTATCACTTAATCAAACAGGCTCCTAAAACCCTTAGATTTAGACTGTTGGAGAAGTACCAACATCACTGATACTGGCTGGAAACACCCTTTTCTGTGGAACAAATCTAGATGCTCACCTAACCTCACTAACATACTGCTCACTCCACTAAGGGGAAAAAACACACTGTGTACACTGTTATTTGGGGGATGGGTAAAAGACGTATTACTACATTGTCTTAAGGTCTGCAACAGAAAAAAAAGTAGACTGTGGGGTTAATATTAAGAAAAAGCATACAAAACTAAAATGTCAGGACTATAATCAAAAGCATACAATACCTAAGCAAAACCTTAATCAACGCTGACGACAGCAATGTGGTGTTTTAGAACAGCATGCAGGACTCATTTGCTCCTTGAGAGCTTTGTCTTCTCTAATCCAACAATGTATTCTTTGTTAAAAGCAGTTAATAGTATCAAAAGAAAAGCAATATATATTAAATATCACGATGCTCAGTTACTTCCCAAGCCCACTGGGGTTAATTAAAGAGGAAACAGATCAAAATTTTACCGAAAGGGGCATGGTATACCCCTTAATTGGATGCAGAAATGCAAATTTTTAAGTCACTTTAGTGCCCCCAATTCATTATATATTAAAATATTACTAACGTTATGATACAAGATAATCATATTCTTAGAGAGGCAGCTTAAGTAACTGCAGCTAATAAGCCATGTGTAAAAAGGAAGTATACAAATAAGTACAATGAAGAAAAAATAAAGAAAATCTGTGTTTCAATTACCTACTCCAAAACACTCCTGAATACCAATCTTTTATTGGAACAACAACAAGTTTTGATTTATAGTAAGTCCACCAAATCCAAAAGGCCATTTCATTTGTGGAAAAGTAAGGGGGGGTGAGGGGAGAAACAGATCTGAACACAAGCAATAGAATATTACAGCTCATTCTAGCCCAGTTATTAGCAGGCCCAGCTGTCATAGCAATTATTAAAGTGAATTTTCTGCCTAATTAAAGGCTATGACAACCTGTCATATACTCCACTTGGGTGTCAGTTAGAAGGAGCATCTCTCTCTGCGAGGAGATCAGTCTGGAGCCAGCAGTGCATGAACTCTGCCTGCTGAGGACCCTGAGCTAGATAAAAACA
Source organism: Homo sapiens (assembly GCF_000001405.40). NCBI lineage: Eukaryota > Metazoa > Chordata > Mammalia > Primates > Hominidae > Homo > Homo sapiens. Next base: position 101,767,650 of record NC_000002.12, on the reverse strand, counting down.
GAGGCAGACCCATCTCTAAAGGTGAGACATTGGTTCACACCAAATGATTAGCACTGGTGTACTTTCTGAGGTCTCAGAGTTAAAAGGCAAGGCCACTCTGGAGATAAATAGATCACAGTGCAAACAAAAGCCAAAGACACGCCAAAGCAAGCTGTCATACAGAAGGAAGAGTCTTTGTGTTCAAAAGCTCCCTCTGAAATTCCTAACTGAAGAGCTTTCAAAAGACCACACATTTAGGGGAGAAGAGACAAACTCTTCACAATTGTGAGCTAATAAAAAAAAATTCTAATAAAAGCCAGGTTAAATCATAGGGCCTCTCCACCCAACTCCCAGTGAGATAACATATTTGCAAGTATGTGTGGCTCTCGGTTTGCTCTTCCTAAAGGAGGATACCAAACATGCCACTGTGGCTTTTTCTCACCAGATTGAGTCACTTGCCCATTGTTTCACTTAGCTATCCCCTTTTCATAGTCAACAAATCCCTCCAGTGGGAAGTGAGGCAGGAGAATTGGTTGCCTTCCACAACCAATTAGATGTCTGCATAGGGTATAACTTTGTAACTTCACTTCAAACTCTGATTAGTTACGGAAAGGGACCAATAAGACTGACTGCAGGCCACTACTTCATTTACATAGGGTGTACACCAAGTAGCCAATGGAAAACCTCTAGAGGGTATTTAAACCCCAGAAAATTCTGTAACCAGGCCTTTGAGCTGCTTGCTAGAGCCCGCTCCCACCCTGTGGAGTGTGCTTTCATTTTCAGTAAGTCTCTGCTTTTGTTGTTTCATTCTTTCCTTGCTTTGTTTGTGCATTTTGTCCAAATCTTTGTTCAAAGTGCCAAGAACCTGGACACCGTCCACCAGTAACATAAAGAAGGTACCTCAACCTATGCAAAAGACAAAGTTTGAAATAATTATTTCCTAGAACAGGAAACATAAAGGGAAATGAGCTTAGAGATGCCAAAGCCGGAAACAAGTTAGGAAAAAACATCCAGTGTTTAACTTTTGTTAAAGAAAACTTTGAAATGAAAAAAAAAAAAATCAAGACAAAAGGCTCTAAATCTGAATAAAGCTGGAAATTGGTGGCTTAGGGTTTACTTCCTCCAAAATTACCCAACCAATACAAATCACATGAACTGTATTTATATTGCATGAAGTCACTTTTAAAAGATCCAAGACACACCCCCAAAGACTGGGAGCCAGGGACTGCTCCAGGTCTCCAGAGTCCTCCCACAGACCACCTATAAGACATTTATGATAACGCTTATCATAAAGCAGAAATCCAATCAACTTATTTGATTGACATAACTTCTAAAGCAGTGACATCCTTCCCACTAAGCCCAGGTGACCACCACCAGCTTACCTCCTGTCCAGCCCCCAGCACTCATAAAGAAGAGGAAAAATCAGACCAGTTCATTTTTCTGTAATTTCAGAAATTCATAAGATCTACAAATTCTTATATGTGCGTGCATACATAGTGGGTACCCACATTAGTTCAATTCATCAGGCAAGGGATAAAGTTTTCTCAGAAGCAGTCAAAGATAAAAAGGGTCCCTTAACTTTGGTGAAGGTAAAACTGGGTCTGTGAGACAGCCAGGGCCAATGAAAGTGTCCACACTTTCCATCCACCCATGTCTCCGAATAGGGTATGTAACCTTTTTAAATTTCCATTTAATTTTTTTAATTTTTTTTAAAGATGAAACAAGCAAGCTGAAAAGAGGCAAAAGTTCACTAAGGCAAAGAAACACCTTTAGAGAAATTCAACCGGGTCTACACTTTAAAATACGCCTCACAGAGTAATTGTCTCAGAAATTGAAATACTATTTTGTCTACTTTTAATTGTGAAATTTCTAAACATACAGAAAAGTAAAAGGAATGTTCCCAAATATAATGAATATCTGATTACTTAATACCTAGATTCAACACTTGTTAATATTTTGACAAATTTATCTTTCTCCTAGTAAGATAGATTTCCTCATTGAATCATTTCAAAAATAAAATACAGAGATCAAGATACTTCATTTCTAAGTACAGGCAGTGTGATTTACACCTGTAATCCCAGCACTTTGGGAGGCTGAGACGGGTGGACTGCTTGAGCTCAGGAGTTTGACACCAGCCTGGGCAACATCATGAAACCCCATCTCTACAAAAAATACAAAAATTAGCTGCACATGGTGGCGCGCACCTCCCAGCTACTTGGGAGGCTGAGGCAAGGGGGTCACCTGAGCCCGGGAGATGGTGGCTGCAGAGAGCCGTGATTGCGCCCCTGCACTCCAGGCTCAAAACAAACACACAAACAAAAAATACTTCATCTCTAAAAACAGTTACGAGTATCTTGCCATTATCACATGCCATTAGCACAGCTAAGAAAAACAACAATCCTTGTATTACCCAATATCCACAATATCCAGTCTACATTCAAATATTCCCAATACCCCTTCCTCCCTACATACTTTTTTTTTTTTAGCTTGTTTCTTCAAATCCCCCTTTGATTCCATGGGATTGACTTTTTAAAGAAACTGGCCAGTTGCCTTATGGAAGGTCTCACATTTTGAAATTATCTGATTATTCCCTTGCATTATTTGTGTTGTTAATTTGTTCCTTTATCCTCAAGTTTACCTTGCTTACTTAAATTCTGATTAACATTTTTTGGACCATCTGATAATGGTATATTACCTACAGTATTGCAAGGGAATTACATAATGTTAGTTTGTCCAACTAATAATGCTCATAAATTTCATCACTTAAATAGTGAAATAAATATTTTAATCTGAGATTATTTCACTTAAAAGCATCTAGGATTTCAAGGGATATGTTTATAAACAAGAGAGAATGCAGGAGAAAAGGGAAATATTCACAAAAAGAAGGAGATGAGCCAAAATATCAAAGAGGTCAGGGTCTTGGTTATATTACTCTAGGTTATGAGTGGCAAGAAGGTGCAGGGCTTATATTAATTCAAGTATAATCTGCTTTACAGAAATCTAAGAGCTTTAAAAGCAGACACAATTATTAGATGATTAATAACAATGCAAAACTATCCCTACAACTAATTCCTTAGGTATCATTAAAATAAAGGTTTAAAATGCAATACATATGGCATACCATCTCCTAAGTCATTACATACTTTTCAAACATGTCCTTGCACATATTAATATATTCACACACTGGATCATCATAAATCAACCTCAAAGAGGTAGGCAGAATGAGAATGTTCTCAACTTAATTTTACCAATGGGAATTTGAGCTCAAGGCAAAGATTCAGCCAGGAACACAGTGTCAAAACTAAGGTTAAATTCCAAGTCATTTTTCACTCAGTATAATGGCCTTTCTAACAAAATGAACTATGAATTTAACAGCAAGGTTCAATTTGGGTATAATTTTTCAGAAAGAACTTTACGTATGACATTACAGTGCAATGCTACATATGTTTGACACTCATATTTTATAAAAGGAAGCTAGACCCTTACGCATATCACATACATACATGCACAATCATTTTTTTAGCATCTCGGTGTTTCCTTATCTGAGTAAACAATGTTGTAAGTATGTTAAATAAACCCTCCTTAGGGAACACCAAACCCACAGACTTCCCTGTAAATACAGTTGTGTCACTATAGCCCCACGTGACAAAGATGAAAAAATGTGACACAATGCCATCATACATTCCTATTTCTCAGGCAAAATCATACAGCCACACTGCATGCACCCTGACCTCTCAGGGTCCTCTCCAGCCCCCTCTCCAGCCACAGCCTTGTGATGAAACACTGATTTTTTTTTAAGTCAGATTATGTTGTAAATGCACCTGGAGAGAGCTTTTTAAGTTAAAGGCATTTCCGAAATTACAAAATAACTGTATTTCACAGCAACATTCAGATCAGAATTCTATGAATTCCTCACCTTTGTTTCTCATAGAGATTGTGGTAAGACACTCTTCAAGTTAGTTCATCTCCCTGAGCTTCTATTAAGTCTAGAGTCCATGAATGCCAGGGCCTTCTGTGCCAGCACTCCTGGCATATTTAAAACCTTCTGGAAATTGTTGCTTCACTCACACTTCCTTTTGCTAGAAGATGCAAGGAGGACTTGTGCACATTTGTGGACATTTGCATAACAACTCTGGTTAATTCTTTAATCAATAAAAAATTAATTTAAAACTTATAAGCCCAATAACTTGGCCACCAAAACCCTAGAAAAATCACAATCATCAAGATAAAGCTCAAAAGAAAATGATATGTATATACTGTATCCAAAGTCATCTGACCTGGTCACGACTTGTAAAGTGGGTATATATTAATAACTTAACTGTGTTTTCTTTCTCTTTGCAATGTGATTCTGTCATGAACTAACTCCTGTCTAGCTCTACAGCAACCCTGAGAACAGCGCCTTTATCCACTGGCTGGTGTGGTAGGTAAGTATAAGTGCTACACAACTTCTCCTTCTTGTGTCTCTCAGTCTCACCGGATTCTTCTGTCTCACAGGATTCTTTCCTGGAAGACTGTGCTAATGACAGAGTGGACTTACACATCCTACCCCACCCAGGTGCATTGCCCGAGGTCACAGCAGGGGCTAGGAGCAGTAGAGCAGAGGTCTGACCCTGCATCTGGGGCTGCAGAGCTGGGGCCCTTTGCAGCTAGAATCTTCTGGCCTCACATTCCTCAGGTCTAGCTACCTATCAGTTGATGACATGTTGTCACATTTCCACAAATGGCGGCCACTCAAATTCACCACCACACACATAACACCCCAGCCCCCACCAGCCCAAAACAGCTGCTGGAAACTAGCAGAAAGCAGACTATTGCTTTCCATAATCCTTTCCTCTCCCAGTTCCAATTACACCCACACAGGGAGAGCCAAGCACTGAAAAGCCTAGGAGGAGGGATTTTATCAAGTCAGAGAGAGCTTCACAGCCCTCTGCTAGCCCCAGTGAGACAACAGTACAGCTTTGTGCAACACATGCTTGGGGGGTTTCTTCACAGCAATTTAGAATGAGGAAATTCCATTTACTGCCAGACTTTTGTTAAAGAGCTCCCATTTAGATGGCCATGCCCTTAATAATCTTCCCCTGTGCCACTTAGCCGTTTTACCTCTACAAGAGCTGACAACTCAGCAGATGGTATCAAAAGTACTTCTGTACTCAGGGTTGAATGGGAGTATGAGGGCCTGGACCGGACAGAGCTTCTATTCAGAATGGCCTCCTTTGAAAACTCCTCTGGTGTTCCAAATCCCAGGAATTCAAGTCACTGCAAGGAAAAATCTTCACTGCCCAGGGGGACAAGGATGCAGGGGACAAGACCAACTGGGCTACCTATGCCAGGCATGGATTTGTCACCACAGCGAAGATTAAGGGTCGATTAAGCATCTTACCTAGGTGTGGCAATTTGCCAGACTCCATATTCTCTTACTGAGGATTTCTTCCAGACATTTTAAATGAGGTGCCTTTAAATGTGGGATACACAATTTCTGATGCCAGAGGTCATCACCAAGATCACAGAAACACCACCTACTGAATGCTTAACTAAAAGTCAATTCACTTTCCACCCATATACCTTCTAATCCTGAAAACAACCCTACTTGGAATAGACTCCCGGTTCTATTTTTTCAGACAGGGAAATGGACTGAGAGGGGTTACGTGAGTTGCCCAAGCTTACAGACCTATCTCAGTCCACCCAGGTCTACACAATCACACAGCCTAACCCACTGTTCTCCAATTATGTCTGCCCTGACTCAGCACCAGCGCTGAATGTAGCTCGGTGAGGGTGGCAGATGGGGCAGGATAGGGATTAAAATGCTCCCATACTCAGCGGGGTGTGGTGGCTGATGCCTGTAATCCCAACACTTTGGGAGACCGAGGCAGGTGGATCACTTGCAGTCAGGAGTTCGAGACCAGCCTGGCCAACATGGTGAAACCCTGTCTCTATTAAAAATACAAAAAATTAGCCAGGTGTGGTGGCGTGCACCTGTAATCCCAGCTACTCAGGAGGCTAAGACAGAATTGCTTGAACCTGGGAGGCGGAAGTTGCAGTGATCCGAGATCATGCCATTGCACTCCAGCCCGGCAACAAGAGTGAGAGAGACTTCGTCTCAAAAGAAAAAAAAAAAAAAAAAGAATGCTCCCATACTCCCCATAACTGAATTACCTGCCTGTAAAGTGAGAGAATCCTGAAGGCAAGGACTCTCCTCTCTATATATCCCCAGGACCTAGTGTGATGCCAGACACACAAAACACACCAAACTGATGTATGCTAGATGACTGGGCCCAAGCAAAACCTCACACAATTCACTGGAAAAGATCAAGCAACATTAGCTAAACAATCTACACTATCATAAAAAAAAATTTTTTTAAGAAAAAATACATCTAATAACAGCAAACCTCAAAACTTTAATTTACATAATTTTAAATATGAAATACTTCATTTATACCAAAACCAAAAGAAAAGAAAATCACATTACAATGATAGTATCTTTAACTTCTATAGCAACTTCACAAAACACAAATGTTTCACTTTAAAACTGCGATTATTATAGCCTTGACATTCTGTTCTAGGAAGAAGTATAATTCCACATTTTTTTAAGTTGGTTCTTTGGATTCAATCTAGTCTTTTTTATCTAAATTGCCAACATGTTAAACATTCCACTTTAAACAATTTTTTTTGAGACAGAGTTTTGCTCTTGTTGCCCACACTGGAGTGCAATGGCGCGATCTCAGTTCACGGCAACCTCCGCCTCCCAGATTCAAGCGATTCTGCTGCCTCAGCCTCCCCAGTAGCTGGGATTACAGGCATGCGCCACCACGCCCAGCTAATTTAGTATTTTTAGTAGAGATGGGGCTTCTCCATGTTGGTCAGCCTGGTCGCCAACTCCCAACCTCAGGTGATCCGCCCACCTCGGCCTCCCAAAGTGGTGGGATTACAGGCGTGAGCCACTGCGCCGGGCCAACAATTTTCTTATATTATTCTAACAGAGAGTATTTTACCTCTGCCTCTCCAAACTTTATTTTTTAAATAGAAGAACATCTTATCTACTTCAAATACAAAAGTCTCAATGTGTATGGGAGCCACTTTAAGAACCAAAATAGTGTGAGAATATAAATACATATACACACACACACACACACACACACACACATATATACATATATATATATATATATATTTTGTTTTTTTTTTTTGAGATGGAGTCTTGCTGTGTTGCCAGGCTGGAGTGCAGTGGCACAATCTCAGCTCACTACAACCTCTGCCTCCCAGGTTCAAGCAATTCTCCTGCCTCAGCCTCCCAAGTAGCTGGGACTACAGGCTCACACCACCACATCTGGCTAATTTTTGTATTTTTAGTAGAGACAGGGTTTTACCATGTTGGCCAAGACGGTCTCAATCTCTTGACCTCGTGATCCTCCTGCCTTGGCCTCCTAAAGTGCTGGGATTACAGGGGTGAGCCCCCACACCCGGCCTATAAAAATATTTTGGAAACTTAAAATATTGTCTAAATCTAAAAAAAAAGAAAAAGAAAAAGCTGGCTGACACAGTGGCTCATGCCTGTGATCCCAACACTTTGGGAGGCCAAGGCCAGAAAATCACCTGAGGTCAGGAGTTCAGGACCAGCCTGGCCAACATAGTGAAACCCCATCTCTACAAAAAAATACAAAAAATTAGCCAGGTGTGGTGGCGTGCACCTGTATTCCCAGCAACTCAGGAGGCCGAGGTAGGAGAATCACTTGGGCCCAGGAGTCACAAGCTGCAGTGAGGTGAGACTGTGCCATTGCACTCCAGCCTGGCTGACAAAGTGAGACCCTGTCAAGACAGAGGAGACGGATGGAAAGGGAAAAGGGAAGGGAAGGGGGATGGGAAGGGGAGGGAAGGGAAGGGAGAAGGGAGGGGGAGAGGATGGGGGAAGGGGAGGTGGGGGAGAGAAAAGGGGGAGGGGGGAAGGGGATGGTAAAGGGGAGGGGAGAGGAATGGGGAGGGGAGGGGGAGGGGAATGGGGAGGGGGAGGGGAGGGGGGATGGGAGGGGAATGGGGAGGGGAGGGAAGGGGAATGGGGAAGGGAGGGAAGGGGAATGGGGAGGTGAATGGGGAGGGGAGAGAGGAGGGGAATGGGGAGGGGAGAGGGGAGGGGAGTGGAATGGGGAGGGGAGGGGAATGGGGAGGGGAGGGGAGAGGGGAGGAGAGGGGAGGGGAGGGGAGAGGGAAAGGGAAAGGGAAATGGCAAAGGGAAAAGAAAAGGGAAAGAAAAAGCTCATTTCACTGATGTTACAGCTCCCCTTCACAAACAAACCCTTCCTCATGGCTGGGAAATTCAGGACCGCCAACTCAGAGGAAATGCCAAGGAGATGGTGTCATGAAAGACTCCTTAAAAGAAAACAGATAAGAGCTCTTTCTAGGAGAAAAATGACCAAGGAAAGCAAAGGAAGCAAACTTTGTTCACAGAGAGAAAAGCCTAACCTAACTGAATGACCCCTTATAGTCTACTGAAACAAGAACCCCAAAACGAAATGGCAACCCTTCTTTTTTTTTTTTCTTTTTTTTTGAGATGGAGTCTTGCTCTGTCACCCAGGCTGGAGTGCAGTGACGCGATCTCGGCTCACTGCAAGCTCCGCCTCCCGGGTTTACGCCATTCTCCTGCCTCAGCCTCCCGAGTAGCTGGGACTACAGGCGCCTGCCACCACGCCCGGCTAATTTTTTGTATTTTTAGTAGAGACGCGGTTTCACCATGTTAGCCAGGATGGTCTCGATCTCCTGATCTCGTGATCCGCCTGCCTCAGCCTCCCAAAGTGCTGGGATTACAGGCGTGAGCCACCGCGCCCGGCCAGCAACCCTTCTTTATAGTGGCGAACATCCATAAGAGATCACTTTCATTTTAACTCCAAGAAAGTGTGCCACCTGGGATGTGAGTGTGATTATTTCTAATGCCTATATTCCTGACCTTTGCCAAATTTCTCATATTTTCTTTCCTTTCTTTAGACCACGTAGTTCCTCCTAAAAGGAAAGCTACGGGATCAGTCAGGGTTATGGTTATCAAAGGACACAGCTGGGAAGCCTAAATTTCATACACAGTCCTCCCTCGGTAGACTCTGGGGAATGGTTCCAAGACCCCCAAGTATAACCAAATCCGCACTTAGTCAATTCCCACAGATGCTCTGTGGAACTTGCCTATAGGAAAAACTGCTCCTCCTTATACACAGGTTTCACATCCTGCATATATTTTCAATATGCATTTGGCTGAAAAACATCCGAGTATATCTAAGTGGACCCACACAGTTCAAATCCATGTTGTTCAAAGGTGAACTATACTATACTGCCAAACAGAGAGTAACACAACGCTCACGATGTGTCCTTAAATCCTTCTGTAGCATCTCTTCTCACATAAAAAATGTAAAACAGCTACTGTAACCACAAATTTCAGATACTTTTGCTCTGTCATCTTCCAAGAATAGAGGGTTCTGTGACTATGTTCATTACTATAAGACAGACAACAGTAGTACCCCCATTACCCGAGGTTTCATTTTCCATGGTTTCAGTTATGCACAGTCAACCACAGTCTAAAAGTATTATATACAGTAAGATATTTTGAGAGAGCCCATATTCACATAACTTTTCTTACAATGTATTGTTATTGCTTTTGTTTGTTTGTTTTTTGAGATGGAGTCTCTCTTGTCACTCAGGCTGGAGTGCAGTGGTGCAATCTCGCCTCACTGCAACCTCCATCTCCCAGGTTCAAGCTATTCTTGTGCCTCAGCCTCTCAAGTAGCTGGGATTACAGGCGTGTACCACCACGCCTGTAAAAATAATTTTTTCTATTTTTAGTAGAGACGGGATTTCACCATGTTGGTCAGGTTGGTCTTGAACTCCTGGCCCCAAGCGATCCACTCGCCTCGGCCTCCCAAAGTGCTGGCATTACAGGCGTGAGCCACCACATCCAGCCTATTTTTGTATTTTATTATTAGCTTTTGTTGTTAATCTCTTACTGTGCCTAACTTACAAATTAAATTTTAGCTATGTATGTATAGGAAAACCATGGGGTTCAGTACTATCCTCAGTTTCAGGCATCCACTGGGGGTCTTGGAATGTATCCCCCGTGGATAAGGGGGGACTGTGTTATTTTTAAAATTTTATGTATCTATTGAGTCTGTATTAAGTAATCTGTCATTATTACTGTATATCTGATTTATTTTTTAAAATGTGATCTGGGTTCAGGTCTTGACTTCTACCATTTGTGAGCTACAGATTTGACTGGTTTTCTGTAGATCTAGTCTATTCACTTATAGTATTTACCAATGATTTGCTAGGAAGGTGTTCTCAAATTTTGTAGAAAAAGAGATAAATGCAGAAATACAGATTATATATGCTATTTCTAAAACCTGTAACAAGTAATCTGGAATTACTAACAGAGAATTACATAAAAGTATTAACATATCATTATTCCAAAAAGCATCTGTCAAACTATAATTATTTCAATGAGTTTCTGATGACATTGTAATTGTATAAAACAAAGTCCCAAGGCTCTTTATGCCCCAAGCCTCCCACATGAAAGACATCCCCCTCCTTCTTATCCCTTACTCCAAAGGTACACACAGATAGTTGTGAAGCCATCTCAAGAGGTGAATGAGACCTTAGAAGTCCAACAAACCCTGTACCACTGTGCTCTGCATGAAGTTAAATGAAGAATCAATAACGGTGTTAAAGATCTTTCCCAAACACAACTCCCAATAAATACTCAGGTGAAACCTTTTCATAGCAGAGTAATTTATTTATAAGTGATGGAGGTCATTTTGCTAATAAAATACCCCTGTAATGGCTTGGTGCAGCAGCTCACGCCTATAATCCTAGCACTTTGGGAGGCTGAGCCAGGCAGATCACTTGAGCCCAGGAGTTCATGACCACCCTGGACAACATGTTGAGACCCTGTTTCTACAAAAAAAAAAAAAAAAAATACAAAAATTAGCTGGGCATGGTGATGCGCGCCTGCAGTCCCAGCTACTCAGGAAGCTGAGGTGGGAGGATCACCTGAACCCAGGAGGTCCAAGCTGTAGCGAGCTGTGATCAAGCCACAGCACTCCAGCATAAGCAACAAAGTGAAGCTGTCTCAAAAATAAGAAACAACAACAGAAAAGACATACCTGTAGTAAAGATGAACCAGACCCCAGAGGACACAGGTCAGATTCCAGTCCTGTCACTAATGACCTGTATGCACCTCTGACCTTCCATAATATGTCAACAGTATTTTTCAACTACTACCGAGCAGGCACTGATAGTCCTAGCTGCAAAATAGGAAACGGGCTGGAGTAGATGGCATCTACTCAGCTTCCAGATTCCCTCTTGGCTTAATTCAATTTGTATTAGCACCCACAGTAAAATTTTGCAGGAGGGTCTGACAGCAGCACTTGGATCCTATGACTTCATTAAGATCAAGGTGTCAGCCGGGCACAGTGGCTCACGCCTGTTAATCCCAGCACTTTGGGAGGCCGAGGCAGGCGGATCACGAGGTCAGGAGATCCAGACCATCCTGGCTAGCACAGTAAAACCCCATCTCTACTAAAAATACAAAAACTAAATTAGCCAGACGTGGTGGCGGTTGCCTGCAGTCCCATCTACTCAGGAGGCTGAGGCGGGAGAATGGTGTAAACCTGGGAGGCGGAGCTTGCAGTGAGCCGACATCGCACCACTGCACTCCAGCCTGGGCGACAGGGCAAGACGCTGTCTCAAAAAAAAAAAAAAAAAAAAAAAAAAAAAGAAAAAGAACTCATACTATAAATAAAGTTTCCCCGCATGCATCAAAACACAGTAACAGCTACTATAGACAGATGTGCACCTACTAACGTCACCTAGTGAAAGAAAAGACAGGCAGTAAATACAAGTACCTGTTTGCACAAAGTACTCTGTCCAAGACAAGTCCATGTAACAAGGCAAGGGGTAGGCCTAAATCAGCTATTGATTTCGAGTTCACAACAATCTACTCTGTTAAATGGAGAAACTTAAGAGGCAGATGAGGAACAGAGGGAGAGCGGATTAATGCAAAAATAAAGAAAGAAGAAGAAAAGAGTGTGCAGCTAGCAGGGAGGAGAGAGGGACAGACAGACAGACATAAAGAGACCAAAAACTTTTCATCTGTCAGACATAAAGATGTAAGATGATACTCAGAGTATCACTTTCTGGAGTTTCTGTTCCTTCAACAGTTGTCTCAGGCCGCCCACCAATTTCAGTAAAGCTTTTTTCTTCCACAAGAGTTTCTCTTGGGGTCAGGAACTCGGGGTGGGAAATAAACAAGTATGAAAGGAGCAAGAAGACCAGCCAGCCTTTTCCTTTGCTGTATTTAAGCAGTTATTTATTCCCCAGCAGTGGTCATGTGAATTCGGACTCTGCATAACAGACAAAGGGCCTTTACTAGGAAGTCCACAAGAAAACCTTTAAGAATTTTAGCCCAGAATACAAAAATTTTTCACTCTGCTTTCAAGGGAAGAAAGAAAAAAAAAAAAGCGAGGAGGGGGCATCAAAACAACAAACTAATTTTTTTTTTAAGTATTTGACAAACACTGTCATTCTCAGTCATTAGTGATTACCAAATCTAGCAAACAAAGTGAATTCCTATAACTTTTCCTAGCTAATATAAATGAAGCAGCTGCCCATATAGACCTTAAATTATTTCTGGAGCAAGGCATAAATAAATAAAAACAAATATTTACATTTCATCATATCATGTTACTTCACCATTGTGAGACCTCATACAACTCACTGGGTTTTTGTGGCCATGACTAACAATATTCTGGACTCCTTCCTTCCCCTCATCTTCACACTTGCCTGCCTTCCATTCCAGGGCTTTCTCTCCTAACAACTCATAAAGCAAAAAAAGCCTTTCTCGCTCCAACATGGAGCTGCTGAGGACTGAGGAGTTGGCATTTCTTTTATTGACAGCCAGTAAGCCACCTTACATTCTCTGGGCATATTCCCAAGGCTGTGTTTGAATTAACTCTGCTTGATGAAAACTTACATCAACAATGCCTTCCAACTAGGCTGGACGTGGTGGCTCATGCCTGTAATCCCAGCACTTTGGGAGGCCAAGGCAGGCAGATCACCTAAGGTCATGAGTTCAAGACCAGCCTGGCCAACATATAGTGATATCCTGTCTCTACTAAAAATACAAAAATCAGCTGGGCACGGTGGTACACACCTGTAGTCCCAGCTACCTGGGAAACTGAGGCAGGAGATTTGCTTGAACTCAGGAGGTGGAGATTGCAGTGAGCTGAGATCACGCCACTGCACTCCAGCCTGGGTGACAGAGCAAGATTCCATCTCTCAAAAAAAAAAAAAAAAAAAAAAAAAACAGCAAAAAAGCTTCCCAACTCAAAGCCTCTAATATACCGTGAATAGAATGATGTCATAATCCATACCTTGAAAGTGATTTCCCAGAGTTGGCAGAATCGGGTGGCACTATGAAGACATGAAAACATACTGACTAGTAAGAGATGACCTGCAGATTATCTCTCCCCTTGAAGGCATTTCACATTCACATATAATATAAGATGCAGACAGGGCTAGATTAATATTAACTAGTGTCTAACACTGAAAAACAAAAGCAATGTCATTATTTGATTGAGCCTTTGCAGTTAACAGAAAGAAAGAAAACCAAATGCCATATTCGGCTTGTCAATCATCCCCTTCTCTTCCTTTAACTGGAAATAGCCACTACTAATAATAAAGACCCCAGGCGCTAGCTGTCCACCCTTCTGGACAAGGGCCATGGTGGGTGTTGAACTTTAGTGGTTCCTGCAAACCCCACAGAGACAGTCAACCTGAAAGAGCCATTTACACCAAGGTAGTTTAACTCTTCAAGCCACCAAAGACTGAGGTACTTTCCTAAAAGTGCATTACTGGTTAAATCCAAAACAGTCACCAAAATCCCTTGGTAGTTTCTATAATGAACACTCCTTGAGACAAACAGACTGTCTTCCAGACTAAAGCCTGGAAAGGTTTTTGCTGGGCTAAGGAAAAAAAAAAAAAACTGTATACTTGCGGACAAAAATGTCTGAAAGGTAATTCATAAAATGCTAAAAGTGGTTCCCATACTTGCTGAAATCCATATCTCACTGTGTTTCATAAATCATAGCTAGATGAGATCTTAGAATGCCACTGACTTGATTTTTCAGAGTCCAGAACCTCAACAAAAAAAGATGGATATCTACCCTATTTTGCTAAATCCTCCAGGGAATGCATTTCCACAGCCTCTTGCCTGCAAGCAGCACAATGAGAATGTTTATGTTCAAAATGCCAAAGGCACATTTCAAAAACTATTTCAAACAAAGATTTTCTTTGAAAATGCATGTTATGGGGTAGGCAAGGGAAAAGGGCAGGTGGGGAGGGTGAGCTGTAGAAACTGATTAACTCTTTAAATCAAAGGCAAATCTGGGGAGGCATTTAAGCTTGGCAAGGAAGTCAAATCACAGCTCTGCTACTTAGTAGCTCTGTACCTATACATCAGGCAAACTGCACAAATACCTCTAAGCTTCAGTTTCATCATCTAAAAAATGGAAATAAAAACAGTGCCTGCTTTATAGCATTAATTTGAGAGATTAAATGAGATATTGCATGTACAAGTATGCTCCACAACTCCTGGAGTGAATAAAACACACAATAAATGCTGGCTATTGTTACTGTCATCATTTACTGTGCAATAAACACAGAACTGGCATTGTCCTGCAGTCTGCTTTTGCCTTGAATGCCATGACTATCTGCGTGAACTGCCAATGCTCCCTACAGTCGGAGCCTGGCACCAGTAGAAACAGAAACAGGTCTCCTGAGCCTGACACGGTTTCATACACAGACGTGGACAGTGGCCAGTAGCAATAATGATGTGGAATGTGGACACGGCCAGTAAAACTCCTGGTGCAGTTTTATGGAATAAGCTTGGATTCTAACTCAGTACCTCCAATTTATGACCACAGACAGGTAAATTAACCTTGCTAAGCCTTCGGTTTTTTCTTCAGCTAAATGGGAATAGCATTACCTCAAATTCATCCTCATAGGTGAAAGCACTAGCACAGTGCCCAGCTGAGTGCACCATCAATGTCATCCTCTTTCTTTCCCTCCTTTACCCTGGAACTTCCCAGTACTATGTGACTTCTGGTACACAGGGTGAGCTTAGCTATGATTGGCAGAAAATAGGCTAGGCACTATATGAATAAGGATATGAGAAAATGCAGATGGATATAAGCAGTGGCATTTTCTCCTGAGCTAAGAATGAACCAATTCTATTGAGATAATGCCACCCTTCATACAAGAATATGAACTGCTGAGAAACTAAGCACTCCGTAAGAGACAAGCTGGTGCACTGTGAATACAACCTGAGGAATTTAAAACTGTATGACCAAGTGTGATTCCCATGCTACTTTATTTTCATCAACTTTCAAGAAATCTTTCATTCACTACCTTGTTGTGACTTCATTTACCCTTGGGCATGTTATAAAAGTTTCCATTTCAATATAAAATTAGTTTTAATCCACTTTACAACCCTGGAAAAACAGGGAGGTTCAGAAGAAAAAGATAACAAAAAACAAATAGGGAACTGAAACACCGTTAAGCTTTGGAAAGCACTGCTCTCCCCCACCAGCCCCAGAGGACGTTCACATGGCTCACCCTACAAACACAGAGGTCACCTGCTCTATGAGGATCAGAATGCTCAAAACCAAAATGTAAAACATTGATAAGGAAACAGTAGAATGACAGCTGACACCTCCCCATGAATGATGAACACTGTGCTGGCTCCTTTGGGACCAAACTGAAACAAAACAGTATAAAAGAAAGCAATGCCAGTGTATACGTAAATGGGACACACTGTCCAGACCACAGCGAAGATTCATACCTTGAAGGCAGATAGAATGCCCAGTCTACCCTACCTACAGGTGTCTGTAGTCGAGCCCCTACCAACTCACCTGGTTTTAAATGAAAGCCAGTTTAGTTTCAGCACCTCCTAACAGTTCCTTAACTTACATGTCATGTAACCACTGATTTAGGAGTTGTCTGCTTAATGCCTGTCTTCTCTCTCTGCTCCATGAGGTCAGGCAGAGGCCATGCATTTCTTTCCATTTTAAATACATGGAAACAGCAGTGCCTAGTATTCAGTATGTACCCAATAATGTGCTGAATGAAGAAAGGCACCTTAAAGTTTCACCCCCTCTGGCCTTTTGTCTGAGTCCCATTTTACAGATGAGACATTGAGACTCCAGGGGTTAAGCTATTGTGTTCCCAACCACAAGCTGGGACTTGAAAGCAGCACTGGGAAGCAGGAGAGGATCAGTCTCATGGCAGAGTATTCTGCCTCTCTGTTGTATAAAAGTAAAAGGGGAGGAGAAAGATCATTTCTACAAAGGCGGTATCCTAGTGAATATGTTCCACCGAACGTTTACCAGTTTCTTCAGTGTGTTTTCTCCTTTCCTTTTAGTTAACTTCATGCTTCTTCACCTGATAAGAATGTGTGTATGTACAACTGTTGAACACTGAATTCTTTACAAAAATGCCAATGCATAGCTGAAAAGCTGTTATTAAAACCCCATCATACTTTCCAACACACCAACAGAGGGATGGAAGCGGCACATACACCCCCCAACGAAACAAGAAAGGTTACGTCCCTTCCCAGTGGCAGGTATCAGTGTTGTGCCCAGGCTGTGGAGCCTGGACTGGTCCCCAAATTCAAAACAGAAGGAAGTGAAAAGATAAAAAGGTAGAGGACTTACAGCAGAAGCAAACATTATCTGAATACACAATCTTGATGACCCCCCATTCCTCTGTGAGATCATCCTGCTGATCCTAGGTATGTCTCTTTGTTCCTTCTTTTTTTTTTTTTTAGACAGGGTCTTACTCTGTCACCCAGGCTGGAGTGCAAGTGGTGCAATCTTGGCTCATTACAACCTCCACCTCCCAGGCTCAGGCAATTCTCCCATCTCAGCCTCCTGAGTAGCTAGGATTACAGGCCTGCACCACCACGCCTGGCTAACTTTTTTTTTTTATATATATACTTTAAGTTTTAGGGTACATGTGCACATTGTGCAGGTTAGTTACATATGTATACATGTTCCATGTTGGTGCGCTGCACCCACTAACTCGTCATCTAGCATTAGGTATATCTCCCAATGCTATCCCTCCCCCCTCCCCCAACCCCACCACAGTCCCCAGAGTGTGATAGTCCCCTTCCTGTGTCCATGTGATCTCATTGTTCTATTCCCACCTATGAGTGAGAATATGCGGTGTTTGGTTTTTTGTTCTTGCGATAGTTTACTGAGAATGATGATTTCCAATTTCATCCATGTCCCTACAAAGGACATGAACTCATCATTTTTTATGGCTGCATAGTATTCCATGGTGTATATGTGCCACATTTTCTTAATCCAGTCTATCATTGTTGGACATTTGGGTTGGTTCCAAGTCTTTGCTATTGTGAATAATGCCGCAATAAACATATGTGTGCATGTGTCTTTATAGCAGCATGATTTATAGTCCATTGGGTATATACCCAGTAATGGGATGGCTGGGTCAAATGGTATTTCTAGTTCTAGATCCCTGAGGAATCGCCACACTGACTTCCACAATGGTTGAACTAATTTACAGTCCCACCAACAGTGTAAAAGTGTTCCTATTTCTCCACATCCTCTCCAGCACCTGTTGTTTCCAGACTTTTTAATGATTGCCATTCTAACTGGTGTGAGATGGTATCTCATTGTGGTTTTGATTTGCATTTCTCTGATGGCCAGTGATGATGAGCATTTTTCATTTGTTTTTTGGCTGCATAAATGTCCTCTTTTGAGAAGTGTCTGTTCATGTCCTTCGCCCACTTTTTGATGGGGTTGTTTGTTTTTTTCTTGTAAATTTGTTTGAGTTCATTGTAGATTCTGGATATTAGCCCTTTGTCAGATGAGTAGGTTGCGAAAATTTTCTCCCATTTTGTAGGTTGCCTGTTCACTCTGATAGTAGTTTCTTTTGCTGTGCAGAAGCTCTTTAGTTTAATTAGATCCCATTTGTCAATTTTGGCTTTTGTTGCCATTGCTTTTGGTGTTTTAGACATGAAGTCCTTGCCCATGCCTATGTCCTGAATGGTAATGCCTAGGTTTTCTTCTAGGGTTTTTATGGTTTTAGGTCTAACGTTTAAGTCTTTAATCCATCTTGAATTGATTTTTGTGTAAGGTGTAAGGAAGGGATCCAGTTTCAGCTTTCTACATATGGCTAGCCAGTTTTCCCAGCACCATTTATTAAATAGGGAATCCTTTCCCCATTGCTTGTTTTTCTCAGGTTTGTCAAAGATCAGATGGTTGTAGATATGCAGCGTTATTTCTGAGGGCTCTGTTCTGTTCCATTGATCTATATCTCTGTTTTGGTACCAGTACCATGCTGTTTTGGTTACTGTAGCCTTGTAGTACAGTTTGAAGTCAGGTAGCGTGATGCCTCCAGCTTTGTTCTTTTGGCTTAGGATTGACTTGGCAATGCAGGCTCTTTTTTGGTTCCATATGAACTTTAAAGTAGTTTTTTCCAATTCTGTGAAGAAAGGCATTGGTAGCTTGATGGGGATGGCATTGAATCTGTAAATTACCTTGGGCAGTATGGCCATTTTCATGATATTGATTCTTCCTACCCATGAGCATGGAATGTTCTTCCATTTGTTTGTATCCTCTTTTATTTCCTTGAGCAGTGGTTTGTAGTTCTCCTTGAAGAGGTCCTTCACATCCCTTGTAAGTTGGATTCCTAGGTATTTTATTCTCTTTGAAGCAATTGTGAATGGGAGTTCACTCATGATTTGGCTCTCTGTTTGTCTGTTGTTGGTGTATAAGAATGCTTGTGATTTTTGTACATTGATTTTGTATCCTGAGACTTTGCTGAAGTTGCTTATCAGCTTAAGGAGATTTTGGGCTGAGACAACGGGGTTTTCTAGATATACAATCATGTCATCTGCAAACAGGGACAATTTGACTTCCTCTTTTCCTAACTGAATACCCTTTATTTCCTTCTCTTGTCCTAGCTAACTTTTGTATTTTTGTAGAGATGGGGTTTTGCCATGTCACTCACGCTAGTCTCGAACTCCTGGGCTCAAGAGATCCATCCACCTCAGCCTCCCAAAGTGCTGGGATTACAGATGACAGACAACGCACCTGGCCTCATTCCTTATTTCTGAAAGCAGTCTTGTTGTATTCCAAATTCAGAGTCAAGAAATGGGAAATAGAAATTACATGGACGCATGAAAGTTCTTCAATAAATTTGTCATCTGACAGAAAATCCTGCTTTCCCAAAGCAGAACAGTAGAAGCTGTTGTTTTGTTTTGTTTTCTTGCTTTTAAAAGGCAAATACCAGAAGCATTTGTTACTTCCATATACACAGAGGCACATACCCACACACACTTTTTTGAAGATGTGCAAATGGAAATCTATTTAGGGTGCTTCCTTGCTTAATCAGCTTCACTCGGTAAACTTTAGACTATTCTTCAGAAGCCAAAAAGCAAGGTACAGTATTTACAAACAGAGCCAGCCAACATTCTCTCAAAAATTCTATGAAATACTAACATGCTGTTTTACACCAGAGACTGGAGTTGTGGCTACTCCTCTGAATAAGAGGATATAGAAAACAGACTACAATGTATACAACTGATATAGCACATCAATGTGCTACAGACATTAAAAGTCATTTTGCTTATCAGAAAAAAAGAGCTCGACCCTTCACTTTTGATGGTGACATTCATCACGACACCAGTTCCTCAAGCACCTACAGAGCATTTCTTCACTGGAAGCAGAAGAGGTGCCAAAAAGTATAAGCAGTTTACCTCCTTAGTATTTCCATTCATTTTCAAAGGCTGCTGTAAAGATTAACCAAGCCTATTTCTTGGACCAAACTAGACATAGTATTAAAATGATATTTGGGATCTGTTTTGTTTGTTTGCTGGTTAATTTTTTCCTCAGAGAGCTTTTCTAATCTCTATCCAAAGCTAAGAAGGGGGGGCAGGGAAAAAAACCTTGGAAGGAAAAAGAGATAAATAAGGCTGTTGGGACATGACATCCAATCTTCTGTCCCCACTGAGCTGTTTTAATTTGTGGTCACTTGCAGTGCAGATCTTCTCTAATTAGAAGGTGGGAATATCTGTTCCTTTAAAGCAGTCTTTAATTACTCCACCCTTGAAAATTCCTACCCCTGCTATGGGGACCAGATACATCACTCTCCCCTTCCCAAACCTAAAAGAAATATACACCATTCTTGACTAAGAATACGGACACAAGGCCGGGCATGGTGACTCACGCATGTAATCCCAGCACTTTGGAGGCCTAGGCGGGCCTACCACCTGAGGTCAGGAGTTCAACACCAGCCTGGCCAACATGGTGAAACCCCGTCTCTATTAAAAATACAAAAATTAGCCGGGCCTGGTATCAGGTGCCTATAATCCCAGCCACTCAAGAGGCTGAGGCAGGAGGATCGCATGAACCCAGGAGGCGGAGGTTGCGCTGAGCCAAAATCGCACCACTGCACTCCAGCCTGGGCAACAGAGTGAGACTCCATCTCAAAAAACAAAACAAACAAAAAAAAAGAATATGGACACAAAAGCAGTCACAGGAGAAGCCCTTAGATGTCTCTCCTGGTCTTGTCCTAAACTCTCATAGTCCACTCTACCCTCAGGATGTCAGGATGCCAACCTCAACCTGCATCTGAGCGAAAGAGTAGGGGGACACAAGGGCAAAATGTTTTGTCTACCTAAGGCAGTTATTAAGAACCCTACCAGTAAAACTTGGGTTCCTCAATATTCTATATGTTTAAGCAACAATATACACTGGGCTAGAAATCACAGGTTTCTATAAAGAACTTGTTGAGGGAAGGGGCGGCGAAGACAAAACCTACCTACCTAAGTCAAGGGAGGAAAAAAAAACAAACTTAAGGAAACAGCTCCACATTTGGCCTAAAAATCTTTTTTCCCAAAGGGCTTTTCTCAGAAGCGAAATGTAATTTAGTTTTAACGTGAGCTTAAAATCTCCTTAAATCAATATTTACAGTTAAACACACAGTCCAAAAATGTGCAAGATCCCAAAGACAACATTTTTATAGCAAGGTCTCATTCTACAATAAGAAAAGTAATCCCACAAAATTAAAATGCTAGAGGACAACATGGAGAGTCAGCTTCCTGTCTGTGACTCAGCTGTGAGAGGTAGTCAGTTCTCCTGAATATAATATGTATTACCATGGCAGAACAACAAATCCAAATCCAGCACAAAAAAAGCCATTTATTAAACTTACAAAACATGAAAAAATTAAGTTTCTCAGTAACAGGTGCCCTAAGCCAATAAAAACCATGTTTATTCACCATACCAAAATTTAAAAATCAGTATATACTTACATTAAAAAAAAAAAAAAAAATCAGGGCCAGGCACAGTGGCTCACACTTGCAATCACAGTGCTTTGGGAGGCTAAGACTGAGGATCACTTGAGCCCAGGAGTTGAAGACCAGCTTGGGCAACACAACAAGAGCGTGTCTCTACTAAAAGTAAAAATTAGCTGGGTGTGGTGGTATGCACCTGCGGTCCCAACTACCCAGGAGGGTGAAGTGGGAGATCACTTGAGCCCTGGAGTTCAAGGCTGCAGTGAGTTATGATCACATCACTGTATTCCAGCTTGTGTGACAAAGTGAAACTTATTTAAAACACACACACACACACACACACACACACACACACAAAGGAAACAGGATTTCAAATAATTTGATCTGAGTGTAGACTGACAGATATCAACCACGGCAGAGAACCAAATGGGGGCCAATACAAGTAAGAAGCTCAGTAGCAGACTCACTCAAAGGAAAAAAAAAAAAAAGTAGGCAACAAACTTTGTAAGGGGTTTATTTACATTCTAGGGCAGTGTTTTACAAGCTAGTGGATCCAGAAATAATTTAGTAATGCACAACCAGACAAGCAGTTTTAACCACATCTTTAAACCCTGATATTCAGCTAGGCACTTAACGGCTTATGGATGGCTGTTTGCATACATTCTATGCTAATAAATAGAAGGCGCTTCAGACTCAATGCTCTAAATGGGCCCCCAAAAGTGTGCAGGTAAGTATGACCGTGGCATTTCAAATTTGGACATATCAGAGTTACACATACAATAAGAAAAAGCTTAGAACTCATGGCCCAAAGGTAGCTATATAAAATATAGAAATTTAGGACTTATAATCAGAAGATGTAGATTCTAATACTTTTTTTTTTTTTTTTTTTTACCTGGGGGCAAATCTTGAATTGTATGTAGGAAATCACCAGAGACCAGACACTATGCTTAAACAGTATTATTTGGGAGGAGGGAGGACAGCAGTATTGGGGGGGGGGGGGTGATATTTTCACTTTTTTCCATATTTCTGATTCAATTTATTTTATAATATGAAATTTTACAGAAGAAAGCTTGTGAAAATTAATCTAGAACCACACACCTTTATGGCTACATATGCTCTATTTCACCTTTGAAAAAGATGCAAATAAACCAAAGAAACACACCATCAAATACACCAAAGAAACACACCATCAAATACTTGTCAAAAAATCAAGTCCCAACGTCATCATTCTATCTATATTCAGCTTTTGATCTCACACTTTTAAATCTGCTACACTAGCTACTCATCCAGTAAGTGAAGCAGCATACTAAAAAGGTGATGCTGCACCATCAACAAAGTGAAATTAAAATTTCCACCCCATATAGATGACAAAAGTACCTTCAACACTTAGAACTCTTCCCACCATGAAAGTTACTAAACTCCTGGTGCTTAAAGAGTTGCTCTCTGAGAAACTCTGGCTATTCAGAATAACTCATTTCCAGCCTTTATTAAATAACAGAGGCTTTAAAGGTTTGGAACTATAGGCTAGCTACATTTTGTTTTAAGCCACTCAATTTTGTTCTTAGGATGAACAGATCAGCAAAGAACAGTTGGCCAGAAAATGCCTTCTGCACCCCTGGTGTCTTCAAGCGAGGGAAGAGGCTGGCAGGTCTCTTGGAGAGAAGGTAAAGCCCAACTCGCCTAGGACCTGCCAGTGAGGTACGCTGGCCCCATCCACTCCTCACACACCCCCCAACCCAAGGAGAAGACCACAGACTGGCTCAGGCCTCTCTTGTGCTGGTCAAAAGGTAGGCTCTACAAATCTAACATCTAGAATTCAGTAACCAGAAAAAAAGAAAACTAAAGTTCATTAAGTAGTAAAAAGAGCAAGCAATGTCTCTTAATCTGCTCTGTCGGACTTCGAGAGCCATTAAGCCACATGTGGCTAGTGGGCACTTGGACAATGATGGGTCTCAACTGAGATGTGCTGTAAACGTATACTACACACTGCATTTCAACAAAGAATGTAAATTGCCTAATTAATGTATTTGTTAAATGATGTGTTGAAGTGATAGCAGTATGGCTAAAATAGGTTAAATAAAATCTACTCTTAAAATTAATTTCGCCTCTCTTTTTAGGTTTTTATGCATACACTGGAAAAGTCTCTCTGTGGCTCACGTCAGTTCTAGTGGGCAGTGCTGCTCTGGAGGCTTGAAGACTTCCCTGACATTTTGTTTTACAAGCCTAAGACAAGTTTCACGCTAATCTTCCACTCAGTCTTTAACAGCCAGATTCCTCATCGCCATAGAGAGTAAAGAGAGGTGCTAGAAACAACTTAAGAAAACAGGCAGTCCTACCTTTATCACATTTTTCTTCTTGAAAGTATTATCTGGGCTGGGCATGGTGGCTCACACCTGTAATCACAGCACTTTGGGAGACCAAGGAGGGCGGATCACCTGAGGTCAGGAGTTTGAGACCAGCCTGGCCAACAAGGTGAAACTCTGTCTCTACTACAAATACAAAAATTAGCCAGGTGTGGTGGTGCGTGGCTGTAGTCCCAGCTATTCAGGAGGCTGAGGCAGGAGAATTGCTTGAACCTGGAAGGAAGAGGTTGCAGTGACCTAAGATCATGCCACTGCACTCCAGCCTGGGTGACAGAGCAAGACTCCATCTCAAAAAAGAAAAAAAGAAAGTGTTATCTGCTCCTGGGAGTGGTTTAAAATGTAGAGGTATTTTCCCCCTAGTAAACATGTTATCATGTCTGAAGTGGGGAGGGCAGAATGGAAATAAAGGACAACAGCATCCTGTCAGTGAAAGGCAAGTGCCCATGAAAAGCTCAACAAGGCCCTGTCACATGAAT
The DNA here is from genome assembly GCF_000001405.40 of Homo sapiens. Lineage (NCBI taxonomy): Eukaryota > Metazoa > Chordata > Mammalia > Primates > Hominidae > Homo > Homo sapiens. The sequence continues at coordinate 101,743,489 of NC_000002.12, read as the reverse complement.
AGGGAACAGACAACACACTAACTGAAAAGGATGGCTGTTACTGACAGTCAGGGCCTTAACAAACACTGGATCCAAAAATGAACGGTCAAATCAACGCTCTTCCTTATTATTGAGTCTAGGGTCACAGTTCTGTTACAGAGAACTCTGTCGTTTTGTTACTTTCACTGTGTTAGAAATATTGCTTACCAAATGTAAACCCCCCAAAAAAGCCAAAAAACAAGGCAAAAGAGCATTAATCAACATCTATCTGCTCATGCTCAGGTCAGATAGACGGAAGCATCTGAGTTGCCCTGAAAATTAAGGCAGCCACCTTGCCACACTCCCCAAGGTATGTTAACATGTGGTTAACCTACCTTCTGCTCACACATCCCTAACAATCTTTCATGGGGAAAACTGAGTTCATCTTGCTCCAGTCTCACCAGTCTTCCCAAGCAGAAAACTTGAAGACAAGTTAGAACTGAATATAAACAGATTTATAATTTTAGTAATTTATTTAAAGTAAATAAAACCTCTTTCAAAAAGAGCAGGACGTGGGCCTGATAAAAAGCCTCTCCCTTTAGAATTTAAAATCTGAAAAGCCATGGGTTTGCTCTTTCAGACTTCTAAACTATAACTGACATGCTTAGGCAGAAAGGTAGAGCTAGTTATTGCTACTCTATTTATGGAGATATTAATAACTCATTACTCTTCTTTCTCCCATTCCAGGAAATACAGTTAGGAGTAATATGTCATCCTAAGTAGTCAATATTCTCTCTCCTTTACCTGCTTGACCCTGCAATGAAACTACTGCAGAAAGAAGGCTTGTGAGCAAGACCTCCAGCTGAAAAACAATCAGGGAGAGGACTTTTTCCATAAAAAGAAAGTGGGGCCAGAGGAAGTGGGAAAGCAGTGCTAGCTTTAGTCCTCACTCATTTTACTCAAGCCGAAGTTAACACTGTGTTACAGGGGCTTCACTCTCTGGCACACATTTATTGTAAACATCCTAGAGGGAGAAGTCAGGCAGGCAAAAAGAGGCTGAGAGAGAAGCAAGCTAAGGGCGGGCACACAGGCAGCGTGGCTCAGGAAGCCAAGGAGCAGGAAAGAGGCAATTTATTCTAAAGGCTTAAGGAAAACAGCGCCAGTCCTAAGAGGCCACTGAAGACAAAAGACACACCGTAGGTTACCAATGAGCTTTCAGTACAGCTTTGCTGCCTCCTCAGTCTGCCTAAAGAAATCAAGGTCAGAACCTGCCTGTACCTGCCTGGGAAGCCTCCAAAGGAAATTTCAGCGCTCAGATTCTCTCCTGGACAGCACTCTGCCTCCTGAGTCAGGCTGAGCCCAACCCAAGAGTGCGGGACTCTGAAGGGTCCTCTGCAATTCTTCCTCCAGCCCAGATGACCCACTAGAGCCCAGGGACCCTGGAACCAGGTCACACAGCCCTCCTGTGCTCTTGACAACAGCTTCTTCACAACCAAAGAGATACAAAGGGTGTGCTCTTCACTTAGACCCCTCACTAAACCATCTACAAACACACACTCACCTTTCAGCCGCACTATCTAGCACAGCAGCGTGGCATTCCTAAGAGCACCCAGCCTGAAGTGAAACACTTGGCATGTACTATTTAGTTCTCACAACCCCGTGTAACCAATTTTTCAATTTTTTTTATTTTTCAAATAAGTACACTGAGAATCAGAAAAATAACTTTCACAAAGGCCCATAGCTGGTAAATGCTAGAAAAGGGACTCAAACCCAGGGCCTGCTGGCCCAAAGCCTATGTTTTAAAAACTAAACCAGTCGTCCTCAAAGTTTTTAGCCTCAGGACTTTTTTGCACTCATGAAAATTGAAAACTTCAAATAACTTTATGTTTAGCTGGATTATATCAATATTTACCACATTAGAAATTAAAACTGAAAGATTAAGGTTGGGGGCTGGAGCGGGGGTGGGTAGAGTAAAATGTCCTTGATCTAATTTAGCAAGTGGGCAGGGAACTCCTCTTCATTAACATGGAGTCTGCGATATCCTTAAGAAAAACACCTACTACTGGCCGGGTGCGGTGGTTCACGCCTGTAATCCCAGCACTTTGGGAGGCTGAGGCAGGCAGATCACGAGGTCAGGAGATTGAGACCATCCTGGCTAACACGGTGAAACCCCGTCTCTACTAAAAATACAAAAAAATTAGCCAGGCATGGTGGCGGGCGCCTGTAGTCCCAGCTACTCGGGAGGCTGAGGCAGGAGAATGGCGTGAACCCAGGAGGCGGAGCTTGCAGTGAGCCAAGATCACGCCACTGCACTCCAGCCTGGGCAACAGAGCGAGACTCTGTCTCAAAAAAAAAAAAAAAAAAAAATACCTACTACCCTCCACACTTCCCCATGTACAGCAAAAGAGGGTCAAAATTTCAAAGTTTATAATACAGTAGTGCTCCAAGAGTCCTCAAGCATCAAAGTTGAATTTGATTCTCAGATCCACTTTTTAACTCTTTATGGCTTTAAGTGATAAATAACCTCTCTAAACCTCAGTCTCATCATTTGTAGCAATGAGAGTAACAACTAATGGAGGTATTTTAAGGGTAAACAGTTCAGGGTCTGGCTCATACACATTCAAATGCTGACTGTAATCACTGTTACTATTGTTAGCTACAGAAAAGGAGAGGACTAAGGAGAGAATTTTGCACTTCCACAAAATTTAGCAAGGTTTTCTCAACAGACATGTTTCCTTCCCTTACTCTAAAAATAAGGTTTTTTTTTCAAAGCGAATAAGGGAAGGTCTTTGCTTATGCTGACAGTGCAAACTGAGACAACTAAACCCTATCTTCAAATATTTATTTTCCCCCTTGAAAGTCAACATTGCTTTCTGTCTTCTCAGCAAGCTTGAAAAGAACAGTTACTGCAGACATCAAGGTCAAAAAGCATGGCTTCAAGTTTTTATTCTACTGGAAACAGCAAATGACCTTATTAGTGTAGGATTCCAGATTTATATAATAAATTAGAGGCACAATACAGCAATGCAGGCTTTAAATTATGATGATTGAGGGGAAAATATCAAGATGATATAAAGCGGCCGGGCGCGGTGGCTCACGCCTGTAATCCCAGCACTTTGGGAGGCCGAGGCGGGCGGATCACGAGGTCAGGAGATCGAGACCATCCCGGCTAAAAACGGTGAAACCCCGTCTCTACTAAAAATACAAAAAATTAGCCGGGCGTAGTGGCGGGCGCCTGTAGTCCCAGCTACTTGGGAGGCTGAGGCAGGAGAATAGCGTGAACCCGGGAGGCGGAGCTTGCAGTGAGCCGAGATCCCGCCACTGCACTCCAGCCTGGGCGACAGAGCGAGACTCCGTCTCAAAAAAAAAAAAAAAAAAAAGATGATATAAAGCAACTTTGAAGCCAAGAAAGCGACAGATGTTGTGTTGAAGGTTCAGTAGTACTTTCCATCCTCCCAGGATACTCAACATCTGCATCCCTGGGGCCTATGACCTGTGGTCAACATGTCCAAAAGCAAACGTGTCAACAATTCTCCATCACCCTTCCTCCCTTTAGTGTAAAATAATGGACCTCCCCAAAGCATAGGAAGGGCCAGAATCTCAGACATAAGGTGAGATGAGAGAGTGACTGCCCTACTAACAAAAGATTTATAAAGTCCGTCTCATTTATAGGTTAACAGACAGAAGCCATTCTGATGGTCCCAAGGTTGGTTCTCTTAATACCTCTATAGCTGACTACTCAAATAATGTTGGCTGAACAAAGAGGTAATTAACAACTCTAATCCAAGTGAATTCTAAATTCATTTCTGGAGTTGAATTTAAAGATTCACTGGAAATTCTTCTATCTACCAGTTGTAAAGGAAACAAGTTTTCAGAGTTAAGGATAGGGGTTTTTTAATTCTTTATTTAGTCAATAGAATTCAAAAAGTAAATATATCCAATAAGCCCTAGTTCAATAAGGCACTAAGCACTCAGATTTTTCTGAGAAGGTAGCTGACAACCTCCAGAGAACTTAAATTACAACCACTAAAAACCCATAGCACAGCACACCAAGTATTACAGAGGTAATGCTCTGCCTGTATTTCTTAAATTGTAAGAAAAGTAAATAGAAGCTTTAGAATTAAATGATATTTTAGGGAAAAAAAAGACTTTAGGACTCCTATCCATGAAGAAAATAAATGTTTCCATTTATACACTAAGATGACTTCATAAATGTTTTTACTTTTGGGTCATCCATGCTGTAACCTGAAGGCAACAGAAGTAACACCTTTGGGAACTACTGTCCACATTTAAAGATTTGTTTTCTGAACATCAGATGTGTGCAAGAAAGAAAAGCACTGTGTTGACTGCCAGATTTATTTGAGTCAACTGCAAAGACGCTTGTGGACTAAGCAGGTTCGCCTCCTATCCTGCCTACCATGCCCTGTACTATTCGTAAGTCACAGATTCTACCTTCTAGATATTATGTGTAACAGTAGACAACCATGCTAAAAAGAATAAAACGAATGCCTTACCAGAGGTACCAAGGAATAATGACGGCCAGCAGTAACTGTATTCACTGCACCATTATATATGTGTCACTTTATGAATGCTGTTTCATTTAATCCTCACAACCACCTCATGAAATAGGACTATTACAATCAACCCTAATTTGAAACTACAAAAATGGGTTCTTGGGTTCAGTCTCTTTCCCAAGGTCACCAACAATATGGTGGCAGCCAGGCAGACAGTGATCTTTCCACCACTGTACTTCCCTTAAACTGCATAAGCACAAGGACAGGAACCCAGAAAGCAAGCAGAGGGCAAGAAAAGAAAAGAGTGGTCATCAGATCTTCAAGGAAGCAACACCTGAGTCAAGGTCCTTACAGCAATCCAAAGCATAGGAGAATAGTGAGAGAATAAGACAGGTGCAAGATGTCTTTAAAAAATCACTGGGCCAAAAAAAACCTTCTGCAGATCACTATTCTATTTCTTTCACTCTACAAGTCGATTTCTTTCACTCTACAAATCGACTCCCAAAGGCAGTAACTATCAATTCTGTTCAACCCAAACTGACTTCAACTGCCCCATATTAAAAAAATTTAAAAAGGCATCCTACTGCTTTTTTTAAAAATCTGCATGTAAGTTACTTCTAGTATTGACTGAAGGCCTTTCTTTCTCAACATATCCTGCCTAAAACTGTTTTACCCCTCAGGTTGGCCCTAATGTTCATTAAGAATCCAAGTCAGTTTCTGATCAGAAGCTGTTTACCTAACTTCTTTTGTTCAATGGACTAAGACAGAAATCATATATGGTACTCTTTGGTGTTGGAAATATCCCAGTCTTTACCTAGGAATGTATTTTTGTGACTTCAGAGAAGAAAAAAAAGTACAAGGGGCTTTCTCTTCTTGGGGATGTAGCGGGTGACTTTTAAGACAGTTTCTCCCTGTCCAACCAGGATGAGAAAGCACTGGAGGCAACATGGTCCAGAAATAGGTCCTGAGTCAATCTTGGATTCAAGCACAGCCCTGCCACCTACAAGCCATATGATGCTAGCATGTTAGGTAACCTCTCCGAATCTCAAAATACTTCCAGAGCCTGCCACAGAACAGAGGATCAATAAATATTAATTCATGGCATTCCTCACCATTTCCATTCATTCCTGGCCAACTTTTAAAAAGTGTGGTGAGAAAGTTAAAGGTGACAGGAGCCTAAGTGAGGGAGAAAGAGGGGGGAGAGAGTAGAGAGAAAAGGCAGAATCTGGACCCTGAATGATAATGAGTAACCAGAAATTGACAGGGTTTTTTTCCTTTTCAAACTTTATTTCATCTGAGTCACCTGTTCCAGACATAGAATCCCAGCCTTGAGCAATTCAAAAGGAGTGGCAGAGAATGGAAAGGGAACAGATTATCTTGAATGTGTGCATTCATCAGCATGGTTAATAAAACACTAAGCAGCCCTACCTCCAGACCTACTCCAGGCCTGTCTCTTTTCCTGATATTAATACGTAACATTTCCCAATCTCACACTCTGATCCATCAAATGAGACAACAATGACTAACAGCAAAAAAAAAAAAAAAAAAAAAAAAAATATATATATATATATATATATATATATATATATATCTCACAATAGGTAAATCCTAACTGACAAGTAATCTGGAGCAATACTGTGCATTCCCTAAGTTCTTTGGAACCATGTAATCAGCACAATTTAATCAAAAAATTAAAAAGTGGGCACAAGCCTCATCACCAAAATAAGGGTGGCAGCTTGTTAGAGCTGCAGAAAACCCACAGCTCTGGCCCCATTTTCAGGTCTCCCAGAAACCACACACCCACTCACCATCTCTGACCAACAGAAGTACATACACACCTGACTGATTTTAAAAAGCACTAAGTGTCAGAATGGCAGCTCTCCCAGGTGACAAATAATTTCAAAAGATTAAATTTTACTAGAAGGTTTATCATCTGTGTTTCATGGTTTTGTCATAATGACTAACTTTTCATAATCAAAACTCCGATTGCCCAATAGCCCCTTTTTCCTGTACATGGACAGCTCATAACAGAGCAAGTATGTAATACTGTGATAGTACAAATGAGTTGTCAAAGAGAGAAAGGAAGGAATGAGGGAGGAAGGAGATTGATGAACACTTGTGCTGCCAGGGCTTTAACTGCTTTAAATTTAATAGACAACTGTCTAAACTGTTCTTTCAGTCAACAAACCGTTATTAAGTATCCACCAGGTACCAAGTGTCAGGAGCACTAACTCTGCAACCCAGAACTTACATTCTGGCAGGAAGAATCAACAATTACTCACAAGCAGTGAGGGGTGTTACAAAGTTAGAACAGGGTCCTAAAGGGCACACTGCAAAGGGGCTTACTTGTACAGGACAATCAGAAAAAAATATACTGAATATAACATTTTTGAATGACAGAGGGTCAGCAATAGAACGAGTTATTATACTCAAAACACATAAGGATCAGCTACATGCCAGGCACTGCTGCAATAAGCAAGTGATCCCTCTCCATTACTAACCAAAGATGGCACAAACAAATGTAAAAACACAACTGTGCCAAGTGCTATGACAGCAAGAGACACAGTGCTAAAAATGCCTGTATTCATGACCAGGACCCAGCTGGGTAAGGCAGAGAGAGGCATACAGAAGTGCCTGGCAGGCAGGAGATGGGCAAGAAGCAGGGGATGGCAGAGGCCAGTGTGGCAGCAACAAGGAAATAAGGAGGGCCACGCATTAGGTGGGCCTAGAGTCGCATTAAAGAGCTTGGTCTTTATACTGTCAGCAATGGGCAACCACTGAAGGAAGGGAACTGTTGGACAGATCGAACTGATTTGGACAGCTGAAAGTTAGGGAGCAGATCAGATGTAGGGGCCAGTTAGGATGGAGGTTATCACAGGGGACTGTGTAAAAACAAGTGGGAAGCAATTCTGACTGCAGCAGCAGCTCCAGCAGCTCTGCAATTTTTAACATTCAAAATATTTGATGTGAATTTGCTTCTGGTGGAATAAAACACCTGTAACTAGTAGGCATCTGGAAAGTTTAACAGGGAAAACACCATCAGTAAATAGAAGGCTGTAGGAAACAGACTTCTTCCCTGTGGAAAAGTATCACTCACATCATTCATCCTGAGAGTATCTGTCAGCAACCATTCAAAGCCATTCTGAGACTTCTGCGTCCCCATCACAATTTGACCTGTCAGCCAGAACTCATTTATACCCTTCTATCTACTTCCATTTCTATTTTCTTTTCTAGCTCCTAATCCAACAACATCCAAACTGGTCTCCTTGACTCAATCATATTCTGTTCCATGGGACCCACCCTACTATTACTGGAGTGGTCTCCCTCTTCTGCTTCAAATTCTTCATCCTGAGGCTTCAGATTGAAGCCTGAATTCCTTGGTTTGACAAAGACGGCCTCCCATGGGCAGGCCCCAGCCCACCTTTTTGCCTTGACCTTGGCCACCCAACAAATGACTAAGAAGAGTGACTTAGAGTATTCTGGGAGGTGTTTACTCCAAAACCTACAGATTTTTTCATATGATCTTACCAGGAAACCCTAATAAAAAAATAAAGCAGGTGGCCCCTACTTGGTACCCTGATTGGGCATTGAACAGAAGAAAACTTCTGCTCAAACACTGTCCAAGAAATAAAGACCTTTGGCCCTCTGACAACTTCCAGCTGTCTAGTACAGAGATGAAGATAAATAGGGCTAGCATTGGTGAAAATGATTAGTCAGAAGTTTACTGTAGGTGACCATTTGCCCCTGTAAGAAAGCCCCCACATACTTTCTACACCCCCTTTCTGCCCTAGCACCAGAACCTTCCTGCTTTTCTGGCCTAAATCCTCCTTGCCATGGTATGGTAACAGTGGTCTCATTCATACCACCACTGAAACTCAGTCACTACACTGTACATTTGCATATTAAGCCTCTTAATCAAGGGAAAATAAAGGGCTTTCGTGCTGGACAAATAAATGTTAAGTTCTAACCAGTGAGAGGCGAGGTAGTACAATTTCAGTCTGGTGCATTTTCATTGTCTTCTGAACAACACCCTGCTCATGAACAAGTCAAAACGTTAGTTAACTGGGCCTAGCCCCTTTGACTCCTAGCCTCTGCAATATTCTGTTCTAAGAGTCTTAGATGCTGAGGACTTCTGAGTCCATTTTCCCAAGAGCCTTCTCTCCTCCACAATCACCCCAGGCTAAGGCTCCAGCCAAATGCCAGCATGGAGATCATGCTATTCCCTGAACAGCAGGCCAAGAGCACAGACCCAGGATTTCTACTGCCGCAATCTCTCTCTCAAGAAGAAGCAACAGAAGGCAGGCAAAAAGGATTGGCTCACAGAGACAAAGCAACCAGCCCACTGGCCACCAAGCGGTGCACAGGCTAGAGTGTGGAGAGGACAGGCCAGTTCTCACAGAGCAATATGCAGGAATTGGCTCTGATTGTGTGCGCGGGTAAATGGGTAACGACCAAGCACTAGCTTTTGACAAACTAATGATGGCTGAACTGGTATGTATCTGCTGATACGAAAGAATGTAAATTTTAAAATCTTTGACTTGCAGTGTAATAAGGATAATTACAATCTTTTAAGTAAACTACCTGATATCCATACTAAATTACCACTCAGCACAACAGTCATAACATAATTATGTGCCTTGGATTTATCTGTGAGACTTTTCAGTTTTGTTTTAAATATAATAGTAAGTTCTGTACACATAATCAGCTTCTACACAGTAAAAGACAAAATGAGGGGAGGTGCACATTTTATCAAGTTATTATATTATTTTACATTTTCCTTAATATTTTAACTCTGTACAGATTTTCAAGTAAGAGTAATTCCAAAACTTTAACCTTTTCTATTATTAAAGAAATTGTAGTATGATACCCTGTATAATGGATAAGCAATCAACTCACTCATGGGATTTATTTTCTATCAATAGTGTCAGTAATAATGGGAAAAAAGATGAAGAATTATTACCAGACACTTGGGGGGTGTGGGGAGCACCAAGCTCGGTCGAATTTATGAAACATACACAGGTGCCACATAGTGTGATAGGTCCCTAGTTTCATCCCCTAACCTCTGAGGTCAGGACTGCTGTGGCCAGGCTGTGGTTCAGGGAACAAAGGCTCCAGCAGGCTGACTTTTTCAAGGTCACACAGCTAGTATGTGAAAGAACTGGCTCAGAAACATCAGACTCCTGATCTGTGCTCTTCCTGTAACGGGACCTGACACTCCTCTCACAGAACAGCTGCCCTGGAGCCAGAGAGCCCTGGAGAAGGGAACCACTGGCTGGCACTACACGAGGCTACCTGCACACAGAGCAGTTCCTCTGAGAGTAAGGCTTGATGGGTTTGTCTGGCCCTGAATCCTCCATTCTTTCTACTGTCCCATGCACGCTCCATACATTTTGCCCTTTGGTGTGACAAGGTGAGAGCCTCAGGGAGCTGACAAGCCAACCAGCTACACTTCCCCTGCCTCTTCTCTTCTCCTTCAATTTCAGAGTGCCTGTGGCTGCTCCTACAACCACCATCACACCTAATGGCCACTGCTCATCTCCCGCTGTCAGGGTCAAAGACACCCAAGTTCTAATTCTAGACTTGACACTAACTTGCTGCATGATCTCATGAAAGAACTTCACCCTCTCTGGGCCCCATGCAGCTAATGGATTGGCTGACCTCTCAAGGTCAGCTGTAACAGCCTTTTGCTCAGTGCCTTCCTGACATCCTTTCCCTTTCATCACACACTCAAAGAGTGAGGCCTTTCCTCATCATCCCTGCATCCCCCCATCGCCATTTCCTTCCTCGGAGTCAAAGGCTCAGGTGTACCCTGCAGGGTTGGGGCCGGCTGCTTTCATGCTCTACTTCAGACAGAGACCCCAGGCCAGGGCAGAGCAATCTGGAAGCCTGTGAGTGACAGAGGCTGGCTCCTGGGATATCTCACAACACAGGTAGGTCATTGCTTCCAATACAGACCTGGAAGCCACCTGAAAAGCTTCTTGGGACGTAGTAACATTGGCAGAGATGCCGAGTGACACAGGGCTCGGGCTGACAGGACAGCTGCTAAGCTCTAAATACATCAAAGACAATGATCCCAGAGACTACATATCCATCTTTCCAAATCCACCGGCACTTAAAATGGGAGCAAGGAGGGCTGGATGCGGTGGCTCACGCCTGTAATCCCAACACTTCGGGAGGCCGAGGCAGGCGGATCACGAGGTCAAGAGATCGAGACCATCCTGTCCAACATGGTGAAACCCTGTCTCTACTAAAAATACAAAAATTAGCTGGGCATGGTGGTGTGAGCCTGTAGTCCCAGCTACTCAGGAGGCTGAGGCAGGAGATAGCTTGAATTCAGGAGGCGGAGATTGCAGTGAGCCGAGATGGTGCCACTGCACTGCACTCCAGCCTGGCAACAGAGCAAGACTCTGTCTCAAAAAAAATAAAAAAGGAGCAAGGAGATGACTAACAGGTACTGGAAGCCATGCTACAAAACCAAGAAAGGAGAGGCAGCTTTTCTTTCCCTCAGCACAGAAGAGGGGAAATGCAGTTGCATGGGGCTAGGGGAGCGGGGAATGAAACCGGGTAGAAGGAAAACTCCCCCGAATTTTATAGCATCCCACTTCACAGCAGCTAAAACTTTAAACATTACTCACCTCGAGATGGTAAAACCACTTTCTCTGAATGGTTGCCTGCCATTCTCCCTTTGGCCCCACCCCACACAAGCCCATCTTGATTACACTCCTGAGGGGTAATCAGTTCTCAAAGGAATAAAATCAACATAACCTAAATAAATTCTGGAAAGTTTATGAGGGAAGGTTGTATGGGTTACTTCAGCCCCAGGGCCATGGTAAATTACACACCAGCTACTTCTGTGGGTTTTCTAAGCCCATTTCATCTCCCACAGAGTTTATAAATAATACTAAATTATATTAAAATCCGTCCCTACTCCTTCAGTGTTGTTTTACATACATGTTACCATAAAAACTTGCAGAA